>NC_000016.10:75471591-75774621 GCF_000001405.40 Homo sapiens
TCGAACTCCTGAGCTCACGCAATCTGCCCACCTTGGCCTCCCAAATTGCTAGCATTACAGCTGCACCCAGCCTAGCTCTGGTTCTTAAGGAACATGGTCTGAATAGAGTCATTCACAGAATAAGGATTTGCACTGTGAGAGGATATTTAAATTGTAAGAGAATCTGCTGGGGGCAGGTGGTGCTTAAATCTAAATCCATTAACTTGTGAAGGTAGTCGGGATAACCCACTGGACCTCAGCATAGGGGTCACTCGACCTAAAGAAATTGCTCGCCTGATCCACTGGTGTGGAGTGGGCCTGTGGGTGAGGGACAGATTCCAGCCCATGGTGGTTTCAGTGTGTGATGAGTGAGATCATTCAGTAGAGGGCGCTGGGAGAACTGATGACTCGCACCGATCAGGAATATTGCATGCAATTTAGATCCAAGCGTAAAACACTAGACTACTAAAGTACTGGAAGCAAGCGTGAAGACCATTTTTATCACTGTAGCAGGACAAAGTCGTTTCAACAAGACATAAAATCCACTGGCCATAAGGAAAGGATTCACATTCAACAATATGATAAACTAGGTGAAACTTTTTGAAATTTGATTGTGATGAGGTGGTGATTTGATTTCACAGGTATATACAAATGTTTAATCAAACTTTACACTTTATGTGCAGATGTTGTATATCAATTATAGCTCAATGAAGCTTCTTTTTTTTTAAGAAGCCTGAGGGGAAAATGCCATAAAGTAAGTTAACAAAACAACAACAACAAAAAACAGATGACAAGCTAGGAGAAACCATTTGCACAACAAAAATAACAAAGCATATTCAAAAGAGGCTGTGGTAAGTCAACAGCAACATGGGCACAGCCTTGAACAATGAAAAAGGAATACAGTTGAGTCATAAGCATGAAAAGATGTTCAGCTGCCCCAGGAATTAAAGAAGTGCAGACTGAAACATCAAGTAACATTTTTCACCCATCAGGTAGGCAAAAATTAAAACCATTGATTTAACCCTGTAGAGGTGATGGGGCAGTTGTGGCAGTGGTGGGGCGCAGTCTGTAGGAGTGGGTGACAAAGGCACATCAAAGACAAAGCTAGGGGACACAGGGTCTGTGGTGGCCATGAGGAGTTGATACAGTGTTGATGTGGATAATATATCTTCTTGATGCAAAATAACAAAAATAAGGCCCACCATTGATTCCCCAACAGCCTCTTGATAGGTGGGTTCTCTGACCTATTCCAGGCAACACTGTTTCTATGCACCCATCAGCCCATCTAGTGCTTTGATTGCCCCTTCTGAGCTCCCACAGCCAGAGCAGAGGCAGCAAGCGTGCCTGCCCCTAATTGTGGGTGACTGCTGGGCCTAGACACTTCTAGCTGCATCACAGGGCCTACAGGTAAGGGGAGACACTAATTACAGCCCTACCAGCAGGGAGGGAGCCTGGACCCTGGTGGAAATTGGAAGCTGCAGGTGCCAGGAGCCCTCCGTTCTCAAGTGTATCGGTTAGGCAATGCTACGTAACAAACCACCACAACACTCAAATGACTGAAACACAATAAGCACTTTTATTGCTCCTAAAGTCTTCGACTTGGCCGCAGTGCTGGGCTCAGCTGGCCTCGCTCATATGTCTTTATAGCTACTCTTCTCAAGTGGTGGACTCAGTTTCCCCACCTCTGAATCTGGGTGAGCCCTGGGACTCCCTTTGGCCAGTAGAAGGTAGCCGAAGTGGCTGCGTGCGGATCAGCTGGAGCTGGCTGGTCTAGGATGGCCTGGTTTGGGACCCCTGAACTCTCCTTCTCATGGTCTCTGCTTGTCCAGCAGGCTGGCCTGGGCTTTCTCCCGGGCAGAGGCGGAGGTCCGAAGCAAAGGAGCAGCACGCAGGTTCTCTTCAGGTGGAGGAAAGCAGAGGCGTCAGCTCAGACTATGCCTTTTTCACATAAAAAATGATTTTCAGCTGAAGGCAATTAAGAAGCAGAAAGTGCAGGAAAAGTTCAGGTTTCCCTCCCCTTTTCTGCCTAAAGGCACGATATAAACTCTCCATCACTGGACACAACCCTTGACTCAGAGGTGGTACCAGAGGCTGCTGCAGACAAATCCTGTTGCATCAGCTTCCTCTCGGATATTTACCATCCCATAGTTTACCACCTTTGGAAGCCTAAAACTGTTGTCCTTGGTCATCCTATCTCTACAAATTTATTGTATTTTTTAAAAATGCTGTGTAAGACAGTGTTCCAAGCCATCACTTTGTTACTTTTCATTGAGGCTTATCCTGAGTGATGTTGGCTGCCTGTGTTAACAAACTGTTTTTCGCCAGGTACAGTGGCTCATGCCTGTAATCCTAGCACATTGGGAGGCCAAGGCAGGTGGATCACCTGAGGTCAGGAGTTCCAGCCCAGCCTGATCGACATGGTGAAACCCCATCTCTACTAAAAATACAAAAAAAATTAGCCGGGCGTGGTGGTGTACATCTGTAATCCCAGCTACTCGGGAGGCTGAGGCAGGAGAATCGCTTGAAACTGGGAGGCGGAGGTTGCAGTGAGCCAAGATGGCGCCACTGCACTCCAGCCTGGGGGACAAGAGCAAGACTCTGCCTCAAAAAAACAGAAACAAAAACATTGTTTTTCTTTGTGAATCTGTCTTTTCATTAAAAAGTCTCTCTTAATCTGTTTTGTTTTGCTATAACAATACCACAGATGGGGTCATTTATTTAGAGATAGGTGTCTTGCTCTGTCACTCAGGCTGGAGTGCACTGGCATGATCATGGTTCAATGTAGCCTCAACCTCCCAGGGTCAAGCAGTCCTCCCAACTCAGCCTCCCAAGTAGCTAGGACTACAGGTGCACGACACCATGCCCTGCTAATTTTTTTTTAACTTTGTAGAGATGGGGTCTCACTATGTTGCCCAGGCTGGTCTTGAGTGCCTGGTCTCAAGTGATCCTCCTGCCTCAGCCTTGCAAAGTATTGGGATTACAGGCGTGAGCCACTGAACCCAGCAAGGGTCATATATAATAAATAGAAGTGTATTGGCTTACAGTTCTGGAGGCTGGGAAGCCCAAGATCAAGGAGCCAGCATCTAGCGAGAGCCTTCTTGCTGTGTCCTAGCATGATGGAAGGCATCATATGGCAGAAGGGCAAAGTGAGGGCGAGAGAAAGACAAAGAATGAACTCCTTCATTTAAAAGGCACCACTCTCAGGATAACCAACTCACTCCTGAAATAATGGTGGTTTTTTTTAAGACAGACTCTCGCTTTGTTGCCCAGGCTGGAGTACAGTGGTGCGATCTCAGCTCACTGCAATCTCTGCCTCCTGGGTTCAAGCGATTCTCCTGTCTCAGCCTCCCAAGTAGCTGGCCTTACAGGCATGTGCCACCACACCTGGCTAATTTTTGTATTTTAACTAGAAATGGTGTTTTACCTTGTTGGCCAGGCTGGTCTCAAACTCCTGACCTCAAGTAATCCGCACACCTCAACCTCCCAAAATGCTGGGATTACAGACATGAGCTACCATGCCTGCGCCCAGAAATAATGTTCTCTACCCATTCACAAGGGCATAACCCGCACGGCGTAATTTACTTTCCATCAAGCCTCACCTCACAACACTGGGGATCAAGGTTCCAACTTTGGGAGACACAATCAAATCACAGCAGAGCCCCAGCTGAAAACCTAAGACAGGTGGAGGTAAAGTTTTGCTTCCAAGGCCTATGCTTCAAACTGGCTCACAGGAAGTTGCACTACACTTGTCTACAGGACAAAGCAAGTCACAGGACCAGCCTGGATTCAGAGGTGGAGAAACAGACTCTACTTCTTGATGGCAGGAGCCATGGTCACACAGCACAGAGTGTCAACACAGCAAACCACTAACAGTGGTCAATGCAGTCACCCCCACAGCAACCCAGAGCTCTGTGCCCTGTCACAGCATTGGGCAGTCCCCAGTGATTAAACCTTCCTGTTGGGACTGCACTCTCACAGAGATATAAGACATACGTGATCAGCACAAGTATGTACCTACCCAGCCCTGGCTTTACTGTGCCTAGTCAGCCAGGCCACTTTCTTTGTCCTGAAAGCTGACCTGGGTTCACTGTGAGGCTTGACTGTACTGCCCATGCGCAGAGAGCAAATTCAGGAGCCAGTCAAGCATGTCCTGACACCTTGGGAGTCAGGGGAGAATGGATGGGTCATACAACAAAGGACTTGGATACCAAGAGGCCATTAATTGCAGCCATCAATAAAATTTGTGACCTAAACAGGGGCAAATGAAGCTTGTTGGGCATGCTGGCTGGGCATGAGATGGAGTCTTGCTCTGTCATCCAGGCTGGAGTGCAGTGGCATTATCTCGGCTCACTGCACTGTCCGCCTCCTGGATTCAAGGGATTCTCCTGCCTCAGCCTCCTGAGTAGCTGGAATTACAGGTGTGCACCACCACACCCGGCTAATTTTTTTTATTTTTAGTAGAGATGGGGTTTCACCATGTTGGCCAGGCTGGTCTCAAACTCCTGACCTCAAGTGATCCACCTGCCTCAGCCTTCCAAAATGCTGGGATTACAGGCATGAGCCACCACGCCTGGCTTGTGGTTGAAATCTTAACCCACAATATGATGGTGTTGGGATGTGGAGCCTTTGGGAGGTGATTAGATAATGAAGGTGGAGACCTCAAGAATGGGATTAGTGACATTCTTTAAAAGGCCCTGGAGACTGGGTACAGTGGCTCATGCCTGTAATCTCAGCACTTTGGGAGGCTGAGGTGGGCAGATCACTTGAGGTCAGGAGTTTGAGACCAACCTGGCCAATATGGTGAAACCCAGTGTCTACAAAAATACAAAAATTAGCTGGGCATGGTGGTGCATCCCTGTAGTCCCAGCTCCTCAGGAGGCTGAGGCAGGAGAATTGCTTGAACTCAGGAGGCAGAGAGAGGCAGAGGTTGCAGTGAGCCGAGATTGTGCCACTGCACTCCAGCCTGGGCGACAGAGCCAGACTCCATCTCAAAAAAAAAAAAAAAAAAAAAAAAATGGCCCTGGAGAGCTGTCTCCCATCTTCTACGATAAGAGGACACAGCTAGAAGGCACTGTCTTTGAAAAAGTGGGCCCTCATCAGACAGCACTGGTGGCTTGATCTTGGACTTCCCAGTCTCCAGACTTGTGAGAAGAACATTTGTTTATAAGTTACCCAGTCTTTTTTTTTTTTTTGAGATGGAGTCTTGCTCTGTCACCCAGGCTGGAGTGCAATGGCGTGATCTTGGCTCACTGCAACCTCCGCCTCCTGGGTTCAAGCGATTCTCCTGCCTCAGCTTCCCGAGGAGCTGGGATTACAGGTATGTGCGACCATGCCTCGCTAATTTTGTATTTTTAGTAGAGGAGGGGCTTCGCCATGTTGGCCAGGCTGTTCTTGAATGCCTGACCTCAGGTGATTCATCCCCCTCGGCCTCCCACAGTGCTGGGATTACAGGCATGAGCCACTGCATCCAGCCAAGTTACCCACTCTTAAGGTATTTTGTTATAACCACCTGAACAAGAACAAAGACATTCTCTAAGCCATGTAGTACACATTCATAAATCTGGGGTTTTAAATACCTTCCTCCTATAATTGTCACGAGGGACAGATTCAAGTTTCATTTGGTTGAAGCTTCTAAACCTGGAAGGAACCTAAAATGAGCTTCAGCTTCAAGGCTAATGTGCCTGTTCTCCCTCCACGTAAAGCAGAAAATGCCAGATCTCCCTTGCCCTGCTTGCTTTGCAGGGAGGATGTGACTCCACAATCCAGGTTCCCCCAATCTGTGGCCACACCCAGGATGAGGATCAGAAGCTAGTGACCACCAGCATCGCTCCTGGTAGCTGATGGCAACGTGAGGGAAACTGCCTCATTTCACAGGTAACAGGGTCAGAAGTTCTGTTGGCAGCCAACACAGTTCCCAGACCAGCTCTGTGTTCCAATGTGACTTGGGTTCATTTATGTGGCTAACTCAACTTCCCTGTCCTTTCCAGAGGTTCCATGAGCTCTTCTTTTAAACATGTACTGGGCACTTATAGGCTCTCATTTCCTGAGCTCGGGACTAAACCCTCTACACATCCAGCATTCCTTTACTAAGCCCCTTTGCCCCCAGAGCTAGGAGGTGTGGCTCACAGGCAGGGATCATCCTCTGCTTTCCTCCAAGGCCTGGACCAGAAGGACCAAGGGAAGACAGTTCCAGCCCAGAGCCATTTCCCTTCCAACCTCTTGGCAAGCCTGATGAGTTCCACTCCCCGCTGACGGGCACACCTGCCTTCCAGGCACTGATCCTGCTTTCCCCCTCTTGCTCTGCCACTCACTGTGCCTGGCTTGCTGCCCAGCCCTCCCCAGCCTTCTCTCCTCCTACCTTTCCCACTTATTGCCTCCTTCCAGGCTTGTCCAGCATGATAAACTCTGGTCTCAGCATTCACAGCCTCCTCTATCTCTCAGCTGTGTCCCTGGTCATGACTCTGCTTGCTCTTCCCTAAAGCAATTAAAATAGGAAAATCTGACCCTTCTCACCCAGGAGGCAGGTCCTCTCCTATCCACTGGAGACCCAGAGCAAAAGCTCTCTCCTCCCTTCATCCTCCTTCTCACCATGTGATTTCAGACAAGTCCTTTCACTTCCGAGTTTTGCCATGTGTGCCTGTGTGCATATGTATGTGATGTACAGACCTCTGGAGCCATTTCACCACAGTGCCTCTCCACTCCCAGCCAGTGCCAGGGCACCCCCTCAGCTGCTGCAGGATGTGTCACCAGAAGGAGAGAGTTAAAGGGGAAGAAAGCCCTTGAGTAGGAGCCAAGTCATCTGAACGCACACCCTGTGCCCAGAGGAGGAGGGGCAAGAGTTGCTTTCCATGAAGAGTGCACCTGATGAGAAGGCAGCTCCAGAGGACTCAAAGGAAAACCAAGAATCAAGAGAGAAAGAAACGTGCAGTCCTTGCCTACTTGGGGAGGGGGAGGGGTCGTACCACAAACTCCTTGGTCAATATAGGGACCTGCTTCTCCGTGCGCCCCAGCCCCCTCTGCACCATGCACTCTCCTCCCGGGCCTAGCGCCTGCTACAACTGTGGCCTCCACTAATTTCGGGGGTGCGAGGCGGTGGATGATGCCCAAGTGAAGCCGTTCAGGCCTCGTGGCAGCACCAGATCAAGGGCGAGGTTGCGCTGCTCGTCCTCAGAGTACACAGGCCGGTAGCCCAGCAGCTGCAGCGCACCAGCGCACAGTTCCTGCACGCGGCGGATCTTGGCAAAGGGCAGCGCATGGCGCCAGGCCTGGGAGACGTTGAGCGCATTCCTGGACGAAGTCTTGAAGGCTTCGCGGCGCGCACCAGGTCCAGATCCGTGGGTGATGTTATGGATCCAGGCCTCGAGCTGTGGCGTGAGACTGAGCCCAGTGAAGGCGTAGAGCGCACGGATTTCTGCCAGCGGCTCCCGCGCCAGGTCCTCGAAGCGCACCAGGCGGTAGCGGCCGCGCAGAAAGGGTGGCGGCTTGAGTGTGGCGGCCTCGGCGATGCGTACGTGGCTACGGCACACCTCGCGCACCACGCGCAGGCCGGGGTCGGCCTCCACCCACGTGCCGTTGGTGCCCAGCACGATGCCGTTGTCACGCGCCAGAGCCTTGGCTGTCTGCTCCCGGGAGCGCAGCACGGCCCGCGGGTCGCGCACCAGGTGCACGATGCGTAGGTTGAGCGCGGGGTCGCTGAGCAGCGGGTAGAGCACCTGCAGGTTGAAGAAGCGCACCTCCTTGAGCACCACGTGGCTGTAGGAGCGGCAGGCCTCCCGGGCCAGGGTGAAGGACTGCCGCGCGCACAGTGGCTTGCACACGGCCTCGCTGCTGATGGCGCCTCGGGGAAAGGCACTGCAGGCGGGTGGCGAGCACAGTGCACGGCTCACGGCCCACTGGAAGAGGTCGGACAGGTTGCGGCGCCAAGGCAGATAGGCATCAAACACGTCCATGTCGCACAGGAAGACGGAGCGCACCAGGTCGCGCACAGCCATGTGCAGCGTTGCGGCGCTGCCCTGCGACAGGGTGGTCCACACGTGCCACGCGGGCTCCATTAGGTAGAAGACGTCGGGGTGCTGGTTGAAGAGTTGGCCCACGAAGGACGAGCCCGAGCGCCACGAGGACAGCACCAGCACATGCACGCGCGCCTCGCCGCCTGCTGGGGACGAGGGCCCTGGCCGGGAAACCAGAAAGAGGAGGAGGAAGGTCTGCGCCAGGAGGAGCGCGGTCACTGCTGTGCTGGAGACGCGCGGCAGCCACATGCTGACTGCTGGGGGCCTTAGGGAGGAGAGCGCAGCGGTTAGGGGCTGCAGCCTGCACGCCCATCCCGTACCCCACTGCCCAGTGCCCGCAGGGGGCAGATTCTACCACCAGACCCGAGCATCCCATGAACATGATGGTCTCAGTGGGGAGCTCTCCCGGAAATGTGGCCTTAAGACATAACTCAGGATCCAGTCTAGCTGAGAGCAAAAGTACAAATGCAGAATGCGGTCGGAAATCTGTCTACATGTGAGTCCTACCTTCTTAATGTGAGTCCTACCTTCTTAATGTGAGTCCTACCTTCTTAGTTCTACCTACCCACATTACCATTGTCTATTTGGAGAGGGAAATATATTTCAAACGGAATTCCTGTCTTTTGCTTAAGAATTCCTGTAAGGAAACTCTTTTAGGTTGTTGAACTGATGGGCGCTCTGGTGGATGTCACAGCACGGCCAGGCTCCCTGAGGCTCTTCCACTCCGTAGCCTGTGGTCTTTTTCCTTTTTTAATCTCCCACACTACACTGACATACATAGCCTGTGATCTTGAACAAAATATTGGATCGCCCCGTGACTCAGTTTACCCATCTGCAAAAGGGAGATGATACCAGCACATAATACAGGATTTAAGTGGATTATTGGAAAATGGGAACATGTTTGAATATCCTGGATGGACAGGAGAGACATGTAGTAATGTCCCTAACTGAAGAGTGCCCTTGCTACAGCGTGTGCTTCTGCAGTGTATGATTTTTTTTTTTTTAAATAGACAGGTATAACTTTTCTTATGGAAAATAACTTTTCTTATTGAAAATAAGCAAATAGGCGCTGGGCGTGGTGGCTCACGCCTGTAATCCCAGCACTTTGGGAGGCCGAGGTGGGTGGATCACCTGAAGTCAGAAGTTCAAGACCAGCTTGGTCAACATGGTGAAACATCATGTCTACTAAGTATACAAAAATTAGCCGGGCGTGGTAGCGGGCACCTGTAATCCCCAGCTACTCAGGAGGCTGAGGCAGGAGAATCGCTTGAACCCGGGAGGCAGAGGTTGTAGTGAGACGAGATCGCGCCATTGCACTCCAGCCTGGGCAAGAGCAAAACTTCATTCCAAAAAAAAAAAAAAAAAAAGAAAAGAAAAGAAAAGAAGCAAATAGGCAGGATGCGAGCCTGGGATTCAAGCCTGTAATCCCAGCACTTTAGGAGGCTGAGGTGGGAGGATACCTTGAGGCGAAAAGTTTGAGACCAGCCTGGGCAACATATGGATAGCCTGCCTGTCTCTACAAAAACATTAAAAAAAACAAAAAAAGGAAAGCCAGGTGTGGTGGAGTGCGCCTGTGGTCCCTGCTATTCGGGAGGCTGAGGTGGGAGGACTGCTTGAGCCCAGGAGTTTGAGGTTGCAGTGAGCTTTGATCATGCCACTGCACTCCAGCTTGGGCGATAGAGTGAGACTCTGACTCAAAACATACAGTACAATATCAAAATGAGCAAATAAGTCCAGGCACAGTGGCTCATGCCTGTAATCCTAGCAATTTGGGAGGTTGAGGTGGGCAGATCACCTGAAGTCAGGAGTTCGACACCAACCTGGCCAACATGGTAAAACCCCATCTCTACCAAAAAAAATACAAAAATTAGCTGGGCATGGTGGTGCATGTCTGTAGTCTCAGCTAGTTGGTAGGCTGAGACGTGAAAATCGCTTGAACCCGGGAGGCAGAGGTTGCAGTGAGCTGAGATTATGCCACTGCACTCCAGCCTGGGCAATAGAGTGAGACTCTTTCTCAAAAACAAAAAAATGAGCCAATAAATAAAGTGGACAAAGAACACCAATTGTTGCCATCACCGGTAGGGGGTGAAGTGCTGAAGGCAGCATGGGCTCCAGAGGGAGGATGTCCTGGAGCCCTGTGGGTTTGCAAGGAGACCAGCTGAGGCGGAGCTGGGATGGAGCCAGAGAAGCAGAGAGGTGAGAGCAGAGGACTGTCCCGGCCAGCTGAGGGGACTCACCACTGTCCAGGGCTGCTGGGAGAGCTGCAACGCTGATCACAAATCCATGGGAGATGATTAGAGGTTCCTCAGCACCTGGTAAAGCAGGAGGGCGATGGAGTCACACTCTACAGGGGAAGATAGCCCCAAAAGCGACACAACTTCTCTGAGGCTCGATTTCCACTTCTGTAGGATGGGATGTGCAACATTTAACCTCTTAGGGCTGTGAGATGCTGCTGCAAACACCTATGAAGAGGGGGCCTGGGAAAGCATTCCTTACACACATGCCCCCATTACTGTTACTGTCCCTGTGCTGAGCTACTGTTTGGAGAGGAGGAACCCCTCCCCCTGGGGAGTCTCCCCCCAGAGGAGACACCCACAGGCCACCTACTCTTCCAATCCCAGTATCTCACAGGCCACCCTCTGGCCTCCAACCACCAGCCCTTTCGTGGACCTTAAGAATGTCACATAGGTCGGGTATGGAGGTTCATGCTGGTAATCCCAGCACTTTGGGAGGCCAAGGCAGGCAGATCACCTGAGGTTGGGAGTTTGAGACCAGCCTGACCAACATGGAGAAACCCTATCTCTCCTAAAAATACAAAATTAGCCAGGCGTTGTGGCACATGCCTGTACTAGGGAGGCTGAGGCAGGAAAATCACTTGAACCTGGGAAGCAGAGGTTGTGGTGAGCCGAGATCATGCCACTGCACTCCAGCCTGGGCAACAAGGGGGAAACTCCGTCTCAAAACAGCAACAACAACAAAAATGTCACACATGTCTCACAGGGTGGAAGGAACACTGAGCCAGCTTCCCGCATTCCAAGGTCCCAAAGTGTTCTTCTGTTTGCACCTGTTGCATCTGCAATGATCTCAAGGCTGGGTGACTTTGGAAGGGAGGAGCCTGGAAGTTTTCTCCTTGCTCCTGCATCCTTTGCTCCTTGCCTGCCCCCTTCCCCTGTCCACATCGCCCACTGAGAGAAGCCAGGGTCTAACTTGTGAGCAGATCTCCTCTCTGCCCATTTCCCTCATCAGGAGGCAACAGGGGTGGGTGGAGGATGCCCAGCAGCTCTGTCACCAGCCGACTCCAGATCCCACAGCCACTCTGGGAAAACCTGGAAGACAGGGAGAGTAGCCACTCATCTGCTCTGCACATGATCAACGCTCCTCCAGTGCCAGTGGGCTGACGATGGTTGGCTTCCTGCCAATGGGGCGCCGAAAGAGAAGGGAACTCATTTTCTGACTTCAATGATCACAAGTGCTAGGTGCTTCAAGTCCACGCGATGACTTAACTCAACGGGCCCTGAGGTGGGCACGATGATGTCAATTTTTCAGGTGAAAGACTCAAGGCTTGGAGAGACAGCGAGAAAGCTGGGACCCCAGGACTCCTGTTCCTAAGCTTCTGGCACTTCTGATCCCAGGCTGTGGGCTTCTCCCACCTGTGATTGCTCCCTGCAGAGTGCAGGACCCTGCTGCTCTGGCCCAAACACAGTTGTCCTGGCCAGCTCAGCCCTTCCCTGGGTAGGGAGGATCTTGATCCCAAGCCAAGGTATTTGTTACCTGTGTTCCAGGGAAGCCAGAGGTCTTCTTAAGTGACTCACACACTACAGGAACTGCTATGAGATCCTATTACTGAAACTCAAGAACTAGGAAGGTGGTTGAATCATCCTACGCCACAGAGTCTCCAGAAGACCAGTTCCTAGCTGAGAGCATTCTGATAGGAGCCTTACGTTCAGCACAGTAGACATTTGGGCCAAGGTTTTGACATTAGGAAGAACAAGTCAGGCAGGCCCTGTGATAGGTACTTCTGTCTTCATGATTAAATGCTATCATCCCAAGTCCCTGGGAGGCAGAAATGACCATACCTCTCTGTTTTAATTGAAGCAGTGGGGCTCAGAGACATGAATATCCAGTAAGAAGGAGGAAGGGCAGGGGCTTAAATCCAAGAGCCAGCCGGGTACGGTAACTCATGCCTGTAATTAGGGCACTTTGGGAGGCTGAGGCGGGTGAATTGCTTGGGCCCAGAAGCTCAAGACCAGCCTGGGCAACATGGCCAAACCCCATCTCTACTAAAAATACAAAAATTAGCCCAGTGCAGTGGCGCGGACCTGTAGTCCCAACTACTCAGGAGGCTGAGGTGGGAGGATTGCTTGAGCCTAGGAGGCACAGGTTGCAGTGAGCAGAGACTGTGTGACTGCACTCCAGCCTGGAAAACGGAGAAAGACCCTGTCTCAAAAATAAATAAATAATAAATAAATAAATAGGCCGGGTGTGCGGTGACTCACGCCTGTAAACCCAGCACTTCGGGAGGCTGAGGCGGGTGGATCACCTAAGGTCAGGAATTTGAGACTAGCCTGACCAACATGGTGAAACCCCGTCTCTACTAAAAATATAAAAATAGCCAGGCATGATGGCAGGCACCTGTAGTCCCAGCTACTCGGGAGGCTGAGGCAGGAGAATTGCTTGAATCCAGGAGGTGGAGGTTGCAGTGAGCCAAGATCACACCACTGCACTCCAGCCTGGGTGACAGAGCGAGACTCCGTCTCAAAAAGTAAATAAATAAATAAACAAACAAACATACATAAATACATCGAAGAACCAGACTCTCACTGCAGGGCTCTGTGGTGGGTGTCGCAGTCCTGAGCCTTTGTCCAGTGCCCTTTCCCATCCTGGAAGGCCTATCTCCCCCTTGAAAGTCTTCCCTTGATGAGGGGCACATATTTATTATATGTTTACTTTTTGGAAAAGTTAACACATAGGTGTTGTATAAAATTCTAAGCCACGCATGGTGGCTCACGCCTGTAATCCCAGCACTTTGGGAGGCTGAGGCGGGCAGATCACTAGAGGTCAGTAGATCGAGACCAGCCTGACCAACATGACAAAACCCTACTAAAAATACAAAAATTAGCCGGGTGTGGTGGTGAGTGCCTGTAGTCCCAGGTACTTGGGAAGCTGAGGCAGGAGAATCATTTGAACCCGGGAGATGGAGGTTGCAGTGAGCTGAGATTGCGCCACTGTACTCCAGCCTGGGCGACAGAGCGAGACTCCATCTCAAAAACAAAACAAACAAACAAAAAAACTCAAGGTAAAGATGAGGGCATTGCCAGCTCATGTTTCATATGTGAAGACAGGAAAAGAGGCCACACCCCCTGGGCAGACACAGCCCCACACCAGAGCACAAGGCCAGTCAGGCAGAAGAAAGTGACGTTTCCTATCTCTCATGCCCTCTCCAGCCTTCCAACCTCAGAGGCAATTCTGCTTTAAATTTCCAACAAGTAATTAATGGTGATGATGGTGATGATGATGATGAAAATGATCATATTTTTTCAGGAGGAGGGTGGAACTAAAAAGTACAAGAGGCCATAAAGGGAATAGAAAGTTCTGTTTCTTGTTTTGGTACCCAGGAGGAGCACCCTAAGCAGTGGTCCTTCTTAAGTCACAGAAACTTTTTTTGACATTAACTCTTTTTAAAATTTATTTTTGTCAAAACACTACACATAGCTTGAGAAAGGATAAAATATGCCTGGAGGCCAGGCACGGTGGCTCGTGCCTGTAATCCTAGCACTTTGGGAGGCCAAGGTGGGAGGATCTCTTGAGCCCAGGAGTTCAAGGTTGCAGTGAGTTATATCATTCTACTGCTCACCAGCTTGGGCAACAGAGTGTGACCCTCTTTCTTAAAAAAAATCAAAAACCTAAAACCAGAGCAAAACACTCCAGCTCACAGCTGAAGCTCACAGCTCACAGCTGAAGTACTGAGAGTACATTTCCTTTCTTGTTTTTTCTTGTTTCCCTTAGTTTTCCTTGGGGCTAATTGCATTAGATATTAGAAACGTTGAAAGAAAAATTTAAAAGATGTGAAAAGTAGAACAAAAAACATAAATGACAGATAAAGGTTGGAAAATAGAGAAGAGATAAGATCAGCAAAAGATTCATCCAGGAAAGCCAGTGCTCAGGATCCCGATCCTGGCAGAGCTGACAATCAAGTTGGGGACACTGAAGACACATCTGGCTATGTGACGGTCAAGGGACCTGATGGTGTCCCAGTGGATGGCCTGGACATCCAGCCGCGGGAGGGTCATGCTGGTCCTGGCTGCATCCTTATCTCCTGGATTCCAGCAAAGTCCCCACCTGGCCTCCCTTCAGTCCATCTTGTACAGTTGCCCCCAGAGGTGCCTACACCACACATCTGATCCTGTCATTCTCCTTTTCAGTAACCTTCAGCTTTCCAGCCTTATCTCCCATATCCCAGGCTTCAGATGGCCGGGAATAATCAGTGTTCATCAAACAAGCTCCATCTCTCCCAACTCCCTCACCCATGCTATGAGTGCGCAGCCCTGACTCCCACTGGGAGGCATTTCAGCCTCGCCTGCAGCCACCTCCTCTGTGCCTGTCAAGGCATGCCCCACTCTGCCCTGCATTGTACTTTGCTTTCCCTTCTTGCCTGTGAGCAACCCGGAACTTTGGATTGTGGTTTTTCGCAAGCGAACACCTGTTCTCCGGTGACTAGTGTGAGGATCAGCACTGCACAGGTGCACTGGACATGCTTGGTTCTGTCCACTCAGTACCCGTTTTTCCTTCTGATAACAGTCTCTAGGCTTTTCCCTGGGGAATCACCCTCACCCACTCAAAAGTGCATGTGGCTCAGATGGGGCTGATCCACCACTCCCGGCTCCTAAGGGTCATGTGTCCCAAGACAGACCCACCTCTATATTCCACACACTGACCCTGCCCCCCCAGCCCACACAGAACTATTGGCCTAGGAATGGGACATCTGCTCAACTGCAATTCTGGAGTTTTGTTGATCACAAGGGAAGAGGAAACTGCCTAGGTTTAAAATCAACAACAGAAGAGAACTCAGCAGAGAAAGTTCACAGGCAAGCTGACAGCACCATCTAAGCATTTGGATCCAGTTGTGCAAGGCTTACCCATGGACCCCTCAGCTGAGGGAAGCATTCACTTTCTGCTTAAGTCCTTGGGAGATGAGTTTCTGTCACTTACACCCAAGAGTGGTGATTAGATAGTGACAGTGAAACCCTTGGTGGGGTGAGGTGGGAAGGGTGCAGGGGCAGAGCTTCTGGGGGCTGGCCCTGCGTTGTTTCTCTCTGACAGTGCTAATTACATGGGTGTGTTCAGTTTGTGAAAGTTCACCAAGCTGTACTTTCATTATATGTACTCTGAAGAATGGCATACTTCAATAAAAAGTAAAGAATCCTGACTGAAGAAGATAGTAAGAGTCATGTCAAGGAATGTCCCAAACAACAAATGAGTAGAGGACATGAACAAATACTTGCCATTGCACTCAGATACTCTGTGGTCCACATCCAGAGGGAGGAATTCCCCAGTAGCCCACATGGCTTTCTGCCGAGCACCTTAAAGTCACAGGATCTTCTAAACATCCCTTACCATTTCTTGGCCTGGCCTGAGAGACCTAGGAAGGAGCTATGGTTCTGCCTGATTTGCAAATAGGAAAAGCAAGACATTGACCAAGGATGGTTTTCCATAGCAGGGTTGAGCTGGAGCCCAGGAGTCCTGGCTCTCTGGGCAGCACTCACTTCCAGCCAAGCTCTGCCTACCCTCGACACAGCAGCTCCAGGCCGGGAGTGGTGGCTCACACCTGTAATACCAGCATTTTGGGAGGCTGAGGCAGGTGGCTCACCTGAGGTCAGGAGTTTGGGACAAGCCTGACCAACACGGTGAAACCCCATCTCTACTAAAAATACAAAAATTTGGCCAGGCGTGGTGGCTCACGCCTGTAATCATAGCACTTGGGAGGCTGAGTAGGGTGGATCACAAGGTCAAGAGATCGACATCTTCTTGGCTAACACAGTGAAACCCTGTCTCTACTAAAAATACAAAAAATTAGCCGGGCGTGGTGGCGGGCACCTGTAGTCCCAGCTACTCAGGAGGCTGAGGTGGGAGAATGGCGTGAATCTGGGAGGCAGAGCTTGCAGTGAGCTGAGATCGTGCCACTGCACTCCAGCCTGGGTGACAGACAGAGTGAGACTCCGTCCCCCCTAAAAAAAAAAAAAAAAAAAAAAAGAGAAAAAATACAAAAATTAGCCAGGTGTGGTGGTGGGCACCTGTAATCCCAGCTACTCGGGAGGCGGAGTCAGGAGAATCGCTGGAACCCAGGAGGCAGAGGTTGCAGTGAGCTCAGATCATGCCACTGCACTCTAGCCTGGCAACAGAGTAACACTCCACCTCAAAAAACAAACAAACAAACAAAACCAAAACAACAACAAGACACAGCAGCTCTTCTTGTTACCAGCCTGTTCCAGCCCTGTTCATAGAATCTAAGGGAACAAAATGTAACACTAGGTATAGATCCCAGGTTTAGATTTCTCTGTTTAGAGTTGGCTGGAGGTCATCCCTGTTCGAGAATCCCAAAGCCACCTGGGCACGGTGGCTCATGTCTATAATCCCAGCACTTTGGGAGGCCGAGGCAGGTGGATCACCTGAGGTCAGGAGTTTGAGACCAGCCTGGCCAACATGGTGAAACCTCGTCTCTACTAAAAATACAAAAATTAGCCACCATGGTGGCAGGTGCCTATTTGTAACCCCAGCTACTCCAGAGGCTGAGGCAGGAGAATTGTTTGAGTCTGGGAGGTGGAGGTTGCAGTGAGCAGAGATCATGAGCCATTGCATTCCAGCCTGGGCAACAAGAGCAAAGCCCCGTCACAAGGAGAAAAAAAAAAAAAAAAGAATCCCAAAGGCTGGAAAAAACATACCCAATGAGGAGTCAGTGGCCTTGAGGCATCAAGAGCTACAACTGGGGCCAAACTGCTCTAGTGGAGCCCTGGGCATTTGGAAGGGGGAAGGCTAACAAGGAGCAAAAGAAAGAGGAAGAAAGAAGAGAGAAGAAAACAGAAAATGAGACAAAACATAAAGCAGGGAACATAAAACATAAAACAGGCCAGGTGCGGTGGCTCATGCCTGTAATCCCAGCACTTTGGGAGGCCAAGGTGGGTGGATCACATGAGGTCTGTAATGGGAGGCTGAGGCAGGAGAATCGCTTGAACCCGGGAGGTGGAGGTTGCAGTGAGCCTAGATCACGCCATTGCACTCCAGCCTGGGCAACAAGAGTGAAACTTCGTCTCAAAGAAAAACAAAACCAAAAACAAAACATAAAACATAAAGATGGAAGGTGAGTGTTCATGGGGGGCAGGAACAAGGAACCCCTGCAAACATCATCTATGAGGGTTTCCTACATGCCCAGTCTTTCCCATCCATTTTCTGATTTGATCCTCACAGCAACCCTATGACATGGACCTGATGATCATCCCTATTTTATAGATGAGGAAAGTGAGGTGTAGAAAAATTAAGGGAGGCAGGGCATGGTGACTGATGCCTGTAATCACAGCACTTTGGGAGGCCGAGGCGGGCGGATTACCTGAGGTCAGGAGTTCAAGACCAGCCTGGACAACATGACGAAACCCCAACTGTACTAAAAATACAAAAATTAGCTAGGCGTGGTGGTGCATGCCTGTAATCCCAGCTACTCGTGAAGATGAGGCAGAAGAATCGCTTGAGCCCAGGAGGCGGAGGTTGCAGTGAGCCGAGATTGTGCCACTGCACTCCAGCCTGGGCAACAAAGCAAGACTCTGTCTCAAAAAAAAAAAAAAAAAAAAAGAAAAAAGAAAAGGGACTTGCGGGAAGAATTCACACAGTGGCTGCTGAGTCAGAGTTGGAAGTCTAGCAGTGTAACCTTGGAGCTCTTCGCTACATAGTGTCAAGTGGAAAACAGAAGTAACAAAGCTGACATACATATATACATTTCTCCCATCTGTGTGTGTTCTTAGATGTGCATGTATTTTTCACACAGTTGGCTGGGTGTTAAAAATACACGAATATCAAAGAACACTCACAGATGGGAGAAAACAGTTGCAAATCATGTCTACAGAATGGGACTTGTACCCAGAATATAAGAAGAGCTCTTACAACTCAACACAAAATAGGCAAATATCCTATTTAGTTTTTTAAGAATAAGCATATTTAAGAAATATAAGAATAAATAAATTTAAGAATGAATAAAGAAAAAAATTAAAATGAGTAAAGGATTTGGGAGAAGTTTCTCTGAAGAAGATACACAAATGGAAAGATGCTCAACCAGGCGCAGTGGCCCATGCCTGTAATCCCAGCACTTTGGGAGGCCGAGGTGTGTGGATCACCTGAGGTCAGGAGTTCGAGACCAGCCTGGCCAACATGGTGAAACCCCGTCTCTACTAAAAATACCAAAAACTAGCCAGGCGTGGTGGCAGGCACCTGTAATCCCAGCTACTCGGCGGGGAGGGAGAATCGCTTGAACCCGGGAGGCAGAGGTTGCAGTGAGCCAAGGTTGTGCCATTGCATTCTAGCCTGGGGAACAAGAGCGAGACTTTGCCTCAAAAAAAAAAAAAAAAAAAAAAAGGCCGGGCACAGTGGCTCACGCCTGTAATCCCAGCACTTTGGGAGGCCAAGGCTGGTGGATCACCTGAGGTCGGGAGTTCGAGACCAGCCTGACCAACATGGAGAAATTCCGTCTCTACTAAGAATACAAAATTAGCCAGGCATGGTGGCGCATGCCTGTAAACCCAGCTACTCGGGAGGCTGAGGCAGGAGAATCACTTGAACCTGGGAGGCAGAGGTTGTGGTGAGCCGAGATCGCACCATTGCACTCCAGCCTGGGCAACAAGAGTGAAACTCCGTCTCAAAAAAAAAGGAAAGATGCTTAACATTTTTAGGCAGCGGGGAAATGCAAATTAAACCACAGTGACAAGTCACTTTCCATCCACCAAGAAGGTTACAATCTTAAAAAGGTAATTATAATAAATAATATATAATTACAAGTGTTGGTGAGATGACAGAGACGTGGGGATCCTCATAAAATGGGGATGTCAGATGGTGCATTTCCTGAAGAAACAATTTGGTGGTTTCTCGAAAGGTTGAATAGAGTGACCATATGATACAGCAGATCCACTCCTGGGTACACACCCTAGAGAACTGAACATACAAGCCCACATGAAAACCTGCTCATGAATTTGCACAGCAGCATTATTCGTAATAGCCAAAAAGTGGAGACATCCCTAATGTCTATCAGCTGATGAATAGATAAACAAAATGTGGTGTAACCACACAGTAGACAATTATCTGCAATAAAAAAGAATAAAGTACTGATATATACAAAGTTCAATGTGAAAACACTGAATATACTATAAGCCAGTGAACTGTACACTTTTAAAATATAAACTTTGGGCCGGACGCAGTGGCTCACGCATGTAATCCCAGCACTTTGGATTAAATGGGTGGATCACCTGAGGTCAGGAAGGCAGAGTTTGCAGTGAGCTGAAATCAAGCCACTGCACTCCAGCTTGGGTGACAAGAGTGAAACTCCGTCTTAAAAAAAAAAAAAAAAAAAAAAAAAATATATATATATATATATATATATATATAAAATATAATATACTTATATATAATATATATAAACTTTAACATACATGAATTCTATCTCAATAAAGCCATTATTTAAAAAAATACAAAGTATGGGAGATGCACACTGAAGTTTGGTGTTTATTTTTCTATGGCCAGTTTACAGGTAATTTTTTTTTATTTTTATTTTTTGAGACGGAGTCTTGCTCTGTCGCCTAGGCTGGAGTGCAGTGGCACGATCTCGGCTTACTGCAAACTCTGCCTCCCAGGTTCATGCCATTCTCCTGCCTCAGCCTCCTGAGTAGCTGGGACTACAGGTGCCCGACGCCACGCCTGGCTAATTTTTTGTATTTTTTAGTAGAGACCGGGTTTCACCGTGTTAGCCAGGATGGTCTCGATCTCCTGACCTCGTGATCCGCCTGCCTCAGTCTCCCAAAGTGCTGGGATTACAGGCGTGAGCCACCGTGCCCGGCTGGTAATTTATTTTCTTATTAGTGCTTTGCTGCATTTTCCAGATAGTCTACATCAGACTTTTACTACAATGATAAAATCAGAAATTTCTAGTTGGTTAAAGGAGGCTTAGGTGGAGTTTGTCTTTGTCCAGCTATCACTGCAGAGAGACAGGTGCCTGCAAAACCATCTCCCAGCTGACCTGAGTACCCAGTTAGCCAGAGAAGTCCAGGGGCATGAATTACCCGCTCTGCACTAAAAGGTGTCAGAGCTCCCATGCACACTCTCAACACCAGGACTGTGGGCTGGGCCAGGCTGTGGCTGAAGCTGTGCCTGGCCCCCAAGCCCTGGCCACATCTGCCAACTCTGCCAGTCCTGGTGATGCAGCTGCATGGCATCCCCCAGAGGCAGGGGGCTGGGACTGCAAGGCCCAGATGCTGATGGAGAAAACAGATCTGCCTTCAAAATCTACTGGGAAATGAATTCTAATTAGCCTGGGAAAGGAGCCTCAAGCCTCCCTGGCTCAGAGCCACTGCCCTGGGGCATTTCAGAGCAGATAAGCAGATAGCAACACACAAACCCTTTTCCTTGGCTGGGAGCTTTAGGGATTCTCACAGGGCACTTCAAACAGCACCTGCCTTGGTCTAAATTGTAGTACCTTACAGCTGGAGGCCATAAAGTCTGAGGGTTCCCCACTTCTTCTGTGCAGCAACACACACAGGGTACGGAGTGGGACTGTGCTTTTAGCACATTTGCCTGTTTCCCTAAGTATTGACAGAGCCCTCTCATTACAGAGATAATCTGGAATGTTCCCTGGTTTATTAACCATTTATTTTAATTACCTTATTTTTTAAAAGTAAATCATACTTCCAAATCTATGACAGAAAAAGGAAGAGACTATTTTATAGGAAAATAACTCAGGGCCGGGCGCGGTGGCTCACGCCTGTAATCCCAGCACTCTGGGAGGCCAAGACAGGCAGATCACCTTAGGTCAGGAGTTGGAGACCAGCCTGGCCAAACATGGTGAAACCCTGTCTTTACTAAATACACAAAAAGTAGCCAGGTGTGGTGGCACGTGCTTGTAATCCTAGCTACCCAGGAGGCTGAGGCAGGAGAATCACTGGAGCCAGGAGTCCGAAGCTGCAGTGAGCTGAGATCACGCCACTGCACTCCAGTCTGGGCGACAGAGAGAGACTCCATCTCAAACAAAAACAAAAACAAAAACCAAAACCAAAAAACACATAGTCAAATGCAACATGTGGACCTTGTGTGGATTCTGATTTGAAAAAAACATCTGCCAGGAGATACCCTAGAGGTAATCAGATATATTTCAATATTGACTAATAGGTGATAGTGAGAAATTATTATTAATACTATTATCACTACCCAGAACAATCTTGTTCATGTATTTCTGGACCCATTTCCCCGCCCAAGACACTAGAAGCAGAATGGTGTCTGTCTCATTAAAGACAGTAGGTATAGAGCACTGAGGTTAAGAGTGTGAATCCCACTTGACCATTTACTGAGCGATCTTGTGCAAGTTACTTCCTTCTGTGCCTGCTTGGTTAAAAAAAAATCTGGAAGGTCAGGTGCGGTGGCTCACACCTGTAATCCCAGCACTTTGCGAGGCTGAGGAGGGCGGATCACGAGGTCAGGAGTTTGAGACCAGCCTGACCAACATAGTGAAACCCCATCTTTACTAAAAATACAAAAATTAGCCGGGCGTGGTGGCGGGTGCCTGTAATCCCAGCTACTCAGGAATTTGAGGCAGGAGAATCGCTTGAACCTGGGATGCGGAGAGGTTGCAGTGAGCCGAGATTATGTCACTTTCACTGCACTCCAGCCTCGGTGACAGAGCGAGACTCCGTATCAAAAAAAAAAAAAAAAATCTGTAAAGTGGGGGAAACAATATAACCCAACTCATGGGCTTGATTGAAAGAGTGAGTGAGTGGATATTTGTAAAGCAGAACAAAGTCTGGCGCATAGTGCACTTATGAGTATTTGCTTAGCAATCTTCCTTCCTGGGCCACACTTATATTCTATGAATCCAAGGGAAAGTCTTTGAATGAGGAAAACCCAAGGACAATGGCTCTACCAGATTCAGGTGCCCCAGTGCCCCAGCAACAGAATGTGGCAGGCACAGACAGGGTCCCCACAAGGGCAAACAAAACAGAAGACGCTGGAAAGTCATGGCTAGAGGCCTGGCTTGTGTTTTTTCTGAGATGGAGTCTCGCTGTTGTCCAGACTGGAGTGAAGTACCGCAATCTCAGCTCACTGCAACCTCCGCCTCCTGGGTTCAAGTGATTCTTCTGCCTCAGCCTCCCAAGTAGCTGGGATTACAGGCACTCACCACCATGCCCAGCTTATTTTTGTATTTTTAGTAGAGATGGGGTTTCACCATGTTGGCCAGGCTGGTCTTGAACTCCTGACCTCAGGTGATCCACCTGCCTCGGCCTCCCAAAGTGCTGGGATTACAGGCGTGAACCACTGCGACTGGCCTTAGAAGCTTGGCTTCTGAAGCCGGATTGGGTTCAAATCCTGTCTCTACTACCAGTGAGGGGTGTGACTTAGAGCAAGTCACTCTCTGGCTCTCTATACTCCAGTTGACTCTGTTTGTAGAACAAAGCCAGAAAAGTTCCGGCCTCTCAGGCTGGAGAGGAGCCCAGCCCCAGCTCCCGGAGCAGCATAGCACCCTCAGAGGCCCTGGTACTTGGCCTACTCGCTTGTGGGTTTAAGTCAGCCAACTCCTTTCTGCTCTTCAGGCCTCAGTTTTCCCATCCTCAAAAATGGGAAACTTGACTGCCTTGCCTCTGTGAAAAAGGGAGGAGAAAGGAAAGTCAACATTTGCTAGGCACCTGTCCTGAGGCCCAGAGGGCCTGTCCTGAAGCCCAAGATGAAGCCGTCAGAAGCAGTGACGCAGGACTCCAATTCCCCTGGGTCTGGTTCCAAATCAACCCGCCAAGCTACCGTCTCTCAATAATTCTATGGAAAAAGCCCTTGGAGAGCTTTTGAAAGTCATGTCCTTTGAAACTCAAGTATCGAGACAAAAGGGGTTCTCCCCTCGCAGTGAGGATTCTCCTGCGCAGCCGAAGCCCCAGCAAGACACTTCCAAACCGGCGCCAACAGCGGCGATGCCCTTTCCACGTTGCTGATGGAAAAGCCACTCCCAGCTCTTCCCGCCACCCCAGGTCCCCGGTGCAGGACAGAGGAGCGTCCCCAGCTGTGCCACCAGCCCGGCCCCCAGCCGACCCGAGTGTGGGGACATCCCCCGCGGAGAATGAAGAACCAACGTACCCCAAAGCTTGGCGGCTCTGCCCGAGCTGCAGCGGCACGGTGGGGGACGCCTCTCTCCCTGGACTCAGCAAAGGCTCCCAAACGTCGTCTCTTCCAAATTCCACCGCACAGCCAGCTCTTTCTCTTCACTGGGAGGGTCCGCAGGGGCTGACTTGCTCCTTAAGGTCCCAAGACTATTAAGCGACACCCGGTGAGGCCGGGAAAGGGGCTCTAAGAGGCATGGACGAGAGTTGGCGGTGACCAAGCCACTGGAAGCTCCTGGAGACTCGAGGTAGAACGAATGTGGGAACAGGGCAGGAGTCCCAGAATGGGATGTTGAGGCTGGGGGTGTCCTGGGGCTACCACAGGGAAGGACCCGGCGCAGAGCTCCCTCTGGAACCCGGCACTGCGGCCCGCGCCCTCTACTCCCCGCGCGCCGGCCGGCAACCCTCGGCGCTGCCCGGTGCAGCCCGCCCGAGCGCACACAATGAGGCGCTTTCAGACGTGGCTGCGGTCCCGAGGTGGCCAGCGGGAGCTAGCGCCGTGGGGGAAGGAAGGAGCCGGTTGGCCCACCCCCGACCGAGGGGCCACGCCTCGGGGGAGGGGCGCCGGCCGAGGGCGGGGCAGGAGGGCCCAGGTGGGCTGGGGCTCTGAGAGGCTCAACTTTTAGCCCAGAATGTCAAAGGGCGCTGGCAGAGTCACCTCTCATCTGACTACAGAGGAACGTTGTACCCCACCCCACCCCAAATCCCCAGAGAAGGGGGGCTCCTGGGAGGACAAAGGCCCTAGTGAAGGAAGTCGAATCTTAATCTTGACCCTCCTCACTCTCGGGGGCATCCTTGCGGCGAGGTGACTTGGAATCCAAACCCTTCCCAAGGCCACGGCACCTGGATGACACATGGACCCGGTGCAGTGTCCCAACTGGGAAGAGCGGAGAGACCAGGTGGCCTTAGGAGCTGGGTCCGCAGCTTTTCCCCTCCTCCTGCGCATTCCCTGCCCTAGCCTAGGCCCAGAGGCGCAGGTTCATAGCAGGTCCAGATAAAGACATGATACGTTTCAATAAATAAGATATTTCCGGCCAGGGCTGGGCGCGGTGGCTCACGCCTGTAATCCCAGCACTTTGGGAGGCCGAGGCGGGCGGATCACGAGGTCAGGAGATCGAAATCATCCTGGCTAACACAGTGAAACCCCGTCTCTACTAAAAATACAAAAAAATTAGCCAGGCCTGGTGGCGGGCACCTGTAGTCCCAGCTACTCGGGAGGCTGAGGCAGGAGAATGGCGTGAACCCGGGAGGCGGAGCTTGCAGTGAGCCGAGATCGCACCACTGCACTCCAGCCTGGGCGACAAAGCGAGACTCCCTCGCAAAAAAAAAAAAAAAAAATCCGGCCAGGCGCGGTGTCTCACGCCTGTAATCCCAGCACTTTGGGGGGCCGTAGTGGGTGGATCACGAGGTCAGGAGTTCGAGACCAGCCTGGCCAACAGGGTGAAACCCCGTCTCTACTAAAAATACAAAAATTAGCCGGGCGTGGTGGCAGGCACCTGTAATCCTAGCTACTCAGGAGGCTAAGGCAGGAGAACTGCTTGAGCCCAGGAAGCGGAGGTTGCAGTGAGCTGAGATTGCACCACTGCACTCCAGCCTGGGCGACAGAGCGAAACTGTTTCAAAAAAAAAAAAAAAAAAAATCCCCTTTACAAATAACAGGGCAGAGCCCAGGCACCTGAAAAGGATGAAGCATTTCTAGGTCTTGTCAAATTAGTGATGGGATCTTAATCAAGAACTCCCTGCTGCTGGGAGAAGAAATAAGCAGTCCTTCCTGGTTGTGGTTTGGCAAGATGAATTAAGATTCTTGACAATGGTCGTAAGCTTTTCGGATTGGTAATTCCTTTCTAGGAGCTATCTTAAGGAAATAAACCAGAAACAAGGATTTATGTACAGGGTTCATATAAGTGTTGTTCATGATTTTGATACTGATTTTTTTTTCAGATGGAGTCTCACTTTTGTAGCCCAGGCTGGAGTGCAATGGCAGGATCTAGGCTCACTGCAACCTCCGCCTCTCGAGTTCAAGTGATTCTCTTGCCTCAGCCTCCTGAATAGCTGGGATTACAGGTGCCCACCACCACGCCAGGCTAATTTTTGTACTTTTAGTAGAGACAGGGTTTCACCATGTTGTCCAGGCTGGTCTCGAACTCCTGAGCTCAGATGTGATCTGCCCGCCTCTGTCTCCCAAAGTGCTCGGATTACAGGCATGAGCCACCGTGCCCGGCCTGTTCATGATTTTTAAAAAGTTAGAAATAGTGTATGGGATAGAAAGATGTGTGCCAGAAGGCCAACCATAACTCTGGGTAGGGGATTGGCCGGCAATCATTATTTTCCTTAGGATCATGTAATTTACATTTCCTTAATCAGTATTTAGAAGTTATCTGGCCAGAAAGCTCCAAAACCTCTTTACAAAGCATGAATAAGGAGAGGGGGCAAGGATGTGGAGGATAAGGTAAGAGGGACGCAAAGAGAGAGAATTGCTTTAATAAGCTTCAAGATGGGCACTCAGTGGGGCATTAGACACCTCACCTGCTTTGGCAGAAACTGGACTAATCATTTGGAAGAATTAGAGATTTCTCTCCCACAAAACAAATTCAATAATTATCTCAAATATGACTTATCTATGGCTTCAGCTCAGTTGATAAAATCCTGTGTATTTCTTACCTTTCTTCCTCCTGCAACTATGCTGTGTGGTTCAGTTTCAGAAACTACCAATAAATGATCCGTAAATAATTTGATATTCACCAGACACAGTTGTAATTTTCCAACCCGCAGCTCCCATATGCCATGTGGATTCCACTAAAAACTAATATACTTGGGGTTGGACCAGGAAACTTTTGCCAAAGAGCTAACAAAAGCTCCAAGGTCTTTGGGCAGAGCCGTGGCAAAGCAAGGCTACTGGTGAGTAACTCGGAGAAGTGTGCTCAACTTCAGCCCTCCCTATTCTTCCTCCCTCCAAAGCCTTGCTTCAAAAATAGCTAATACAACCTTCCATGTTGAACATTTTAATTAGAAAGCTACAGAACATAATGGATTCTTTATACAAGTTTTGCATTCAAATAATTTAATAAAATGCAAACCAAAGTTTATACGTATCTTTAGCCATCTTCCCATGTTTCATTAAATTCTGGGGATTTAAACCACAAGCAATTTTTCATTTCAGTCTCAAGAGACGGGGCACACTGGCCCATGCCTATATTCCTGGCACTTTGTGGGGCTGAGACAGGAGGATTTCCTGAGGTTGGGAGTTCAAGACCAGCCTGGGCAACATAGTGAAAACCCCATCTATAAAAATAAATAAATCTCAAGAAAAAAATTTAGGCATCTAAAATAGCCAGAATATTAAAAAAAGACAAGGGGGACAGTGTTAGAGAATTCCTCTGCTTGAATACTTCAAAATAGCTTTGTTTCCAAAACTGTTTTTAGTCAGCCTAAAGGAAACGGATGCTGGAGATGAAAAATGATCTCCAAGGTAAACTGAGGCACACACTGAGGGGTGTGTTTCTGGGTGGGCATGAAGCATGGATCACCGGAGCCATGTCCTTCCAGGGGCAACGACCTGCTTGGGATCAGGAAGCAGCTCCATGTGTTCTTGGAGGAGACTGCACGCATCCTCAGGAGGTGAATCGGCTGAACAAGCCATCTTCCGTGTGCAGAGGCCCCTTCCAGCCATCTCTGCTCCTGCAGACACTTGCTTAGCCACGAGGATAATCCACTGGACTGCTTGGTATTCTGCTAGTGGCCAGGCTGGACTGGCCTGCCCAGGCCAGCATCCTCTTTACACCCTCACTGCTTCTTGTGTCCTTCCCAAAGCTGCCCGCCCCACTCTGATGGGCACCCTTTTCCTTAGTCAAGGGAAACGCCAGCCGCTGGGCTTCCCGCTAGCCTTCCAAATAAACTTGTGGTTGTCAGGCAGCGGGAGCCAATCCCAACACCAACCCCTGTCGCCCCTGTCCTTTGCAGGAAGGGGGAGGGCTGTCAAGGAGGAGGAGGGCCAAGTGCCCAGGCTGTTGGGTGAGGGCCAGAAAGAACCTGTTGTGACAATGCTTTCTTCCCCCAGTGCTGCTGAGGGGGCTGAGAATGAAACAGCCCCTCTGACTTCAGCCTGCCATCCAGGGGCACAGACAGAGGGAAAAACCGGGCAAAGAGCCAGCCACAGTCGGGCAGGGATCCAGGGCTGCTCAGCTGAGCTGATGACAGATGACTGACTGTTGGGCTGGGGCAGGTGGACGGTCCAAGTGTCCTTCAGCGGCCCTCCCTGATTGCCTGTGCTAATGCGGCCCTTGCCCTTGGGCCCTGCCCCTCCAGGTCTCCAGTTAAAGGCCTCAGCTCTGGAAATCAAAGCTGTGAATGGGAAATGGAGAAGCCCAGGGGTGCAAAGTGCTAGTGATTGGCATGTTTGTCACAAGAGAGCCCTGAAAAGAGTAAGAGTGGCTCACAACAGAAGGAAGAAATGCACAGTGTGTTCCTCAGTTCAACAGAGGAAAAGTCTCTGCTTGACCAGAGATGGGACTCTTTCCAAGATGTCTGAACTGACTGCAATTTTCTCCTGAAATTCAACGCTAAGGCAAAGAAGAAAAACCCAAAAAGCTAATTATAGCCTCCAGGAACTCTCAGACCTTTCCACAAACTAGTCCCTGACAATTCTGCAGGAGCTCTGAAGATACGGAACTGTGTAGAGCAAAACTGGAAAGAACCGTTGTCTCTGAGGGAAAAGCACACAAGCCCGCAGGTGTCCGCTGGGCTCTTTCAAAAGGTCCTAAGACGTTCCCAGAAGATGACAATGAGGCAGCCATGGTCCTGCTGAGTCTTCAGAAACGGCCTTTCTAGGATAAGTGCTCCTTACACACTTCTCCCTGGGGCATCACTGTCACAGGGATGGTGGTCACCACCTGATTCTGAAACACGAAGATCTTGATTCTTTCAAACACCCAGAGGAAGATAAGCAGGATGCTGACATACTGCACCCAGGCGAACTTTACCATCGCCCAGAATCCTGGCTGATAAGGACAGACAGTTAAAGAGTTGGGGACCACATGGTATAAGTCAAAGTAAACTAAGGTTTAGGCCAGACAGGATATGGCAAGAATATTTCAAATACTCTTAAGATGAAAGGAATAATAAAAGATTATTAAAAAATAAATATGGATGATTCTGACTTAGAAGAATGGCTCAGAAAGAAATACGAACAGGAAATGATCTTCCCCCCTGTATAAAGAGCAGACATAGTCATTTATGTGGAGATACAGTGCTGTAGCAATTTCCAATCAAAGGCTCCCACATGTGTTTCTGCTGGGGACAACTTTGGAATCTTTCCTTTTTGGAAGTTGAGTTACCACTGCCTCTGTAACAGAAAGGATATGATATGGTTTCCACAGGGTACTGGATGACAACATTAATCACAAATGGAGTTTCATGGCTCTGCCTACCAGCCAGATGAAGTTGGGGTCATTCAGGATGGTGGCAACTGCAATACAATCATTAACCATTAATCCATGATGGGGCAGCCTATTGGCAAAATATATTAGGGCTATAAAAATATTATTATTGTTTTTGGGATGGAGTTTCGCTCTTGTTGCCCAGGCTGGAGTGCAATGGAGTGATCTTGGCTCACTGCAACCTCTGCCTCCCGGGTTCAAGCAATTGTCCTGCCTCAGCTTCCTAAGTAGCTGGGATTACAGGCAGGTGCCACCATGCCCAGCTAAATTTGTATTTTTAGTAGAGATGGGGTTTCTCCATGTTGGTCAGGCTGGTCTTGAACTCCCGACCTCAGGTGATCTGCTTGCCTCAGCCTCCCAAAGTGCTGGGATTATAGGCATGAGCCACCACGCTCGGCTATAAAAGTATTATTTTATTCCTGTGGGATATTCTGTACTTCAGAACTAAAAGAAATCATTCGAAAGCATTAAAAATTGCATGTACAAAGTAGATTAACAAATAATTTGTTAAGATACTTGTCAAAAAAGCATTTGATATGGTTTGGCTCTATGACCCAAATCTCACCTTGAATTGTAACAATCCCCACGGATCAAGGGCAGGACCAGGTGGAGATAATTGAATCATGGGGGCAGTTTCCCCATGCCATTCTCATGATAGTGAGTTCTCACCAGATCTGATGGTTTTATCAGATCTGCTTACTTAGCTCTGCTCTCATTCTCTCTTCTGCCGCCCTGTGAAGAGGTGCCTTCTGCCATGATTGTGAGGCCTACCCAGCCATGCAGAACTCTAAGTCAGTTAAACCTCTTTTCTTTATAAATTACCCAGTCTCAGGTATGTCTTTACAGCTGTGTGAGAAAGGACTAATACGATATTTATATTAAAATACGTCAAAAACTTGGAAATGGTCATGTGATCATCTACAATTGCTGAATGGCTAACTGAAAGAATAACATGTTGCCACTCTAAATAATATGTTTGTCTGGACAAAGTCGCGCATTCTTGTAATCCCAAGGATCTGGGAGGCCAAGGTGGGAGGGTCACTTGAGGCCAGGAGTTTGAGAGCAGCTTGGCTAACATATTGAGACCCTCTCTCTACTAAAAAATAAAAAAAAATTAGCTGGGCATGGTGGCACGTGCCTGTAGTCCTAGCGGCCCAGGAGGCTGAGGTGAGAGGATCACGGAGCCCACAGGAGTTCAAGGTTACAATCAGCTATGATTACAGCACTGCACTCCAGCCTGATCATCAGAGCAAGACCCTGTGTCTCTTCAAGAAAAAAAAAAATTAGAACTTTGTAGCAGTGTGGGGAAATACTTTTATTACATGGAAATACAAATAATTTGGATGCCAAAGTGTTTCAACACTATCATAATAGGTATATTTTTAAAATCCACATAAGAATAAAGAGTGAAAAAAGTAAAGAAAAAACATCGATTTCTTGGGCCGTGCTTTTTAGTTTTGTTTTAGAATTCCCTTTACTATTATAAAAATGCTGCTAATGTATGACATAAAATCAGAAAGCAATACTGGATTTGCAGTCGTTCCCCCTTGTGAAATGTTTGTGTATAGTCTCCATGATGTCTGGTTGCCAAGTAACACTCTAGATGCCTTCACAGACATCCTCAGCCACGGACCAGCCAAACATGCCGAGTGAACACATGCCATGGCCTAGAGCTCTGTAAGGAATGAGCACACTGTGCCTTCTGGCAGGAAACAGGGGCACTCCTGTTCTCCTGCTGGACTGCTAATGTGGGGAGAGTCACCCACGTTCTCTGTTTTTCTCTGAAAAGCATGAACAGCAATTTGTCTTTGGCATCTGTTATAGGTGTGCTATGGGGAACAACTCAATTAGGCTTATATTTTTTAAAAGAGAAACCCACCAAGCCAGTGGTGGGATAATGATGGCATTTAACCATCACTAGCCTGCTGGACCACGGGATGCTGGAGGGGTGCGGGTGGTCCCGGGTCTGAAGATCAGGACGAAAAAGACAAATCCTGGGCAGCACATTTGCTCCCATCGTTGAGCATTCACGGGTTTTGACATTTTCATCACAAGGGTTCCAGTTCTGCTTGTCTCTGTTGCCCCCACTAACCTTGAAAGTCCTGAGCAGCGGCTGAATGGGCTCTACCTGTGACCCACCGTTCCTCTCCTGGTAGGCAGCAACAATATGGGTGAGGTCGTAGTCATAGGCAAAGGGGCTGGTCCCGTTGGTCACAGATACTTGGGACACGGGAGGAGGATGTGGTGTGAGCACCTGGGAGACTCCTCCTCTTTTCCTTCTACCCTTCTGCCCACCCAGGCTGGTCCCACAGAGCACCCTCTTGTTCTTGGTGGCCTACTGCAGTATCAATAATCTTTTCTTCAAAGATGAATAAACTCTCTTGCAACAATTTAAGTTCATTTACTCTGTCCTTCCTTCTGTGGGGATGAAAATAAGTGGTCAGTGTCCATGTTTCATAGATTTTAAAGCTATTTATAAAATCTCTCTCAGCTGGATGTCATGGCTCATGCCTGTAATCCCAGCAATCTGGGAGGCTGAGGCAGGAGGACTGCTTGAGAGGACACAAGTTCAAGACCAGCCTGGGCAACATAAAGATCCCATCTCTACCAAAAAAAAAAAAAAAAAAAAAATCCCAATAAACTAGGCATTGTGGTGCCTCCAGTCCTAGCTTCCAGGGAGGGTGAGGTGGGTGAACTGCTTGTACCCAGGAGTATGAGGCACAATGAGTCATAGGTAGGCCACTGCACTCCAGCCTGGGCCAGAGTGAGAGTCTAGTTTTTTTATTAAAAAGGGGGTGCGGGGGCAGGCACAGTGGCTCACACCTGTAATCCCAGCATGTTGGGAGGCCAAGGTGAGTGGATCACTTGGGTCCAGGAGTTTGACACCACCCTGAGAAACATGGCAAACCCCGTCTCTACAAAAAATGTAAAAATTAGCCAGGCGTGGTAGCATGCACCTGTAGTCCCAGCTAGCTACTCAGAAGGCTGAGGTAGGAGGATCATCTGAGCCTGGGGAGGTCAAGGCTGCAGTGAGCCATGATTGCGCCACTGCACTGCAGCCTGGGTGACAAAGTGAAACTCTGTCACAAAAAATAAATAAAATAATAAATGAAATTGTTTTAAAAAAGGTTAGGTGCAGTGGCTCATGTCTGTATTCCCAGTACCCTTGGAGGCTGAGGTGGGAGGATGCCTTATAACTGATAATTTCCCTTTTTCATTTTCCAAAGTACAGCAGCTCATCTTCTATGGTCCCCACTGTGATAAAATAAAGGTGAGGAATGAGTGATTAGATGCATGAGTTCTGGACACAGAAAGTTCCTGGCTCTGTTATACTTTCAAGATTTGAGCCTTTGGGAAAATTAATCACTGTAAGCCCCAGTTTTGTCTTCTCCAAAATGAGTTCATTCTTCAAACAAGCTTCTCTGTGAGCTTACCAAGTGATAGGCAGTGTGCTAGGCATGGACATGATAGTGTATGAGATGCCACTGCTGTCAAGGCTGAGGGAGACAACAAATAAACACACAAACACATATCCTGAGTAGGCCAGGGGGCAGGAGGGAGAGTCTGGCTGAGAGATGGTGGAGGGAGGGGCTGCTACTCTAGAAGCAGGTCAGGGAAGGATGGTGCTTGGCGATATCTGAACAGGGACCTGAATGGCATGGTTAGATAAGCCACATGGATGCCTGGCAGAGGAAATGGCAAGAGCAAAAGCCCTCAGGTGGCAGCTGCTTCTTGGGTTCAAGGAACAGCAAAAAGGCCAGGGGGGCTGCAAAGTAGCAAGGGGGACAGCAATGGGACCACTGGCTGGAGTGCTGGGAAAGGACAGTGCAGGCAGCTCAGAGGTTGCTGTGATGATTAAAGGAGATGATACGTATAAACCCCTGCACTCAAGGCTGGCATATGTTATGGGTTCAGTAAACTGTCTAGTAGTATTTCTGAAATACTTTACATGAACATTTTACATGATCTCTTGGAAACACATACTCCAAGTATGTGTATGGAAGAGAGAATGTATGTGCGTGTGTGTGCACGTGCACATGTGTACCTAAAAGCAATAAACAATTTAGTTATTCAACAAACACAGATTTTTTCTCTCTCTCCCTCTAGGTGTAAATACAGGTGTATCTTCATAGTCTGAAAAGACTTCATGGCAAGAATTCCTCAGAAGGTCCCTTGAAAGCCACCCACAGAGAAATATTTCTACTTTTTATCCCCCTCTTCAAAGAACTCGACGAACAGTAACACACAGAAACAAAGGAGCTGGACAATGAGAAGCGCCCTTACATTGTATCGGGCATCTAGGCCACCACAGCTCAGCGGCTGCTTCTGCTGCAGCCTCAGGTCTCCGTTCACGTATAACTGGGATCCCGGGACAGGAAAGGAGGACTGGAGAAACGCCATGCTCTGCATCACGAGGGTCGCCATCCTCTGAAATCATTAGAAGGACCAACAATACCAACCGCCATCAGATCTGAAGGGCTCTGGGTGCTAAGAGTCACCTGTCTTGGCTGAAACCTAAGAGGCCCTCACATACCTAGCGTAGCCATGCAGGAAACACTGCCTAGAACCTTCTGAGCTATTAATAGCCCATGTCAGTTAATATGACTAGTGAAAACCATTCCATTGGCCTAAGTTAAATCCCAAACTACATGGGGAAGAGGGCCCGCTAGAGTGCGGGTCTTCTAGAAATCAGAAGAAGGACTCTGGTCTACTAAAAAGACACAAGGGAGAGGACAGCCTCCCAGCGGACTGACTCACGTGTAATCGATAGGAGAAAGTCAGGATGAGCTGCACACCGAGAACGTGCTCCGTGGACTGCAGGGGAAGCTCCAGCTTAAAATGTAACATGTCCGTCTTCCCATCCTGGTTCCTGTCTTCTTCTCTAGTCTAGGAAACCCAAACAGGCCCAGCAGCCCTGGTCACTAATGAGTCTGGGAGGAATCCACATCACTTCTGTACATACACAATGACCCACTGTCCTGCTGTACACAAAAGAAAGAGGCATTATCTCCCCCACTAAAAGAAAGAGAAAAATAGACAGGTGTAAGTGCATTAATACTGGGGAAAGAGGCACAAAGTGCATGGCCCCTGAACTTCATATCTGAGTCTTTCAAATGTTCACTGGACAAAATAAATGGGAACTTGAAGTGGCGATAACAAGACAAGAAACATGTGAATAGCATTTGTCTCATTTGATCTTTTTTTTTTTAAATTAAAAAAAAATTTTTTTTTTAAAGAGGTTCTCCCTATGTTGCCTAGGCTGGTCTTGAACTCCTGTGGTTAAGGGATCCTCCTGCCTTGGCCTCCCAAAGTGCTAAGATTACAGGGGTGAGCCACCATGCCCAGTCAGATCATATCTTGTTTGTTTTGTACTGGTGTTTTTTTTTCTTTTGCATAAACATGCCTGGATTTGTATGGAAAATTTAAATAGTGTATCAGAATTGTCTTCTATGCCTCTAGAAGCAACTTTTTAAAATAGAAAAACACCTAATCCTAATCATTATGCATTCCCCCAACAAACTCAACAGAAAATCACCAAGCTCTATTTACACGTTCTGAAACCACAAGTGTCTTTGCTTCAGATTCTTGACGTTGGATCTCATCTCATCATTCATGTGAGGCCCTGAAAGCCTTGTGCATCTTTAAGTAGCAATCAATGAAATGGAAAAGAAAGCTATGTCAAATCAGCAAAGCATTAAACCACATCTGTAAGATAAATTATGGGCATGAAAGTAAGGAAAAGAAACAGAGATCTGTGGTGGAAAAAAAGACAAATTATAGCTCATGAAGCATATGTAGGCAGTAAAAAAAAAATTGGTATCCACTCCCACCATCCAGTCTGACCTCATAGTGACCCTAAAATGATCAGCAGAAAAAGACGGTTACTGAAAAGTGATCACTGCTGACGTGGTCCCTCTGCACAACTCTGGATCTTTTTGCTACAAGTGATCCTTTCCCACCGTAGGTTCCCAGAAGGATTCTACTATGGTGTAGCAGCATTCCAATCTGGATCCCCCATCTACTGATTCATTTTGATTCCCACCATTAATATTATGTGAGGAAAATAATTTTTGTACTTTTTTGGGCTAATAAAGTCATTTGAGATGAAGAAATCTCAGTTTTCAGAAACTTTCAATTATTTATTTCCTTTAGACAATAATGTCCTTATTGTAGGTCTTGTTTTAGAGAAACCTCCCTCCCTTTTCTCTTGGATACTTCCTCTCTGCCCTGTTTCATCAGCTTCGGGGAGGGATATCTGCTACCCGGGCTGACGATCAAGTTACTGAGGCAATGATGGATTAGTCATTATGGGTAGGATGAAAAGAGCCTGCCTTGTCTTCCTGTGGATTTTCTTCAATTGGGATCTGGGTAGACAATGTTGTGTAACTCTCTGTGACGGATCCACGCCTTCCGGATCTTTAGGGTTGGACAGGAAGTAAAGATCACATTTCTCAACTTGCAACAGAGGACAGTGGCCAGGAGACAACTGCCAGACTCCAATACACTGTGGGGCGTGGGGAGAAACTCATTTCATTTGATCTTTACAATAAATGTTAAGCCCCAGGTAGGCAGAACAAGTATTTTCCCATTACATAGATGAGAAAATCATGGGTGAGGGAGGTTAGGGCATTTATCAGAGGTACAGCAAGTAATGGTGAAGACAGAATTTCAGATCAGGTCTTTGACTTCAAATGTGGTATCCTTTCCAGGACTAAAATATCCAGACTTACTTACTTATTTATTTATTTTTGAGCCGGAGTCTCACTCTGTTGCCCAGGCTGGAGTGCGGTGGCACGGTCTCAGCTCACTGCAACCTCCGCCTCCTGGGTTCAAGCAATTCTCCTGCCTCAGTCTCCTGAGTAGCTGGGATTACAGGCACCTGCCACTTCGCCCAGCTAATTTTTTTGTATATTTAGTAGAGATGGGGTTTCACCATGTTGGCCAGGCTGGTCTCGAACTCCTGACCTCGTGATCCGCCCGCCTTGGCCTCTCAAAGTGCTGGGATTACAGGTGTGAGCCACGACACCCGGCCAGATTTATTTAAAAATTCAAAAAGAAGACAGTGGGTTGGAGAAGTCTTTTTGCAAAACGGCAGCACCAGGCATCAAAGTCTGTATACTCGCCTGTGTGCATAATTCCGCTCCACGCTGAGAGAGGGCCCAGATGTGGCTCAGCACCATCAATAGTGTCTACTTGTTAAATTCACTCATTAATCTGCTATGAACTTTTTGAGGCCCTACAGGCACTATTTCAGATGATGAGAATATAATCTAAACAAAACAGACAAAGTCTCCATCCTAATGGAGCTTATGTTCCCGACCAAGAAGACAGAAAATAGATTCATAAATATGCAACAATATCAAATAGTGATGAGTGCCACAGAGAAAAACAAGGCAGGCTAAAATGAAAGAATAATGAAGGTAGAATTTAACAGAAAGTTTTACAGAAAATATTCAGGATGACCTGACTTGTTGGAGACCTGAAGGAAGCGAGGTGATGAGGTGATGTGGTGCAGCAATGTCTCAGGGAAGAAAGATCTAGATTCACCAAGTGCATGTGCTCTAGGTGCCCATGGGGCCAGCAGAGCTGGCAGAATGGGTGAGAGGGAGAGCAGGACGGAGACAGGGGACAGAGAAGTGAAGACACAAAGGGTGTGTCTCCCAAAAACAACCTGTCACTAAGCTAGACTCTCACCCCTATGGGCTAGCAAGGTTTGGCTCTGTTATCACTTGGACCTCTGAAGAAATCAATTAGCTAATTCCATTTAGTTGAAAGTAAGCCTAACGTATGTGCAACAGCTACAAAGGCAGGCATTCAAAGGCTACTAATTCCTCAACACAAACTCCAGGTCACTATCTAACCTCCCACTGGTGCCTGGCCAAGAGAATTCACAAAGGACACAACCACTTCACACCTATAAGGTATATGCAGGATTCGAAACAATTATTATATCTATTGATTGTCCCATGTGATCCCTCCATATATCCCAGGAGAGAGTTGGCTACTCTCATGCCCAGGATATGGATAGATAAATTGAGGCTGAACAAATGAACTACTGCCCTTCCTCCACCAATGAAAAAAGCTACCTTTAGTCAATAGTGTCAATCAGAAATTGAGGGCAGGATTCTTGGTCCTCAGGGTTTCAGCCCCCACCTCTTCCACAACAAACCCATATCCTCTTGCAGCTTCTTTTCCAGCTGCCATTAGGCCAGGAGCTATTCCTGCCTTTCGCTGCCCAGAGACGCACCCTCCCTGGCTGGCAGCAACTCCAGAGGGAGCAGTGCCTGTATCTGGATACTGCTCCTCCCTAACAAATGTGCACCTGCCAGAGCTCTGGTGCCCACACAAATCCCTCCTGCCTGGGCAGCTACTGTGGCCCCTGGCTCAGTCAAGAGCAGCCTGGCCTCCGAGCTGAGGCCCCCTGTCCACCACCCACCGCCAGCTCATCCCCAAGCCCCCACACAGCACCATGCTTCTCTTCCAAAGCAGAAAGACCATCTTCTATCCCAGGTCCTCACCTGCCACTCCCAAATCAATCTGACCCTCTGACCACCCGAACATCTAGTCTGCACAAAGTTCCATGATGGCATCAGGAATTCACTGGTCCAAGTGAACAAATGAGATGCAAACCTGCCTCCAAGAACTCAGATTAAGACCAGTATGGTGGCTCACACCTGTAATCCCAGCACTTTGGGAGGCTGAGGCAGGTGGATCACCTCAGGTCAGGAGTTTGAGACCAGCCTGGCCAATATGGTGAAGCCCCATCTCTACTATTAATAATAATAATAAAAATTAGCTAGGTGTGGTGGTGCATGGCTGTAATCCCAGTTACTCGGGAGGCTGAGGCAGGAGAATTACTGGAACCTGGGAGGCAGAGGTTGCAGTGAGCTGAGATTGTGCCACTGCACTGGAACGTGGGTGACAGACTGAGACTCTGTTCCCCACCAAAAAAAAGCCAACAACAAAAATTATCTGGGCACAGTGGCACACTCCTGTAATCCCAGCCACTTGGGAGGCTGAGGAAGGAGAATTGGTTGAATCCGGGAGGCGGAGGTTGCAGTAAGCCAAGATCACACCACCACTGCCCTCCAGCCTGGGCAACAGAGCCAGACTCCGTCTCAGAAAACAAAGAACTCAGATTAGTCACCACTGGCTGCTGTCTGCCCCCACCGATGTGAGACCACACCCCGGACTCCTGCTGTGGAAGGCTTCTGCTGAAGCTGTGATAAGCACTGCTTTTTGCAGTAATTCAAGGCACTGCCGGAGCCTAGCTTCTTACTGACTGTCCCATAACCATCAGGGCAGTGACCTAGGAGGCAGCGCCCTGATCTGCCAGAAACACATGAAGCTGGAAACTTCCAGAAAAATGGGTCTGGACACAGGTGTGCCAACCAACTACTAAGGGCTGAACTGTGTGCACCACAGATTCCCAAGTTAAATATGATAGGACTGTGGCCTTACAAGAGGAAGAGATTTCAATCTCCTGATCTCTCTCTCTCTGCTATGTGAGGACACAGAAGACACCCAACTCCCAGTCAGAACCCAACCATGCTGGCACCCTTATCTCAGACTTCCAGCCTCCAGAACTGAGGAAACAATTGTGTGTGTGTGTGTGTGTGTGTGTGTGTGTGTGTGTGTGTGTGTTTTAGAGACATGGTCCCTCTCCGTTGCCCAGGCTGGAATGCAGTGTTCAATCATAGCTCACTGCACCCTTGAACTCCTGGCCTCAAGCAATCCTCCCACCTTGGCCTCCCAAAGTGCTGGCATTACAGGTGTGAGCCACAAGGCCAGCCAATGTCTGTTTTTTTTTTCTTTTTTTTTGAGACAGAGTTTCGCTCTTGTTGCCCACGCTGTAGTGCAGTGGCGCCATCTCGGCTCACTGCAACCTCCGCCTCCCGGGTTCAAGCGATTCTCCTGTCTCAGCCTCCTGAGTAGCTGGGATTACAGGCATGTGCCACCACGGCCGGCTAATTTTTTGTATTTTTAGTAGAGACGGAGTTTCACCATGTTGGCCAGGCTGGTCTCAAACTCCTGACCTCAGGTGATCTGCCCGCCTCAGCCTCCTAAAGTGCTGGGATTACAGGCGTGAGCCACTGTGCCCAGTCCATGGCTGGTCTCCAGCTACTGGCCATGTGTGGGAACATGTACCTGAGGTCTTGGCTTCTCTGTAGTCCTAGCTACTGGGGAGGCTGAGGCAGGAGGATTGTGTGAGCCCAGAAGCTCAAGGTTACAGTGAGCTATGATCACATCATTGCATGACACGACACGAAATCACTATACAACAGAGCAAGACCCCATGTCTTTAAAAAATAAAAAACGAAAACAAAAACAAAAAGCGGCTGGGAGTGGTGGCTCATGCCTATAATCCTAGCACTTTGGGAGGCCGAGGTGGGAGGATCATGTGAGCTCAGGAGTTCAAGACCAGACTGGGCCACATAGGGAGAACCTGTCTCTACAAAAAATAAAAAATAAAAAACTAGCTGGGCACGGTGGCTCACACCTGTGGTCCCAGATACTCAGGAGGCTGAGGTGTGAGAATCACTTGCGCCCAGGAGGGGGAGGCTACAGTGAGCCATGATAGCACCACTGTACTCCAGGCTGGGCAACAGAGTAAGACCTTGTCTCAAATTAATAAAAAAATAAAAGAATATAAGGGGAAATGAGACTAAGCACTGTGGTAGAATGGGCCCCAAAAGGTGTTAAAATTCTCATCCCCAAAACCTGTGAATAGGTTACAAGGCAAAAGGTGCTGAAGAAATGGTTTGCTAGACTATTTAACAAAATGAAGAAAATAATTTTAAAAAACCTGTGATTAAATTAAGGATATTTAATCAGCTGTGATTAAAGATCTTGCAGTAGGGGGTTACTGCAAATTTTCAAGATGGGTCTAAAGTAATCACAAGTTTCTTTGTGAGGAGACAGGAGGTTGAGTCAGAAAGATTTGAAGATGTTACACTGCTGGATTTGGAGAAGAGGAGGGGACCATGGGCCTAGGAATGCAAGTGGCCTCTAGAAGCTGGTAAAGTCAAGGAAGCAAATTCTTCCTAGAGCCTCTAGAAGGAACATAGTCCCGTTGAACCTTGGTTTTAGCCCAGAGACATCCAATTTGGACTTTTGACCACCAGAAGTAAGAACTATAAGATGATAAAATCAATATAGTTTTAAGTAGCTCAATTTGGGGAATTGATTACAGTAACAATAGCAAACTTATACAAACATTAAGAATTTATTCATTCATCCATGAATATTTATTTATTTATTTATGAGTCTCACTCTGTCACCCAGGCTGGAGTGCAGTGGCACGATCTCAGCTCACTGCAACCTCCGCCTCCTGGGTGCAAGAGATTCTCGTGTCTCAGCCTCCTGAGTAGCTGGGATTACAGGCACAAGCCACTACGCCAAGCTAATTTTTTTTGCATTTTTAGTAGCAATGGGGTTTTGCCATGTTGGCCAGGCTGGTCTCGAACTCCTGACCTCAGGTGATCTGCCCACCTAACCCTCCCAAAGTGCTGGCATTACAGGCGTGAGCCACTGTGCCCAGTCCATCTGTGAATATTTACAGAGTTCGTTCTATATGCTGGCAACATTGGTGAAAAAAGTCTAAGATGCCTGCTCTCAAAGAGCTTATTTCTTTAAGGATGTATTTTCAGAGAGATATTGCAGTGAAAGAGAACAGATATAGAGAACATAAACACAAGCGGTCTGTAATGGCTGGCTCCCTAGCCTCTAACCTCCACAGCAGAGTCACCTAACTCCCAACCAAGGCCTCAAGACCACCCTGGCCCCAAATGGCAGCAATGCAAAGAAACTGAGCCAAGTGGGCAGCATGAGGCTCAGCACTCAGCCCTCCTTCCAGCTGGCCCCACTTTCATCTTGTGTTCCAGTGAATGACTGGGTCAACACAGCCAGTTCCTCTGAAGCTGGGGTTCTAGGCAGACCACATGGGTCCTCCTGGGGATTAAGAGTCTTATGTGGTCCTTCAACTCCGTGCTGAGCTGCCTTGATACTAATCATTGCCCATCAGCCTGCAACTCTACCCATTGTCCAATGGGAGACTCCTCTCTTGCCAAACCCCACCTCCCTGCCTGGAGGTCCAACTGTCCCCTCCACTCCTCTCTAACAAGAGGACATGCCCACTGAACTACCAACTGTAGTCAACCACCTCTCTCGGATACTGCCTGCCTGCTCCTCCCTGGTTCGTGGGTGTGCCCCTGGCCTGCCTTACCTCAGTGGTCTCTGGATCCTAGCCTGAGCAGACTTTGTCCTGATCAGGCTTTCCATCTATTCTCCACGCAAAGCCAGTAAGTCAATGCCACTGGGTAAGGGATTTCTTCTCGGGATGATGCAAATATTCTCAAATTGATTGTGGCAACAGTTATACAACTCTCTGAACACACTAAAAACCACTGGACTGTGTACTTTAAAAAAAGTCAGGATTGGCCGGGCATGGTGGCCCACATCTGTAATCCCAGCACTTTGGGAGGCCAAGGTGGGTGGATCATGAGGTCAGGAGTTCAAGACCAGCCTGGCCAAGATGGTGAAACCCTGTCTCTACTAATAATACAAAAATTACCCGGGTGTGGTGGTGGGTGCCTATAATCCCAGCTACTCGGGAGGCTGAGGCAGAGAATTGCTGGAACCCAGGAGGCGGAGGCTGCAGTGAGCTGAGATCCTGCCACTGCACTCCGGCCTGGGTGACAGAGTGAGACTCCATCTCAAAAAAAAAAAAAAAAAAGGCCAGGCGCAGTGGCTCACACCTGTAATCCCAGGACTTTGGGAGGCCGAGACTGGCGGATCATGAGGTCAGGAGATTGAGACCATCCTGGCTAACACCGTGAAACCCCATCTCTAATAAAAATACAAAAAATTAGGCGGGCGTGGTGGTGGGCGCCTGTAGTCCCAGCTACTCAGGAGGCTGAGGCAGGAGAATGGTGTGAACCCGGGAGGCAGAACTTGCAGTGAGCCGAGATCGCGCCACTGCACTCTAGCCTGGGCGACAGAGTAAGACTCCATCTCAAAAAAATAAATAAATAAATAAAAATAAAAGTCAGAATCATCTCATCTCTGCTCAAAACCCCCCAGTAGAGCCCTCCAGGACCTGCCCTCCCCTCCTCCTCTCCCCCTTGCCCACATAGTCCCTCCAGGCACCCTGGCCCCCTCAATGTTTCTTCTGTAAGCTCCTGTTTCAGGGCCTCTGAATCGGCTGCTCCCTGGACTGGAACACTTGCTCTTACCCCAAGAGCTGTTGGCTCATTCCTCACTTCCTTCGGATTTTGACTCCAATATCATCACCATCGAGGGTCTCCCCATCACCCAACGACAAATGGCACTCCACCCCAGCTACACAGGCCCTACCACTTTCTGCCCTCACCCTGACACTCACGACCAGCTGTTCCAGCCCACAGGTTGGTTGTTTTCTCCCTCCCTCCATTGGAATTAAAGCTCCATGTGGGAAAGGGCTTTGTTTTGTTCACCATGGCATCTTGACCTGGTACCTAGAGAAAAAAAAGGGGGGCACACAATTGACACTCAGTAAATGTTTGTTGAGTGAATAAATGAGTGGTCCAAATCTGACCCAGTCTTGATTCCAGCAATGACACAAGAAAAATATTATTGGGTTGTACTTTAATTATCACAAGACCCTCTAGGACTTTAGTTTAGTGAAATCTGTATTATCACACAATAAAATCAATCCTGATACCAGAAAAAGATCTGCCTTCCTTGACATTCAGATTCATTAAAAATGACAAAAGAAATCTAAACAACTGGAATAAGGAGGGTTGGGCAGATATTGCGGGTAAAAAAAATCAATCCAAAGCTTCCTGGTAGAAATGAATATTTCAGAGCAATGATTTTGCAATAACAAGTTGGCATAAACTGCAAATAACCTTTTCTGTGGGGCCAAAATATTAACTATGCTTCAGGAAAGCAGGCTTTGGTGCCTCAAACAAGATCAGACCTCATGTACCTAATACAGCCATCATTCCAGCTAAAGACGGGATGCGGGTTGATATGGTCTGGCTCTGTGTCCGCACACAAATCTCATATTGAATTCTATTCCCATAATTCCCATGTGTTGTGCAAGGGACCTGGTGGGAGATAATTGAATCATGGCGGCGGTTCCTCCCCCATACTGCTCTCGTGGTAGTACATCTCAAGAGGTCTGATGGTTTTATCAGGGGTTTCTGATTTTGCATTTTCCTCATTCTCTCTTCGCCTGCTGCCATCCACGGAAGACAGGACTTGCTCCTCCTTGCCTTCCGCGATGAAGATTGTGAGGCTTCCCCAGCCGCATGGAACTGTAAGTCCAATTAAACCTCTTTCTTTTGTAAGTTGCCCAGTCTTAGGGATGTCTTTACCAGCAGCATGAAAATGGACTAATACACAGGTTATGTATTTACCACCAAATTCTCATCTATTTGGGGTCAAGGGCCACGCCTCCTATCTGCTTATACCTCCAGGTCAGAGCCTGCACTTGGCCAAATGTATACACATTGAATGAATGATCCGTGGTATCCAACACCTTGAAGTTATATATCCATAAAAATAATCTTAAACTTAAGTACACAATGCAGTTTAAAATTTTCAGAACAATTTCTGAGATCAAAACAATTCTCATGCATACAGATCCTCTACTTTGGTACATTAAAACTATCATCCTAAATCCACTTATCTCAATCTTTTCTTAATGAAATAAAAGTGAACTAAAAGCCAGAAGAGTCAACAGAATATTCAGTTCCAAAGTATCACCCCATATAGGACTGTTAATTAAGAGAGGGTTCAGGTACCCTTACAATGGAGAGAGCTGACAGACACCATCTTCACGAAAGGATCAAACTTGTCAACAAAGGTATAAACTGACATCTCTTAAGGTGATCCACTGACAAGTGTACATCACCTATGAAGGTGGCATTCTGAACAAAAAATCTGAATCTAATAATGAAGAAAATCAGAGGAAGCTAGATTGTAAACATTCTATGAAACAATTGGCATAGGCCAGGCATGGTGGCTCAAGCCTGTAATCCCAACACTTTGAAAGGCCGAGGTGGCTGGGTCACTTGAGATCAGGAGTTCCAGACCAGCCTAGCCAACATGGTGAAACCCTGTCTCTACTAAAAAAAAAAAAAAAAAATAGCTGGGCATGGTGTGCATGCCTGTAATCCCAGCTACTCGGGAGGCTGAGGCAGGAGAATGGTGTGAACCCAGGAGGTGGAGCTTGCAGTGAGCCGAGATCGAGCTACTGCACTGCAGCCTGGGAGACAGAGCGAGACTCCGCCTCAAAAAAAAAAGGCTGGGCGGGCAGGCTCACACCTGTAATCCCAACACTTTGGGAAGCCGAGGCAGGCAGATCACCTGAGGTTGGGAGTTGACGACCAACGTGACCAACATGGAGAAACCCCGTCTCTACTAAAAATACAAAATTAGCCAGGCGTGGTGGTGCATGCCTGTAATCCCAGGTACTCGGGAGCCTGTGACAGGAGAATCGCTTGAATCTAGGAGGGGGAGGTTGCAGTGAGCCGAGATCGCGCCATTGTACTCCAGCCTGGGCAACAAGAGCTAAACTCCGTCTCAAAAATAAATAAATAAGGAAACAAAAACAGATTAATCTGGTCCCAGTAGTGTCTCCAGATTGCACGAACATTTCATTTTTCACACAGGGTCACCAGAATACCATCAATTTTTTGGTATCACTGTCAAAAGTGATCCTAGCACCTTCTGAAATAACGTGAGCTGCCAGATTCTCATTTCAGGAATGACCACAAGCGAACATCTGCATCTGACCCCAACCTGCCTGATGACCTTACCCGCTACTTCACAATCCCGTCCAGGAAAATCCCTGGGCACATAACACTGCAAGTCCCAGGTGTCCGCTGAAGGGCGCCTGGCAGTCACTGCCCAGGGGATGAGAAATCACAGGTGCCTTGTTTGGAACTAGAGTCTGGAATCTCGTCCTCCTTCCCTCTGCTCTGGTCCCTCATTGTTTATGAAGACCTCAGTCCCCTCTGCTGGGAGCCCCACCTCCCCTTTCAGGGCCACGGGCCCCAGTCTTCTTGCCTTTCAAGGACCACACAAATAACTGTGCCTCCCCTCAAAGCTTTTCTCCTCCTTCCCAGGTGAAGTCCTCTCTCCTCCCTCCAGCTTTCAGGGCACGGAGCGTTCTTTCTGGCATTGGAATTCTGAGCAACCCTCCTAGCAGGCCCAGCTCAAGCCGCAGCGGGGAGGAAGAGTTCAAAGGAAGCTATGCCAAAGATCTCGAAGGCTTAGTGGGAGACCCAGCAACAGGTGGCACCAGGTCTGGGAAAGAGACTCCTAGAAAGCGGAGCGGGTCTCGGAGGGGGTGGATTTGGCCCGAGGTGCCCGCGATCAGCGAACGAGCGCCCGCACGGAGGAGCCGGGCTGCAGCTCCCGGGCAAGGGGAGCGCGAGCTCTGACTCCTCAGCCGGGCCGGGCCGGGCCGCTCCGAGGCCCCTCGAAGGAGGCCGGGCGCCGTGGGGCAACCCAGGCAGGGCGCGGACCACCGCCTCCCGGGCTCGTGGGGTGCAGCTCTGAACCTGAGGCGCTCGGAAGCTCAAGGCCAAGACCCGCTCGGGTGGTGGCCGAGCGCCCTCCAGCCCCGGGTCCACCTGCGGCCGCTCCCTGCACCTCACGCCCAGCGGGGCTCCGGGGACCTGCCTCAGGGACCGGCGAGGAAGTGACGGGTAAAGGGGTCCGGGAGAGCAAAGGGACCCCCCTCCGGGAGGACAGCGCCCACCCAGCAGGTCAGCGGCACACCGGGGACGCCGCCCGGACTCGGGGCGCCCATAACCCGGCCCACCCGCCGCTGCTGTCGCTTCCCTAGAGCTCCATCCGGTCGCCATTCACCACTGAGTTAAGGGACCAGCTACCGAAGGGCAGCAGCGGCCAGCCACCAGCCCCCTCGCCGCCTCAGCGTCACTCCACCCGAGACCCTCTTCCTCCAATCCCAACGGCGCTGCCAAGTGACCGTTCCCTCCTCCAATGAGAAGGCGCTCCAGCCGGCGGGGGCAGAGCCAGAGTTGTTCCCGCCCCTGAGGTTGCGCAGGGCTAGCACAGACCCACCCCCTCGGACGCGCGCTATCCTGGAGAAGCGGCCCCTGCCCGCGAACTGCGCGCTCTGCTCTGCCCTTCTCTGCAGCGCCCCCTGTAGGAAAGAAGGGAATTGCATGCGGCCCCCCCGCCCCCGGCCAGAGCTGTGGATTTACCAGGGATCTGGCAAAGCAGTGATCAGAACAGATTTGTAACGTTGTAGTATCTAGGTCTGGACCCCAATATTTACGAAGTCTTCATGAGTAGAATACGAACATTCTCAGGCCGGGTGCGGTGGCTCACGCCTGTACTCCCAGCACTCTGGGGGGAGGCCGAGGCGGGCGGATCACTTGAGGTCAGGAGTTTGAGACCATCCTGGCCAACATGGTGACACCCCGTCTCTTCCAAAAATACAAAAATTAGCCGGGCGTGGTGGTGCGCGCCTGTATCCTAGCTAGTCGGGAGGCTGAGGCAGGAGAATCGCTTGAATCCGGGAGGAGGAGGTTGCAGTGAGCCGAGATCGGGCCCCTGCACTCCAGCCTGGGCGACAGAGTGAGACTCTGTCTCAAAAAACAAAAAAAAAAAAAAAAAAAGAGAGAAAACAAAAAACAAGCAAAAAAAAATTCTCTATTTAAACCGGATAGTAAAAAGCCTATTTTTTTTTTTGAGACGGAGTCTTGCTCTGTCGCCCAGGCTGGAGTGCAGTGGTGCGATCTCGGCTCACTGTAAGCTCCGCCTCCCGGGTTCACGCCGTTCTCCTGCCTCAGCCTCCCAAGTAGCTGGGACTACTGGCGCCTGCCACCAGGCCCGGTTAATTTTTTGTATTTTTTTTTTTTTTTTTTTTTTTAGTAGAGACGGGCTTTCACCATGTTAGCCAGGATGGTCTCGATCTCCTGACCTTGTGATCCGCCCGCCTCGGCCTCCCAAAGTGCTGGGATTACAGGCGTGAGCCACCGCGCCCGGCCTTGTAAAAAACCTATTAAAAGGCTGGTGTGGGACCGGAATGGGAGGGAGGTTGGCCTGTGGATATATAGTCTCTGTACAGTGCAAAGTAGTTGTTTTTTGTTGTTGTTTTGAGACAGGGTCTAGCTCTGTCGCCCAGGCTGGAGTGCAGTGGCACGATCTTGGCTCACTGCAGCCTCTGCCTCAAGCAATTCTCATTCCTCAGCGTCCTGAGTAGCTGGGATTACAGGCATGCACCACCATGACCAGCTAATTCTCTAATTCTCTCTCTCACTGTCTCTCTCTCTCATGTGTGTGTGTGTGTGTGTGTGTGTGTGTGTCTAAGAATGGGGTCTCGGCTGGGCGCAGTGGCTCATACCTGTAATCCCAGCACTTTGGGAGGCCGAAGCTGGTGTATCACTTGAGGTCAGGAGTTCGAGACTAGCCTGGCCTACGTGGTGAAATCTCCTCTCTACTAAAAATACAAAAATTAGCTGGGCGTAGTGGTGCGCGCCTGTAGTCCCAGCTACTCAGGAGGCTGAGGCAGGAGAATCGCTTGAACCTGGGAGGTGGAGGTTGCAGTTGGCCAAGGTGGCACCATTGCACTCCAGCCTGGGCAACAGAGCAAAACTCTGTCTGATAAAAGAAAAGAAAAGAAAAGAAATTAAAAAAAGAATGGGGTCTCACTGTGTTACCCCAAGCTGATCTCGAACTTGTGCCTGAAACAATCCTCCCTGCCTGAGCTTCTCAAAGTGCTGAGATTACAAGCATGAGCCACCTTGCCCAGCTGCTACCGAGTTTTAAATACAATAAAAATTTAAAGACCTTCTATTCAATACAACAAAACTGGATCACACTTTTGACTCACCTCCCTTCAGAGATCCCGTTAAAATGTAGGCAGAGAAATTGTGAAAAGGAATAAGCAAGGTCAGGTGTGGTGGCTCAAGCCTGCAATCGCAGCACTTTAGGAGGCCAGGGCAGGAGGATCACTGGAGCCCAGGAGTTCGAGACTAGCCTGGGCAATATAGCAAGATCCCATCTCTACAAAAAATAGAAAAATTAGCCAGACGTGGTGGCATATGCCTGCAATCCCAGTTACTCAGGATGCTAAGGTAGGATGATTGCTTGAGCCTGGGAGGCGGAGACTGCAGTGAGCAGAGATGGTGCTCCTTAACTCCAGCCTGGGCAAGAGAGGGAAACCCTGTCTCAAAAAAAATTTTTTTTTAAGTAAACTGGGTAATTTATAAAGAACAGAAATTTACTTTCTCATGGTTCTGGAGGCTGGGAGGTCCACGATATAGGCGCCTGTAGGTTGCGTATCTGGAAAGGGCCTGTGCCTCACTGCTGGCACTACCTATGGGTCCTCACATGGAGGAAGAAAGTGAACCCATTCTCTCAAGCCTCCCCCGACCTTTTTTTTTTCTTTGAGACAGAGTCTCACTCTCTGGCCCAGGCTAGAGTGTAGTGGCACGTTCTCGGCTCACTGCAACCTCTACCTCCCGGGTTCAAGCGATTCTCCCGCCTCAGCCTCCCGAGTAGCCAGGACTACAGGCACCTGCCACCACGCCCAGCTAATTTTTGTATTTTTAGTAGAGGGGGGTTTCACCATGTTGGCCAGGCCAGCTTTGAACTCCTGGCCTCAGGTGATCCACCCGCCTTGGGCTTCCGAAGTGCTGGGATTACAGGCATGAGCCAACATGCCCGGCCTATTAGTGTTCTCTCTTGAAGCCTCTGTTTAGGAAGCTTCCTTATGCAGGTTCCCTACCACTACAATTGACGTTTTGTATCAACCAAGAAACCTAAATAAAATAAAAATAGGAAGTATAAAAAAGGTCATGAAATACTGACCTTTAACCATGCTGTCTTTTTGGTACATTTCCTAGACTAGCAGAGTCTATTAGAAGTGGAAGAAACTGCTGGGCGTAGTGGCTCATGCCTGTAATCCCAGCACTTTGGGAGGCTGAGGCGGGTGGATCATTTGAGGTCAGGAGTTCGAGACCAGCCATGGCCAACATGGTGAAACCCTGTCTCTACTAAATATACAAAAAAATTAGCTGAGCCTGGTGGCATGCACCTGTAATCCCAGCTACTCGGGAGACTGAGGCAGGAGAATTACTTGAACCCGGGAGGTGGAGGTTGCAGTGACCTGAGATCGTGCCATTGCACTCCACTGCACTTCAGCCTGGGTGAAAAAGTGAGACACTGTCTCAAAAAAAAACAAAAAACAAAAAAAAGGCCAGGCATGGTGGCTCACTCCTGTAATCCCAGTACTTTGGGAGGCCAAGGCAGGTGGATCACTTGAGGTTAGGAGTTTGAGACCAGCCTGGTCTTGAAATACAAAAAAATTAGCCAGGTGGTGGCAGGCACCTGTAATCCCAGCCACTCAGGAGGCTGAGGCAGGAGAATCACTTGAGCCTGGGAGGCAGAGTTTGCAGTCAGCCGAAATCGCGCCACTGCACTCCAGTCTGGGCAATAGAGCCAGACTCAGTCTCAAAAAAAAAAAAAAAAAAAAAAAAAGCCAGGCACAATGGCTCACGCCTGTAATCCCAGAACTCTGGGAGGCTGAGGCAGGCGGATTGCCTGAAGTCAGGAGTTCGAGACCACCCTGGCCAACATGGTGAAACCCCATCTCTACTAAAAATATAAAAATTAGCCAGACATGGTGGCGAACGCCTGTATTTCCAGCTACTCAGCGGGGCTGAGGCAGGAGCATCCCTTGAACCCGGGAGGCAGACATCGCAGTGAGCCAAGATCGTGCCACTACACTCCAGCCTGGGTGACAGAGTGAAACTCTGTCTTAAAAAAAAAAATTAACAACTCACACCCCTAAACACACATACATTCCTAATCCCCTGATCCCTCTCCACTTTAATCTTTGGCACTTTCTAATATGCTAAATAATTTAGCCATTTATCAAACTTCTCATTCACTGGCTGTGTCCCACCATCAGAATGCAAGTTCCTACAGGGCAGGGGTTTTTGCTTTTTGTCTATCTTGGTCCTGCTCTATCTCCAGCTCCTCCAAAAGCCCGATGCCTGGTTGGTGCTCAACCCATAATGTGTGTTGAATGAATGAGTGGAGTTCATGAAGACTGGGATCAGAATAACACAAGACTTGCAGGACAGGCCAGGTTCTCTGGTCTTACCCCAAAGGGAGAAAATGTGATGCATGAGATCTTTCAGTAGAGGGCGTGGGGAGAACTGGCTACCTGAAAATACAAAGATAACCAGCCCTGGAGCTGGGCACAGTGGCTCACACCTGTAATCCCAGCACTTTGGGAGGCTGAGGCGGGCGGATCACCTGAGGTTGGGACTTCAAGACCAACCTAACCAACGTGGAGAAACCCCTTCTCTACTAAAAATACAAAATTAGCTGGGCATGGTGGCGAATGTCTGTAATCCCAGCTACTCAAGAGGCTGAGGCAGTAAAATCGCTTGAACCTGGGAGGCAGAGGTTGTATGAGCCAAGATCGTACCATTGCACTCCAGCCTAGGCAACAAGAGCGAAACTCTGTCTCAAAAAATAAAATTAAAAATAAATAAATAAAATAAAAACATAAAAATTACCTGGACATGGTGGTGGGTGCCTGTAATCCCAGCTGCTTGGGAGGCTGAGTCAGGAGAATCGTTTGAACCAGGGAGGTGGAGGTTGCAGTGAGCCGAAATTGTGCCGTTGCACTCCAGCCTGGGCAACAGAGCAAGACTGTCCAAAAAAAATTAAAAAGGCCGGGCGCAGTGCTTCATGCCTGTAATCCCAGCACTTTGGGAGGCCAAGGCGGGTGGATCACCTGAGGTTAGGAGTTTGAGACCAGCCTGACCAACGTGGTGAAACCCTGTCTCTACTAAAAATATAAAAATTAGCCAGGCGTGGTGGTGGGTGCTACCACCACCTATACATGGCTAAATCTATCATTTTCACTTTTGCATAGCTGATGGGTTAAAAATGTTACTTGATGTTGTTTTAACCTACGTTTCTTTAATTCCCTGGGCAGCTAAGCATCTTTTCATGCTTATTAATCAACAGCCTTCCTTTTTCTCCTTTTTATTATCATTATTATTATTATTATTTTTTGAGACGGAGTCTTGCTCTATCACCCAGGCTGGAGTGCAGTGGAGCAATATCGGCTCATTGCAACCTCTGCCTCCCGGGTTCAAGCAATTCTCCTGCCTCAGCTTCTGAAGTAGCTGGGGCTACAGGCGTGTGCCACTACACCCGGCTAATTTTTGTATTTTTAGTAGAGACGGGTTTTTGCCATGTTGGCCAGGCTGGTCTCAAACTCCTGACCTCAGGTGATCCACCCACCTCAGCCTCCCAAAGTGCTGGGATTACAGGCGTGAGCCACTGCGCCCGGCCTGGCCTTCTTTTTTCTTTGTTAAAGGGCTTTGCTCATTTTTCTGTTGACTTTCCGCTTCCTCTTGGTTTTGCTCTTATTTTTATGGCAAATGGTTTCTGCTAGCTTGTCATCTGTTTTTTAACCTACTTTATGGTATTTTCCCCCAATGCTTCTGTAAAAAAAAGTATTGAGACATAATTTATATAAAATATTTATATGTAAGGTATAAAATTAGATGTATAGACCTGTGAGATCAGATCACCACGTCACCACAAGCAAATTCCAAAAAGTTTTGTCCTATTTATTATATTTTGAAAGTGAATTCTTTCTTCACAGTTTGTGGATTTTGTGTCTTGTTCAAAAGATTGTGTCCTCTTCAAGACTACATAGTCTTCATATTTGCTTCTTTTTTTTTTTTGAGACAGAGTCTCACTCTATTGCCCAGGCTGGAGTGCAATGACACCATCTAGACTCACTGCAACCTCTGCCTCCCAGGTTCATGTGATTCTCCTGCCTCAGCCTCCCAAGTAGCTGGGATTACAGGCGTCTGCCACCACGCCCAGCTAATTTTTGTATTTTTAGTAGAGATGGGGGTTTCACCATGTTGGCCAGGCTGGTCTGGAACTCCTGACCTCGTGATCCACCCGCCTTGGCTTCCCAAAGTGCTGGGATTACAGGTGTGAGCCACCGTGCCCAGCCGCTTCTTCATTTTTTTTTTTTTTTTTTTGAGATGCAGTCTCCCTCTGTCACCCATGCTAGAGTGCAATGTCATGATCTCGGCTCACTGCAACCTCCACCTCCCAGGTTCATGTGATTCTCCTGCCTCAGTCTCCCAAGTAGCTGGGATTACAGATGCGCACCACCACGCCTGGTTAATTTTTTTTTATTTTTAGTAGAGCTGAGGTTTTGCCATGTTAGCCAGGTTGGTTTCAAACTCCTGGCCTCAAGTGATCCACCTGCCATGGCCTACCAAAGTCCTGGGATTACAGGAGTGAGCCACTGCACCTGCCTCTTTTTTTTTTTTTTTTTTTCGAGATGGAGTGTCGCTCTTCTTGCCCAGGCTAGAGTGCAGTGGCGCGATCTCAGCTCATGGCAACCTCCGCCTCCCAGGTTCAAGCGATTCTCCTGCCTCAGCCTCCCGAGTAGCTGGGATTACAGGCATGTGCCACCACGCTCGGCTTATTTTGTATCATCCTTTTTTCTTTCTTTCCTTCTTTTTTTTTTTTTTTTTTTTTAAATTAGAGATGATGTCTTGCTGTGTCGCACAGGTTGGAGTGTAGTGGGATGAATCACAGCTCACTGTAGCTCACTGCAGCCTCGAACTTCTAGGCTCAAGCAACACCCCCGCCTCAGCCTCCCAAGTAGCTAGGACTACAGCCGTGTACCACCATGCTTGACCAACTTTTAAAAATGTTTTGTAGACACAGGGTCTGCTTTGATGCAGGCTCAGAGCCCAGCCTGACAGTGCTATCCCACAAGATTCATTTGCCTGGCTGGTCTTGAACTCATGTCCTCAAGCAATCCTCCTGTCCCAGCCTCCCGAAGTGCTGGGATTACAGTTGTGTCACTGCCCCCGGCTTTGTTTTTTCTTAGGGCATAATTAAAACCTATAATTGCATGTTTAATCTGTTTGATTATTTGTTTAGTGTCTGCACCCCAGACAAGAGCAAGGGCTATGTGTACTCTGTCTCTTACTGTGTCCCTGGGGCCTGGTACTGGGCCTGACTCATTGAATCACTCAACTGGCTGCCCTCTTAAAATGGGAGGAATAATGCTTCCTAGGAATCAAGCCATGAGAAACTAATGTTAAGAAGTGGCCAACATTATCTGAACCATGTGTAACCAAGAGGAGAAGTGCCAAGAGCCCTGAGCACATACCCTGGGCTAGGTAATGGGAGCCCTTGTAAGTCTCTCTTCCATCTTACACGGTCTGATAGATGCTAGAAATTTGAACGTGTAGGATCAATTGCAAAGTCAAAACTTCTGCTGGCTCTTTGGGTTTCCAAAGGATGGAAATATGAAGTAGATGCTGTTCTCTAGTAGAGCATCTTAGTCAGATGCGGATATAGAAAGATCTCAGGGCCAGAAGGGTATACAAATGTAATGAGAATGAGGAGTCTGATTGGCATTGTCCAATATGGAGCCACTGGCCACGTGTGGCCACGGAACATGTGTGGCTGGTCCTAAAGTCTTCAACTTGGCCAGCAGTGCTGGGCTCAGCTGGTCTCGCTCGTATGTCTTTATAGCTACTCCTCTCAAGTGGTGGACTCAGTTTCCCCACCTCTGAATCTGGGTGAACCCTGGACTCACTTTGGCCAGTAGAAGATAGCAGAAGTGGCTGCGTGCTGATCAGCTGGGGCTCGTGAGGGGCTGGCTGGTCTAGGATGGCCTGGATTGGGACACCTGAACTCTCCTTCTCACGGTCCCTGCTTGTCCAGCAGGTTGGCCTGGGCTTTCTCCGTGGCAGAGGTAGAGGTCCAAAGCAAAGGAGCAGCACACAGGTTCTCTTCAGGTGGAGGAAAGCAGAGGCGTCATCCCAGATTATGCCTCTTTCACATAAAAATGATTTTCAGCTTAAGGCAATTAAGAAGCAGAAAATACAGGAAAAGTTCAGGTTTCCCTCCCCTTTCTGCCTAAAGGCACAATATAAACTCTCCTTCACTGGAGACAACCCTTAACTTTGCCCAGCCAGCGGCGGTACCAGAGGCACCGCAGAGAAATCCTGCTGCATCGGCTTCCTCTCAGATATTTACCTATGCACAGTTTCTCACCTTTGGAGGCCTAAAACTTTCTTTTTCCTGTTATTTCTCTACAAATTTATTGTGTCTTTTGGAATCTGCTGTGTAAGGCAGTGTTCTGAGCCACTGTGTTGTTACTTTTCATTTAGGTTTGTCCTGTGTGATATATGCTGCATGTATTAATGAACTGTTCTTGGGCAGGCACAGTGGCTCACACCTGTAATCCCAGCACTTCGGAAGGCTGAGCACAGGAGTTACAGATCAGCGTGGGCTACATACTGAAACACATGTAGCCCCCCAAAATACAAAAATTAGCCTGGCATAGTGATGTGCCTGTAGTCCCAGCTACTTGGGAGGTTAAGATGGGCGAATCTCTTGAGTCAGTGATGTGGGGGTTGCAGTGAGCCAAGATGGAACCACTGCACTCCAGCCTGGGCCACAAAGCAAGACACTATTTCAAAACAAACAAACAAACAAACAAACTTCTTGTCTGTGAATCTTTTTGTTAAGGAGCCTATTTTAGTCCCTTTTGTGCTGCTGTAACAGAATACCAGAGACCGGGTAATTGATAATTACAGGGATGAGCCACCATGTCTGGCCTGATATACCTCTTACTGAAGACACAGGGGGATATAAAGGTCAATGGCTTTGATGGAGTGTGGTGCCAGGGGCATAAGGGGAACAGAGTCCAGGCTGTGTGTGCATGTGAGTGTGCATGTGAGTGTGCATGTGAGTGTGCATGTGAGTGTGCATGTGAGTGTGCATGTGAGTGTGCATGTGTGTGTGTGGGGGGGTGCACGTGTGTGGCACATGTGGGATGTTCAGAAGCAATATCACCAGATTTTGCTCCCTGCTGGGCCCGGGGCACCCCTTTTCAGCTGCTTCAGGATGCATTCCAAGAGAGGAGAGTCTAGGGGAAAGAAAGAGTTTGGGTAGAGGCCAAGTCATCTGAACTGTTAATAGAAAAACATTAGACAAATTAAGCAGACTTTATTTGAGCAAAGAAAATTTATGAATCGGGCAGCACCCTGAACCAGTAAAGGTTCAAAGTGCTCCACCCAGAAACACTGGCAGGCCGAATTTTTTGGAAGTAACACAGAGAAACAGTCTGATGGGGTACAGCTCAGCATTTGCCTTATATGGACTTGGTCTGATCAGTTGGCAGCCTGTGACTGGTTAAAGCACAGCTGCTGTGACTTGCTGAGATTCAACTATTTGTTACAAGAATATAGTCTCAGTTGGGAGGCAGTTTACTTAAATATTAAGTTAGGTTGCAGTTCAACAGGTATGGCAGCAGCTTTGGGCCAAATTCTCTTTTTTTTTTTTTGGAGACGGAGTCTTGCTCTGTCACCAGGCTGGAGTGCAGTGCACGATCTCAGCTCACTGCAACCTCTGCCTCCTGGGTTCTAGTGATTCCTCTGCCTCAGCCTCCCGAGTAGCTGGGATTATAGGCATGTGCCACCATGCCCGGCTAATTTTTTGTATTTTAGTAGAGATGGGGTTTCACCATGTTGGCCAAGATGGTCTCGATCTCCTGACCTCATGATCCGCCCACCTTGGCCTCCCAAAGTGCTGGGAACTTTGGGCCAAATTTAATTGAATTTAAACATTTCTGCCTTTTGGTCAGCCTCTCAATTTTGAGAGATTGACCAAAACCTTGGGCCCTGACTCCATTTCCTGTCACCATCATAATGGACTTGTTTTGTTTCAGTATTGACTTCACAATTTCACCTTAGTTGAATGATTCTTTATGCTTTCTTCATGTTTTTGTTACTCTAACCCTAACAGACCAGTTGATTTATAAAGAATGGCTGCATAGGAGTATGTAAGACTTCCCAGGGGAGTCAACACATCAGAGAGACTATTATTATTATTATTTTATTATTATTATTATTTTTGAGAGGGAGTCTCGCTCTGTTACCCAGGCTGGAGTACAGTGGCGCAATCTTGGCTCACTGCAACCTCCACCTCCCAGGTTCAAGCGATTCTCCTGCCTCAACCTCTTGAGTGGCTGGGATTACAGGCATGCACAACCACACTGGCTAATTTTTGTATTTTAGTAGAGACAGGGTTTCACCATGTTGGCTAGACTGGTCTTGAACTCCTGACCTCAAGTGATCCACCCGCCTTGGCCTTCCAAAGTGCCGGGATTACAGGCTTGAGCCACTGTGCCTGGCCTATTATTGTTATTTAAGATGGAGTCTTGCTCTGTCACCCTGGCTGGAGTGCAGTGGTGCAATCTTGGCTCACTGCAACCTCCACCTCCTGGATTCAAGAGATTCTCCTGCCTCAACCTCCTGAGTAGCTGGGATTACAGGCATGCACAACCACACTGGCTATTTTTTGTATCTTTAACAGAGACAGGGTTTCACTATGTTGGCCAGGCTGGTCTCGAACTTCTGAGCTCAAGCGATCTGCCTGCCTTGGCCTCCTAAAGTGCTGGGATTACAGGCGTGAGTCACTGTGCCCGACCAGGGAGACTATTATGATGGCTATGAGTGGACAATGCCAAGAAACTGAAGTACACTCCTTATCAGGAGTTTCAACAAACAACTAGTCAAAATCAAATAACTCAAAGTCCATGCAATAAAGATAGTTCAATAGCATTTGAGTCCAATTGGTCAGTCTTTGTTCAGGGATGATGGTGATTAAAGGCCAAACCCTCCCCATTAAATGAGAGATCTACATTAGAGAGGTTTCAGAGACCTCCACCCAGCAACAGTGGGCAAGCAGCGTTTATAAACAGAAAAAGGAAGTGGCATTGGATATAGGCTGATTGGTTACAGCTCAACCTTTGTCTAATTTGGACACATCTGGTCAGTCTGCAGTCTGCCCCTGGCTGAAGGCTGGCTGCTATGATTGGAGAAGACTCCTTTCTTCTTACAAGAATATACTGCCTGGTCAAGTTGTAGTTTGTTTACATAATAAATAAGGTTACATCCCAGTCAAATCCTCCCTACAAAGTATCCCCTATTCTGACCTCTATCACCATAGACTAGTTTTTCTGCTTTAAATAAATGGAATCATGCAATTAAAGAAAAAAGAGAGAAAAAATGAGGTTACAGTTCACTAGATTGCAGGACTTTTGAACAAATTTATTACTTATTTTTTTGATAGAGTCTTGCTCTGCCACCCAAGCTAGGGTGCAGTGGCATGATCTCAGCTTACTGCAACCTCCACCTCTGGAGTCCAAGTGATTCTCCCACCTCAGCCTCCTAAGTAGCTGGGATTACAGGAGTGTGCCACCACGCCGGACTAATTTTTGCATTTTTAGTAGAGAGGGGGTTTCACTATGTTGGCCAGGCTGGTTTCGAACTCCTGACCTCAGGTGATCCACCCGCCTCAGCCTCTCAAAATGCTGGGATTACAGGCATGAGCCACCGCACCCGGCCTGGCACACATTTAATTTAATTTAGCAGTAACTTACTCCCTGCGCCCAGAAGAGGTAGGGGCAAGAGTTGCTTTCCATGAAGAGTGCACCTGATGAGAAGGCAGCTCCAGAAGACTCAAAGGAAAACCGAGAATCAGGAGAGAAAGAAACGTGCAGTCCTTGCCTACTTCAGGGGAGGACCCCAAACTCCCGGTTGATAGTAGGGACCTGCTTCCCCATGCGCCCCAGCTCCCTCTCCACCATGCAGTCGCCTCCTGGGCCTGGCGACCACAGTTCGGGGCCTGCTCTAAGGCCCAGAGTTCTCAGTCAGGCGATGCCCAGCTGAAGTGGTCTGGGCCTCGTGGCAGCACCAGATCCAGGGTGAGGTCACGCTGCTGGTCCGCAGAGTACACAGGCCGGTAGCCCAGCAGCTGCAGCGCGCCGGCGCACACCTCCTGCACGCGCAGGATCTTAGTGAAGGGCAACGCGTGGCGCCAGGCCTGGGAGACGTTGCGCGCATTCCTAGACGAAGTATGGAAGGCCTCGATTGGCTTGCCGATCCCCGACCCGTGGGTGATGTTGTGGATCCAGGCCTCGAGCTGTGGCGTGAGGGTCAGGCCGGTGAAGGCGTAGAGTGCGCGGATCTCTGCCAGCGGCTCCCGCGCCAGGTCCTCGAAGCGCACCAGGCGGTAGCGGCCGCGCAGGAAGGGTGGCGGCTTGAGTGTGGCGGCCTCGGCGATGCGCACGTGGCTGCGGCACACCTCGCGAATCAGGCGCAGGTGAGGGTCGGCCTCCACCCACTTGCCGTTGGTGCCCAGCACGATGCCGTTGTCGCGTGCCAGTATCGGGCCCGCCGCCTCCCGGGAGCGCAGCACGGCCCGCGGGTCGCGCACCAGGTGCACGATGCGCAGGTTGAGCGCGGGGTCGCTGAGCAGCGGGTAGAGCACCTGCAGGTTGAAGAAGCGCACCTCCTTGAGCACCACGTGGCTGTAGGAGCGGCAGGCCTCCCGGGCCAGGCTGAATGGCTGCCGCGTGCACAGTGTCTTGCATACGTCCTGCTTGCTGATGGTGCCTCGGGGAAAGGCGCTGCAGGCGGGCGGCGAGCACAGCGCGCGGCTCGTTGCCCAGTTGAAAAAGGCGGACAGGTTTCGGCTCTGTGGCATGTAGGCATCAAACACGTCCATGTCGCACAAAAAGATAGAGCGCATCAGGTCGCGCACGGCCATGTGCAGCGTTGCCGCGCTGCCCTGCGACAGGGTGGTCCACACATGCCACGCGGGCTCCATCAGGTAGAAGACGTCGGGGTGCTGGCTGAAGAGCTGGCCCAAGAAGGATGAGCCCGAGCGCCACGAGGACAGCACCAGCACGTGCACACGATCCTCGCCGCCGGCTGGGGATGAGGGCCCTGGCCGGGAGATGATGAAGAGCAGGAGGCAGGTGGTCTGTGCCAGGAGGAGCACTGTCACTGTCTTGCTGGAGAACCGTGGCAGCCACATGCGGGCGGCTGGGGGCCTTCGGGTGGAGTGGGCAACTTTAGGGACCCGGGCCCTCATGCCCATCCCATGCCCCAATTACTGCCCAGTGCCCTCAGGGATCAGCCCTCAGATTCGGCTACCCTACCCATTGGACTTCCCAAGACTCCCAAGGTCTCAGTCGAGCACTTTCCCAGGAATACGGAGTCAAGACATAGGCCAGAATATAGTCTGTGCTCACAGCAGAAGTCCAGTTGCAGAATAATGTGGGATATCATCAAACTGTCTACCTACCCACCCACCCACCTACTTACATACCTACAGGCTATCTATCTGTAGAGAGAAATACTATGTTTCAAAGAGAACTCCTGTCTTTTGCTTCAGGATACCTCTTAGAGAGACCCTTTTAGGTTGTGGAGCTAAAAGGGCTTGATGGGGGCTTCGGTGGATGTCAGAGCACCACCAGGCTCGCCGAGGTTGAATCCTGGCTCTGCCACTTCCTAGCCTATGATCTTGCTTATGAAGATCACTTAAATCTCTCTGTGACGGATCACTTTACCCGTGTGTGAAAGAGGGATAATTCCGGTACCTGGCTCACAGGATCTGGGGGGATTGGGGGGTTATTATAATGAAGATGGGGGAAGGGAACACGCAGTCATGCCCATAACTGAGGATTGCACCTTTTACAAGGTGTGCTTCTGTATTATATAATTTTTTTAACAGGCAGGTATAAAACTTTTGTCAGCCAGGCGCGGTGGCTCACGCCTGTAATCCCAGCATTATGGGAGGCCGAGGCGGGCGGATCACGAGGTCAGGAGATCGAGACCATCCTGGCTAACACAGTGAGACCCCATCTCTACTAAAAATACAAAAAATTAGCCAGGCGTGATGGTGGGCGCCTGTAGTCCCAGCTACTCGGGAGGCTGAGGCAGGAGAATGGCGTGAACCTGGGAGGCAGAGGTGGCAGTGAGCTGAGATTGCGCCACTGCACTGCAGCCTGAGTGAAGAGTGAGACTCCGTTTCAAAAAAAAAAAAAAAAACAACAAAAAAAAAACTTTTGTCATTAAAGATAAACAAGTAAATAAAGTGGACAAAGAACAGCAACTGTTGTCATCACTGGTGGGGAGTGAAGTGCTGTAGGCAGCATGGGCTCCAGAAGGAGGGTGTCCTGGAGCCCTGTGGGTTTGCAAGAAGATCAGTTGATGGGGAGCTGGGATGGAGCCCAAGAAGCAGAGAGGTGAGAGCAGAGTACTGTCCTGGCCAGCTGAGGGGACTCACCACCGTCCAGGGCTGCTGGGAGAGCTGCAACGCTGATCACAAATCCATGGGAGATGTCTCGACATCTGGCAAAGCAGGAAGGAGAGGAGATCAGAGCCCTACAGAGAGACAGCCCTGTACATAGAAAGCTCCCCAGGGTGGGAACAGAGCTGTCCTGCCTGCCTTTTGCTTCAGGATAACTCGTAGAGAGACCCTTTTGGGTTGTGGAGCTAAAGGGCTTGATGACGGTTTAGGCGGATGTCACACCACCACCAGGCTTGCTGAGGTTGAATAAGTCTGAGTAGGGCATTTCTCCAAATGGCTGGGAACTGGCGGGGTCTCCTGATGGATGGAAGCGAGAGAGCTGGCTCCAAATCCCAGCACTGCCAATGGGGAGCTATGAGACCTGGGGCAAGTGACTTAACTTCTCTGAGGCTCAATTTGCACCTCTGTAGAATGGGATTTGCAATATTTAACCTCTTAGAGCTGTTGTGATGGATGCTGCTGCAAACACCTATGAGGGGAGGGCCTGGGGAAGCATTCCTTACACACATGCCCCTGTTACTGTTACTGTCCCTGTGCTGAGCTACATCTGGAGAGAAAGAACCCCCTCCACCTGGTGAGTCTCCCCACAGAGGAGACACCCACAGGCCACCTACCCTTCCAATCCCTGTATCTCCCAGGCCATCCTCTGGCGTCCAACCACCCTGAGCCTTTAGTGGACCTTAAGAATGTCACGCATTTCTCACAGGGTGGAAGGAACACTGAGCCAGCCTCCCGCATTCCAAGGTCCTAAAGTGTTCTTCTGTTTGCACCTGTTGCATCTGCAATGATCTCAAGGCTGGGTGACTTTGGAAGGGAGGAGCCTGGAAGTTTTCTCCTTGCTCCTGCATCCTTTGCTCCTTGCCTGCCCCCTTCCCCTGTCCACACTGCCCACTGAGAGAAGCCAGGGTCTAACTTGTGAGCAGATCTCACCTCTGCTCCTTCGCCTCAATGCGGGGACAGGAGTGAGCGGAGGATGCCCAACACCTCTGTCACCTGCTGACTCCCGAGCTGCCTTCTGGATCCCCACACCCACTCCTGGAAAACCTGGAAGATGAGGAGAGTAGCCCCCCACCTCCGCTACAAGTGCAACTGTACTTTTTCCAGTGCTGGCTGATGGATGGTGAGCTCCCTTGCCAACAGAGTGCCAGAAAGGAAGGGAACTCATATTTGCTGACTTCAATGATCACAAGTGCTAGGTGCTTCGAGTCCACTGGATAACTTAACTCTGGGCCCTGAGGTGGGCATGATGATGTCAATTTTTCAGGTGAAAGACTCAAGGCTTAGAGAGACAGCAAGAAAGCTGGGACTCCAGGACTCCTGTTCCGAAGCTCCTGGCACTTCTGATCCCAGGCTGTGGGCCTCTCCCACCTGTGATTGCCCCCTGCAGAGTGCAGGACCCTGCTGCTCTGGCCCAAACACAGTTGTCCTGGCCAGCCCAGCCCTTCCCTGGGTAGGGAGGATCTTGATCCCAAGCTAAGGTGTTTGTTACCTGTGTTCCAGGAAAGCCAGAGGTCTTCTTAAGGTGGTTGAATCACTCTATGCCACACAGAGTCTCCAGAAGACCAGTTCCTCACTGGGAGCTTTCTGATAAGGAGACTTACATTCAGCACAGTGGACAATTGGCCAAGGGTGCAAAGTTAGGGAGAACCAGTCAGCCAGGCCCTGTGATATGCACTTTCATCTTCATGATTGAATGTTATCCTCCCAAGTCCCTTGGAGGTAGAAATAACCATCCCTATCTGTTTTAATTGAAGCAGTGGGGCTCAGAGACATTAATACCCAGTAAGAAAGAGGCAGGGCAGGGGCTTAAGTCCAAGAGCCAGACTCCCAGTGCAGGGCCCTGTGGTGGGTCACACTCCTAAGCCTTTGTCCAGTGAACTCTTCCATCCTGGAAGGACTGTCCCCTTCCCCTCTAAATTCTTCCGTTTTTTGATTCTTTTCTGGGGGCACATATTTATTACATGTTTAATTTTTAGAAAAATAATACAAACAGGTCACACGAAATTAAAAAAGTAGAGATGAGGGCATCGCAGACTTGGCCTCCCAAAGTGTTGGGATTACAGGCGTGAGCCATAGCGCCTGGCCAAAATGCAATTCTTGACTGCCTTGCCTCTGTGTAAAAGGAGAGAGAAAGGAAGTCAACATTTGCATTTGCTAGACATTGGACACAGTGGCTTACGCCCGTAATCCCAGCACTTTGGGAGGCCTAGGTGGGTGGTCACCAGACGCCAGGAGTTCAAGACCAGCCTGGCCAACAAGGCAAAACCTATCTCTACTAAAAATACAAAAATTAGGCCAGGTCTGGTGGCAGGTGCCTGTAATCTCAGCTACTTGGAGGCTGAGGCAGGAGAGTAGCTTGAACCCAGGAGACACAGGTTACAGTGGCCGAGATTGTGCCATTGCACTCTAGCCTGGGCAACAGGAGCAAAACTCCATATCAAAAAAAAAAAAAAAAAAAAAAAAATTAGGCCAGGTGCGGTGACTCATGCCTGTAATCCCAGTGTTTTGGGAGGCCAAGATGGGTAGATCACCTGAGGTCAGGAGTTCAAGACCAGCCTGGCCAACATGGTGAAACCCCATCGCTAAAATTAGCTGGGCAGAGTGGCTCATGCCTATAATCCCAGCTACTCGGGAGGCTGAGGCAGGAGAATCACTTGAACCCAGGAGGTGGAGATTACAGTGAGCCGAGATGGCACAATTGCACTCCAGGCTCTGTGACAGAGTGAGACCCCATCTGAAAAAACAAAAACAAAAACAAAAATTTGGGCCCAGTGCCATGGCTCACGCCTGTGATCCCAGCACTTTGGGAGCCTCAGCGGGGCGGATCACCTGAGGTCAGGAATTGGACAGCCTGGCCAACATGGTGAAACACCGTCTCTAGTAAAAATACAAAAATTAGCTGGGTGTGGTGGCGGGCGTCTGTAATCCCACCTACTCCAGAGGCTGAGGCAGGAAATCACCTGAGCCCAGGAGACAGGTTGCAGTGAGCCAAGATCAGGCCACTGCACTTCAGCCTGGGTGACAGAGCGAGACTCCGTCTCGAAACAAACAAACAAACAAACAAACAAAAAAACATTTCCTAGGCACCTGTACTGTCCTGGGGCCCAGAGGGCCTTTCCTAAAGCCTAACATCAAGGCCCTAGAGGCAGTGAGGCACGACTCCACTTCCCCTGAGTCTGGTTGCAAATTAACTCACCAAGCTATTTTTTCTCAAGAATTTCATGGAGAGCTTTTGAAAGCCACACCCTTTGAGACCCAAGTATGGAATAAGAACCCGCACCCCGACCCCTGCCCTGCGCAGTGAGGATTCCCGCGTGCAGCCGAAGCCCCAGCAAGACACTTCCAAACCAGCGCTAGCAGGGGAGATGAACTTTCCACGTTGCTGATGGAAAAGCCACCCCCAGCTCTTCCCGCCAACCCAGGTCTCTGGTGCAGGACAGAGGAGCGTCACAGCTGGGCCACTGGCCCGGCCCCCAGCCCAACCGAGTGTGGGGACACCTCCGGTGGAGAATGAAGAACCAAAGTACCTCAAAGCTTGGCGTGTCTGCCAGAGCTGGAGCAGCAGCCAGAGGGACGCCTCTCCCCCTGGGCTCAGCAAAAGCTCCCAGACGTCGTCTCTTCCAAGTTCCACCGCACAGCCAGCTCTTTCTCTTCACTGGGAGGTTCCGCAGGGGCTGACTTGCTCCTTAAGGTCCCAAGACTATTAAGGGACACCCAGTGAGGCTGGGAAAGGGGCTCTAAGAGGCATGGACGAAGAGTCGGGGGTAACCAAGCCACTGGAAGCTCCTGGAGACTCGAGGCAGAGCGAATCTGGGAACAGGGCAGGAGTCCCAGAATGGGATGTTGAGGATGGGGGTGTCCTGGGGCTACCACAGGGAAGGACCCGGCGCAGAGCTCCCTCCGGAGCCCGGCACTGCGGCCCGCGCCCTCTACTCCCCGCGCGCCGGCCAACAACCCTCGGCGCTGCCCCGCAATCTTCAGCGCTGCCTGGTGAGGAGCTTTCAGACGTGGCTGCGGTCCCAGGGTGGCCGGCGGGAGCCAGGGAAATGGGAGAAGGAAGGAAGGAGCAGGTTTTGCCCCCAGCTCCCTCTCCCCACCCCCGACCGAGGGGCCATGTCTCGGGGAGGGGCGCTGGCCGAGGGCAGAGCAGGAGGGCCCAGGTGGGCTGGGGCTCTAAGAGGCGCACCTTTTAGCCGGGGATGTCAAAGGACGCTGGCAGAGTCACTTCTCATCTAACTGACCACAAATGAACGTTGTAACCCTTCCTCACCCCCCCAATCGCCAGAGAACCTGGGAGCTCCTGGGAGGACAAAGGCCCTAGTGAAGGAAGTCGAATCTTAATCTTGGCCCTCCTCGCTCTTGGGGGCATCCTTGCAGCCAAGGGACTTGGAATCCAAACCCTTCCCAAGGCCCCAACCTCAGCCCTAAGCCAAGACCCAGGCACCTTGATGACACAGGAATCCGTGCTGCCTCCCGGTGCAGTGTCCCAGCTGGGAGGAGTTGAAAGACCAGGTGGCCTTAGGAGCTGTGCCCTCCCTGCCCTAGCCTCCGCCCAGAGGCGCAGGCTTGATAACATGTTCCAATGAATACAGGATATGTTTCAGTAAATAAAAGCTCCCCACCCACCCCTTACAAATAACAGCTCAGCCTGGCCTGGTGGCATATGACTGTAATCCCGGCACTTTGGGAGGCAAGGCAGGCAGATCACTTGAGGTCAGGAGTTCAAGACCAGCCTGGTCAACGTGGCAAAACCCCATCTCTACTGAAAATACAAAATTTAGCCGCGCATGGTAGCACATGCCTGTAATCCCAGCTACTAGGTAGGCTGAGACAGGAGAATAGCTTGAACCCCGGAGGTGGAGGCTGCAGTGAGCGGAGATGGGGCCATTGCACTCCAGACTGGGTGACAAAGCGAGACTCCATCTCAAAAACAAAGAAACAAACGGGCAGAGTCCAGTAATCTGAAAAGGATAGAGCATTGGGAGGTCCTTTAATCCATGGTGGTATCTGAAACGAGGAGTCCCTGCTGCTGGGAGTAGAAATTAGCAGTCTTTCCTGGCTGTGGTTTGGCAATGAATTAAGATCCTTAACAATGGTCATAAGTTTTCTGAATGTATCTTAAGGAAATAAACCAGCAACAATGATTTCTACACAAGGTTTATAAAAGTGTTGTTTGTGATACTAAAAAGGTTACATACAACAAAAAAGATTAGAAAGATGTGTGCCAGAATGCCAACCATAATAACTTCTGTGATCAAACTGCTGTGATCCCAGCACTTTGGGTGGCCAAAGCGGATGGATCACTTGAGGTCAGGAGTTCGAGACCAGCCTGACCACCAGGGTGAAGCCCTGTCTCTACTAAAAACACAAAAATTAGCCGGGCATGGTGGTGGGCACCCGTAATCCCAGCTACTCGGGAGGGTAAGGCAGGAGAATCACTTGAACCTGGGAGGTAGAGGCTGCAATGAGCTGAGATCATGCTGCTGCACTCCAGCCTGGGTAACAGAGTGAGACTCTGTCTCAAAAAAAAAAAAAAAAAAGAAAAAGAAAAAGAAAAGAAAAACCACCTACTGGGTACTATGCTTATTACGTGGGTGATGAAATAATCTGTACACCAAACCCCCAGGTTGTACAATTTAGCTATATACGAAACCCATACATATACCCCATGAGTCTACAATAAAAGTTGGAAGGAAAAAAAAAAAAGAAATAATTGCTTTATTAGCCTTACATGATGGAATATTAGGGGGGCCTCATCTGACTTAAGCCGAAACTGTACTAATCATTTGGCAAAATCAGGAGTCTTTCTGCCTCCAAATATTCAGTAATAACATCAAACCTTAACTTAGCTATGGGTCGGAGCTGAGTTAATAAAATCCTCTATATTTCTTTTTTTTTTTTTTTTTGAGACGGAGTCTAGCTCTGTTGCCAGGCTGGAGTGCAGTGGCGCAATCTCGGCTCACTGCAACCTCCGCCTCCAGGGTTCAAGCGATTCTCCTGCCTCAGCCTACTAAATAGTTGGGATGACAGGCACGTGTCGCCACACCCAGCCAATTTTTGTATTTTTAGTGGAGATGGGGTTTCACCATGTTGGCCAGGATGGTCTCGATCTCCTGACCTTGTGATTCACCCACCTCGGCCTCCCAAAGTGCTGGGATTACAGGCGTGAGCCACCGCTCCCGGCCTCTTGCTTTTTATTTACCTCTTGCAGCTATGCTGTGATTCAGAGTCAGAAACTATCAACATCTGGTCTGTAAATAATTTCATATTCACCAGACACAGTCATAATTATCCAACACGTAGATTTCACATGGCATGTGAATCCCACTGAAAACTCATCTACCTGGGGAAGAACTAGGGGACTTTCACCAAAGACCTCATGGAAGTTCCAAGGTCGTTAGGCAGAGCCTTGTAAAGCATGGCTGTAGATGAGTAATAAAGACAGGTGTGTGCAACCTCTGCCCTCCCTATTCTTTGCCATTCCAAACCCTTTCCCTCGAAAAAGGTACATGTGATCTTCCATTTTGACTTTTTTATTTATTTATTTATTTATTTTAACAGATAGGGTCTCACTCTGTCACCCAGGCTACAGTACAGTGGTGCAATCATAGCACACTGCAGCCTCAAGCTCCTGGGCTCAAGTGATCCTCCCACCTTGGCCTCCCAAAGTGTTGAGATTACAGGAATGAACCACCATGCTCGGCCTCATTTTGAACATTTTAATTAGAAAGTTACAAAACATCATGGGTTCTTTATACAAGATTTGCATTAGAATAATTTAATAAAATGCAAACCAATGTTTATACGTATCTTGTCATCTTTCCATATCTCATTGCCTTATGTGAATTTAAACAAGAAACTATTTTTCGTTTAGATCTTAAGAAAAAAATTTAGGCATATAAAACAGCCTGAATATTAAAAAAAGACAAGGGGGTCAGTGTTAGGGAATTCCTCTGCTTGAATACTTCAAAATAGCTTTGTTTCCAAAACTGTTTTAGTAAGCCTAAAGGAGCACTAAAAACGACAACTGATCTCCAAAGTAAACTGAGGCACACACTGAGGGGTGTGTTTCTGGGTGGGCATGAAGCATGGATCACCGGGGCCATGTCCTTCCAGTGGCAATGACCTGCTTGGGATCAGGAAGCAGCTCCATGTGTTCTTGGAGGAGACTGCCCACATCCTCAGGAGGTGAATGGGCTGAACAAGCCATCTTCCGTGTGCAGAGGCCCCTTCCAGCCATCTCTGCTCCTGCAGACACTTGCTTAGCCACGAGGGTAATCCACTGGACTGCTTGGTATTCTGCTAGTGGCCAGGCTGGACTGGCCTGCCCAGGCCAGCATCCTCTTTACACTCTTACTGCTTCTTGTGTCCTTCCCAAAGCTGCCCGCCCCACTCTGATGGGCACCCTGTTCCTTAGTCAAGGGAAACGCCAGCCGCTGGGCTTCCCGCTAGCCTTCCAAATAAACTTGTGGTTGTCAGGCAGCGGGAGCCAATCCCAACACCAACCCCTGTCGCCCCTGTCCTTTGCAGGAAGGGGGAGGGCTGTCAAGGAGGAGGAGGGCCAAGTGCCCAGGCTGTTGGGTGAGGGCCAGAAAGAACCTGTTGTGACAATGCTTTCTTCCCCCAGTGCTGCTGAGGGGGCTGAGAATGAAACAGCCCCTCTGACTTCAGCCTGCCATCCAGGGGCACAGACAGAGGGAAAAATAGGGCAAAGAGCCCAGTCACAGTACGGCAAAGATCCAGGGCTGCTCAGCTGAGCTGATGACAGATGACTGACTGTTGGGCTGGGGCAGGTGGACGGTCCAAGTGTCCTTCAGCGGCCCTCCCTGATTGCCTGTGCTAATGCGGCCCTTGCCCTTGGGCCCTGCCCCTCCAGGTCTCCAGTTAAAGGCCTCAGCTCTGGAAATCAAAGCTGTGAATGGGAAATGGAGAAGCCCAGGGGTGCAAAGTGCTAGTGATTGGCATGTTTGTCACAAGAGAGCCCTGAAAAGAGTAAGAGTGGCTCACAACAGAAGGTAGAAATGCACAGTGTGTTCCTCAGTTCAACAGAGGAAAAGTCTCTGCTTGACCAGAGATGGGACTCTTTCCAAGATGTCTGAACTGACTGCAATTTTCTCCTGAAATTCAACGCTAAGGCAAAGAAGGAAAACCCAAAAAGCTAATTATAGCCTCCAGGAACTCTCAGACCTTTCCACAAACTAGTCCCTGACAATTCTGCAGGAGCTCTGAAGATACGGAACTGTGTAGAGCAAAACCGGAAAGAACCGTTGTCTCTGAGGGAAAAGCACACAAGCCCGCAGGTGTCCGCTGGGCTCTTTCAAAAGGTCCTAAGATGTTCCCAGAAGATGACAATGAGGCAGCCACGGTCCTGCTGAGTCTTCAGAAATGGCCTTTCTAGGATAAGTGCTCCTTACACAAGTCTCCCCGGGGCGTCACTGTCACAGGAATGGTGGTCACCACCTGATTCTGAAACACGAAGATCTTGATTCTTTCAAACACCCAGAGGAAGATAAGCAGGATGCTGACATACTGCACCCAGGCGAACTTTACCATCTCCCAGAATCCTGGCTGATAAGTATGGACAGTTAAGGAGTGAAGGGCCACATGGTGTTAAGTATGAAGAGAAAATCCAAGATGGAATTGGCTGTGGCAGAGGTATCTCGAAAGGAGGCAGGACCTCTGTCATGTACACACCCAGATGGAAGCTGACCTGAACTTGGCCAAATGGTAAAACCAGCCACATTTGATTTGAGCTATTTATATACCAAGCCTGATGACCAACCTCCTAAACAGACAACTATGCCAAACTAGATTGATCATGGACTAGAGATATCCTGAGCTGTTAACCAGCCATCCATCCATCTTCTAAAATCTTCCAGTTGTGTAAACTTGGAACACCCTTAGCCCCTGCCTAATTGCACCTGTACGGAACACAATTTAGCTGCTTCCTAGGTTTGTGTCTCTGGAATTGTAATTCCTAAGACCCCAGTTAAAATGCCTTCTCTTTTGTTTGCTTCTCTGCAGTGTTGGTGTTGGTTTCATTTTCCATTAGTCGACCTAAGTCAAAATTAAACCAAAGTTTAGGTCAGACAGGGACTGGCAAGAATGTTTCACATAACCTTAGCATAAAAGGGATATCATATGATTATTAAGACATAAATATGGATGATTCTTACCTAGAAGAATTGCTTGGAAACAAATAGGACCAAGACATGAATTATTTGTTCCTATATGAATAGCAGACATACAGTCATTTTCTGAGACATGTAGCCTAAGATGTCAAAGACGCAGCCATTTTTATGAGGCTATAACCCTGTCATGATTTCCAAGAGAAAACCTCCCACGTCTGTTACTACTTGAGACAACTAAGGAATCATTCCTCTTTGAAAACTGAGCTACCATTGATTTTTTTTAAATTGTTGTTTGCTTTAAGAGGCAGGGTCTCACTCTGTCACCGAGGCTGGAGTACAGTGGCACAATCATCGCTCACTGCAAGCTTGAATTCCTGGACTCAAGCAATCCTCCTGCCTCGGCATCCCAAGTAACTGGGACTACACATGTACGCCACTATGCCTGGCTAATTTTTTTTTTTTTTTTTTTGGTAGAGACAGGGACTCACTATCTTGGCCAGGCTGGTTGTGAACTCCTGGGTTCAAATGATCCTCCCACCTTGGCCTCCCAAAGTGCTGAAATTATAGGCAGGAGCCACCACATCCAGCCTTAACATGGACTCTTTAACAGAAAGGATATGAAATGACTTCCACAGGGTATCGGATGATAGCATTAATCACAAATGGAGCATCTGCGGCCCTGCCCACCAGCCAGATGGGGTTGGGATCATTCAGGACGGTGGTAACTGCAATGCAATCATTAACCATTAACCACGATGGCTGTTTGACTCTGGCAGTTGAAGGCTATAAAGATTATTTGATACCTGGAAATTATCCTGTGCTTCAGAACTGAAAGAAATCATTCGGAAGGAAAGAGAAATTGCATGTGCAAAGCTGATCACACATTATTTGTTAAAATAATAGTCAAAATACTTTTGTTAAAATACATAAAAAACTTGGAAAGAGTTTCTTCTACATGTGCTGAATGGCTAACTGAAGGAATACTATACTGCCACTAAAAGTAGTATCACAGCTTTGTAGCTGTGTGGGGAAGTATTTATATTCCAAGTTTAAATAAATAAAAGTAACTTGGATCCCAATGTGTTTCTACACTACAATGGCTGTATAAAAAGATCTGCAGAAGGCTAAAGAATGAAAGGAATGAAAAAATAGTTGATTTGTAGGGCAATGTTTTCTACTTTTGTTTTAAAATTCCCTCTATTATTGCAATAATGCCACTAGTATATGCCATAAAATCAGTAAGCAATACTGGATTTGCAGTCATCCCCCTTGTGAGACGTCTGTGTATAGTCTCCATGATGTCTGCTTGCCAAGTAACACTGTAGATGCTTTTAGAGAAAACCTCAGCCACCGACCAGACAAACGTGCCGAGTCCACACATGCCATGGCCTAGAGCTCTGTAAGGAATAAGCACACTGTGCCTTCTGGCAGGAAACAGGGGCACTCCTGTTCTCCTGCTGGACTGCTAATGTGGGGAGAGTCACCCACGTTCTCTGTTTTTCTCTGAAAAGCATGAACAGCAATTTGTCTTTGGCATCTGTTATAGGTGTGGATAGGTGTGGTATGGGGAACAACTCAATTAGGCTTATATTTTTTAAAAGAGAAACCCACTAAGCCAGTGGTGGGATAATGATGGCATTTAACCATCACTAGCCTGCTGGACCATGGGATGCTGGAGGGGTGGGGGCGGTCCCAGGTCTGAAGATCAGGACGAAAAAGACAAATCCTGGACAGCATATTTGCTCCCATCGTTGAGCATTCACGGGTTTTGACATTTTCATCACAAGGGTTCCAGTTCTGCTTGTCTCTGTTGCCCCCACTAACCTTGAAAGTCCTGAGCAGCGGCTGAATGGGCTCTACCTGTGACTCACCGTTCCTCTCCTGGTAGGCAGCAACAATATGGGTGAGGTCGTAGTCATAGGCAAAGGGGCTGGTCCCGTTGATCACGGATATCTGGGACACGGGAGGAGGATGTGGTGTGAGCACCTGGGAGACTCCTCCCCTTTTCCTTCTACCCTTCTGCCCACCCAGGCTGGTCCCACAGAGCACCCTCTTGTTCTTGGTGGCCTACTGCAGTATCAATAATCTTTTCTTCAAAGATGAATAAAACAGGCTGCTGCCCACCCAGGCTGGTCCCACAGAGCACCCTCTTGTTCTTGGTGGCCTACTGCAGTATCAATAATCTTCTCTTCAAAGATGAATAAACTCTCTTGCAACAATTTAAGCCCATTTACTCTCAGTCTTTCTTTCTGTGGATGGAAATAAGGGGTCAGTGTCCATGTTTTACAGGTTTTAAAGCTATTTTTAAAATACCCCTCTTTATCTCAGCGGGAGAAAGAATTCCTTAAATTATTTTAACAGACCGTATTTTCGCCAGGTGTGGTGGCTCATGCCTACAATCCCAGTGACTTGGGAGGCTGAGGCAGGAGGACCACTTGAGGCCATGAGTTCAAGGCCGTAGTCAATGATGATCATGCCACTCACTACACTCCAGTTTAGGAAACAGAGAAAGACTTCATCTCTCAAAAAAAAATAAAAATAAAAAAAAATAAAAAGCCAGGCATGGAAGCTCACGCCTCTAATCCCAACACTTTGGGAAGCCCAGGCAGATGGATCACTTGAGACCAGGAGTTCGAGACCAGTCTGGCCAACATGGTGAAACCCCATCTCTACTACAAAGAAAACAAAAATTAGCCAGGCGTGGTGGCATATGGCTGTAATCCCAGCTATTCAGGAGGCTGAAATCAGAGGATCTCTTAAGCCTGGGAGACAGAGGTTGCAGTGAGCCGAGATCATGCCACTCCACTGTAGCCTGGGTGACAGAGCAAGACTCTGTCTCAAAAATAAAAATAAAATACAAATAAAAACCCCTACACAAAGACAAAAAAAAGAAACCATACTTCCAACTCCTTTGTCATTTTCTTGGTCTTTTCTGGGTGCTAAGTTCTTTATCACTTTTAAATATAGAGATATAGATAAAATGCAAACCATAAGCATATAATCCCTTAAAGGAGGAAATAATTGCTTGCTGTTAATGTAATCTGATATATAGACATTCAAACAAAAAGTGCCATATTCATTTCATATGTTGCAGCTTCCTATTCTTTACAACTTATATTGATTATAGTCAGAGCAACAGTAAAACCCACTATATATCTACAAGTCTGGGTTTATGGCTGTAATAACCGATAACATCCCTTTTTCATTTTCAGAAGTACCTCAGCTCAACTTCTATGGTCCCCATTGTGATAAAATAAAAGTGAGGAATGAGTGATTAGATGCATGAGTTCTGCACACAGACAGGCTCTGTTATCTTTCAAGATTTGAGCCTTTGGGAAAATTAATCACTTTAAGCCCCAGTTACGTCTTCTGCAAAATGAGTTCATTATTTAAACAAGTATCTCTGTGAGCTTACCATCTGCCAGGCAGTGTGCTAGGCACGGATGTGATAGTATTTGAGATGCCACTGCTGTCAAGGCTGAGGGAGACAGCAAATAAACACACAAACACATATCCTGAGTAGGCCAGGCGGCAGGAGGGAGAGTCTGGCTGAGGAATGGTGGAAGGAGGGGCTGCTACTGTAGAAGCAGGTCAGAGAAGGACTGGGCTTGGGGATATCTGAACAGGGACCTGAATGGCATGGTCCGATAAGCCACATGGATGCCTGGCAGAGGAAATGGCAAAAGCAAAAGCCCTGAGGTGGCAGCTGCTTCTTGGGTTTGAGGAACAGCAAAAAGGCCAGGGGGGCTGGAAGGGAGCAAGCGGGGGCAGTGATGGGACAAGTGGCTGGAGTGCGGGGAAAGGACAATGCAGGCAGCTCAGAGGTTGCCATGATGATTAAAGGAGATGATATAGGTAAACGCCTGCACTCAGGGGTGGCATATGTTATGAGTTCAGTAAACTATGGCTAGTAATATTTCTGAAATACTTTACATGAACATTTTACATCATCATTTTACAGTGTCCTTCGGAGTACATCCTGCGTGTGACCAAGCGTGTGTATGGAAGACACAATGTGTGTGTGTGCACCCACGTGGACCTAAAAGCAATAAGCAATTTAGTTCTTCGACAAACACAGATTTTGTTTCTCTTCCCTTCTAGGTGTAACTATGCGTGTACCTTCTCTGTAGTTTGAAAAAATTCATGGCAAGAATTCTACAGAGACCCTCTTTGGTGCCACCCACAAAGAAATGATATTTCTACTTTTCTTTTCTTTTTCTTTTTTTTTTTTTTTTTTTTTTTTGAGACAGAGTCTTGCTCTGTTGCCCAGGCTGGAGTGCAGTGGCGAGATCTCAGCTCACTGTAACCTCCACCTCCTGGGTTCAAGCAATTCTCCTGCCTCAGTCTCCCAAGTAGCTAGGATTACAGGCACGCACCACACGCCTGGCTAATTTTTTGTATTTTTAGTAGAGACAGGGTTTCACCAGGTTGGCCAGACTGGTTTCAAACTCCGGACCTCAAGTGATCCATCCGCACATCTCCGCCTCCCAAAGTGCTGGGATTACAGGTATGAGCCACTGCGCCTGGCCTGACATTTCTACTTTTCATTCCCCTCTTTAAAGAACTTAATGAACAGTAACACAGAGAAACAAAGGAGCTGGACAATGAGAAGCGCTCTTACGTTGTATCGGGCATCTAGGCCACCACAGCTCAGCGGCTGCTTCTGCTGCAGCCTCAGGTCTCCGTTCACGTATAACTGGGATCCCGGGACAGGAAAGGAGGACTGGAGAAACGCCATGCTCTGCATCACGAGGGTCGCCATCCTCTGAAATCATTAGAAGGACCAACAATACCAACCGCCATCAGATCTGAAGGGCTCTGGGTGCTAAGAGTCACCTGTCTTGGCTGAAACCTAAGAGGCCCTCACATACCTAGCGTAGCCATGCAGGAAACACTGCCTAGAACCTTCTGAGCTATTAATAGCCCATGTCAGTTAATATGACTAGTGAAAACCATTCCATTGGCCTAAGTTAAATCCCAAACTACATGGGGAAGAGGGCCCGCTAGAGTGCGGGTCTTCTAGAAATCAGAAGAAGGACTCTGGTCTACTAAAAAGACACAAGGGAGAGGACAGCCTCCCAGCGGACTGACTCACGTGTAATCGATAGGAGAAAGTCAGGATGAGCTGCACACCGAGAACGTGCTCCGTGGACTGCAGGGGAAGCTCCAGCTTAAAATGTAACATGTCCGTCTTCCCATCCTGGTTCCTGTCTTCTTCTCTAGTCTAGGAAACCCAAACAGGCCCAGCAGCCCTGGTCACTAATGAGTCTGGGAGGAATCCACATCACTTCTGTAAATACACAATGACCCACTGTCTTGCTGTACACAACAGGCATTATCTCCTCCACTAAAAGAGAAAAGCAGATAGATGTAAGTGCATTAATACTGGGGAGAGACACAAAGTGCATGGTCCCTGAACTTCATATCTGGGCCTTTCAAATGTTCACTGGCCAAAATAAATGGGCAATAACAAAAAACATCTGGATAGTATTTGTGCCTTTCAGTTGTCTCATGTGATCTTGCTTATTTTGCACTGATATTTTTTTCTTTTTTACAAATATGCCTGAATTTGTATGGAAATTTTAAGTAGCATGTCAGAATAGTCTTCTATGTCTCTAGAAGTCAACTTGTTAAAATAGAAAAACACCTAATCCTAATCATTATGCATTCCTCCAACAAACTCAAACTCAACAGAAAATCACCAAGCTCTATTTTTTTTTGTTTTTTTTTGAGCCGGGGTCTAACTCTATCGCCCAGGCTGGAGTGCAGTGACGCAATCACGGCTCACTACAACCTCCGCCTCCCAGGGTCAAGGAATTGTCCTGCCTCAGCCTCCTGAGGAGCTGGGATTACAAGTGCCCACCACCATGCCCAGCTAATTTTTTTATTTTTAGTAGAGACTGGGTCTCACCATGTTGGCCAGGCTGATCTTGAACTCCTGACCTCGGGTGATCCGCCCACCTCAGGCTCCCAAAGTGCTAGGATTATAGGCGTGAGCCACCGCACCCGGCCTTACCAAACTCTGTTTATAGATTCTGAAACCACGAGTGTCTTTGCTTCAGATTCTTGATGTTGGATCTTATCTCATCATTCGTGTGAGGACCTGAAAGCCTTGTGCATCTTTTAGTAGCAATCAATGAAATGAAAAAGGAAGCTATGTCAAATCAGCAAAGTATTAAAACCATATCTATTTGATAAATTACGGGCATGAAAGGAAAGAAGACAGAGGTCTGTAGAGGAAAAAAGACAAAATACAGCTTATGAAGCATATGTAGGCAGTGAAAAAAAACTGGTATCCACTCCTACCATCCACAGTCTTGCCAAACAGTGATGCTAAAATGATGATCAGGAAAGCACGGTTACTGAAAAGTGATCACTGCTGACATGGTCCCTCTGCACAACTCTGGATCTTTTTGCTACAACTGATCCTTTCCCACTGTGGATTCCCAGAACAATTCTACTATCGTGTAGCAGCATTCCCATCTGGATCCACCATCTATGGATTCATTTTGATTCCCACCATTACTATTACGTAAGGAAGAGATTTTTTGTGTGTGTGCTTTTTCAGGCTAATAATAAGGTCATTTGAAATGAAGAAATCTCAATTTTCAGAAACTTTCAATTATTTCTTTCTTTCTAGACAATAATGTTCCTTCTCTTAGGTCTTGTTTTAGAGAAACCTCCCTCCCTTTTCTCTTGGATACTTCCTCTCTGCCCTGTTTCATCAGCTTCGGGGAGGGATATCTGCTACCAGGGCTGATGATCAAGTTACTGAGGCAATGATGGACTAGTCATTATAGGTAGGATGAAAAGAGCCTGCCTTGCGGATCATGAGGTCAGAAGATCGAGACCATCCTGGCCAACATGGTGAAACCCCGTCTCTACTAAAAATACAAAAATTAGCTGGGAGTGGTGGCACGTGCCTGTAATCCCAGCTACTCAGGAGGCTGAGGCAGGAGAATCGCTTGAACCAGGGAGTTGGAGGTTGCAGTGAGCCAAGATCTTGCCACTGCACTCCAGCCTGGTGACAGAGCGAGACTCCATCTCAAAAAAATAAAATAAAAAATAAATAAAAGAGCCTGCCTTGTCTCCTGTGGATTTTCTTCAATTGGGATCTGGGTAGAAAATCTTATGTAACTCTCTGTGATGGATCCACACCTTCTAGATCTTTAGGGTTGGACAGGAAGAAAAGAGCACATTTCTCAACTTGCAACAGAGGATAGTGGCCAGGAGACAACTGCCAGAAGAATCCAGACTCCAACACACTGTGGGAGGGGGAAAAGCTCATTTCCTTTGATCTTTACAATAAATGTAAAGCCCCAGGCAGGCAGAACAGGTATTTTCCCATTACACAGATGACAAAATCAAGGATGAGTGAGATTAGGGCATTTATCAGAGGTACAGCAAGTAATGGTGAAGACAGGATTTGAGATCAGGTGACTTCAAATCTGGTCCTCTTTTTAGGACCAAAATGTCTAAAATTATTTTAAAAATTCCAAATGAAGACAGCAGGTTGGACAAATCTTCCTGAAAAACAGCAGCACCAGGCATCTACGTCTGTATACTTGCCTGTGCACATCCTTCCATTCCAAGTTCGCGGGGGACAGATTTGGCACAACACCATCAATAGTGTCTACTTGTTAAATTCACTCATTGATCTGTTACGTACTTTTTGGAAACACGCCAGGCACTATTTCAAATAATGAGACTATAATGGTAAACAAAATAGACAAAGTCCCCATCCTAATGGGGCATACATTCCCGATGGACAATGTAGAAAACAGTGACAAGTGCCGCTGACAGAAATGAAGCAGGCTAAAATTAGAGAATAATGAAGGTAAAATTTAACAGAAATTGGCCAGGCGTGGTGGCTTATGCCTATAATCCCAGCACTTTGGGAGGCCCAGGTGGGTGGATTGCTTGGGCTCAGGAGTTCGAGAGCAGCCTGGGCAACATGGCGATACCCTGCCTCTATTAAAAATACAAAAATTAGCTAGGCATGGTGGCGTGCACCTGTAATCCCAGCTACTAGGGAGGCTGAGGCAGGAGAATCGCTTGAACCCAGAAGGTGGAGGTTGCAGTGAGCCGAGATCGTGCCTCTGCACTCCAGCCTGGTGACAGAGCAAGACTCTATCTCAAACAAACAACAAAAAAACCCAAAAAGAATTTAACAGAAATTTTTAAATATTCAGGATGACCCAACTTGTTGGAGTCCTGAAGGAAGTGAAGTGATGGGGTGCAGGAACATCTCAGAGAGGAGGGATCCAGGCTAATCAGGTACATGTGCTCTGGGTACCCGTGGGATCAATGCATCTGGCAGAGTGGGTGAGAAGGAGAGCAGGGTGGAGAGAGGGGGGAGAGAAGTTTCGATGGAAAGGATGTGTCTCCCACAAATGACCTGTCACCAAGCTGGACTCTCACCCTCCTGGGGCTGGCGAAGTTTGGCTGTGCTCCTCTGTTATCACTTGGACCACTGAATAAATCAATTATTTAATTCCATTTAGTTGAAAGTAAGTTTAACATATGTGCAATAGCTAACAAAGGCAGGCATTCAAAGGCTACTACTTCTTTAACACAAATTCTAGGTCGCTATCTAACCTCCAACTGGTACTTAGCCAAGAGAATTCACATATCACACCACCACCTTATATCTACAACGTATATACAGGCTTTGGAACAATTTTTATATCCATTCATTGTCCCACGTGATTCCTCTGCATATCCCAGGAGAGATGTGGGTACTCTCATGCCCTGTATATGGATAGATAAATTGAGGGTGAGGTTATGAAACCCAGTGACAGAATTGGGACTAGGACCTTGTGGGACAAGGATCTTGGTTTGCTGACTCCTGATTCAGGGCTCTTCTATAATAGCTCATAAGAACTCTAACTGAAAAGATTTCTCATGGTTAAAGGAGGATAACCCTTTAGAGATACACATGAAATCCACACGCATGTACTGAGCAGAGTCAGAGGGAATTTTTTTGTTTTTTTTTTGAGACGAAGTCTTACTCTGTTGCCCAGGCTGGAGTGCAGTGGCACAATCGCCACTCACCGCAACCTCCACCTCCCAGGTTCGAGTGATTCTCCTGCCTCAGCTTCCTGACTAGCTGGGATTACAGGTGTGCGCCACTACGCCCAGCTGATTTTTGCATTTTTAGTAGAGATGGGGTTTCACCGTGTTGGCCAGGCTATTCTCAAACTCCTGACCTTGGGTGATCTGCCCGCCTCAGCCTCCCAAAGTGCTGGGATTACAGGCATGAGCCACCGCACCTGGCCAGAGGGAATTTAACATAGGGAATAAATAGTCCCATAGGTATTAGAGGACTGAAGACGTAAAAAGGGGATATCCCAGCAACACAGAGATAGTAGCTGCAGGGAACATTTCCCACACCTAGGACTAGAGAAGAAGGGGAAGCGGGTGGGACTGATAGAACTTAGAGGTTCAGGGAAGAGGCCTCGAAGAGCTGAGCCTCAGACTTCAAGAAGGGACCGCGGCCCAGATGGGGCCAGGACCTCTGAGCTTGGAGGAAGCATGCACTAGAGGGAACCTTGAAGCCGGTAGGAGAGGCGTCCTGCTCCTTCCTGTTTGCTGGTTGTCCCTGTTTGTGGCATCCACAGTGGTTCTTCACCCTGGCAGTGGTGACTGGTTTCATTTCTTTTTTTCTGCACTCCCAGAACAAGGCTCATCATGCCTCCTACTGGCAGAACCTAACAGGAAGCTGCAGGGGAAGAAGGTGGTTTCCAGCATCTCAGCAGGAACCTGGAAGCTGAGCGTAGGAGGGTGGGTTTGGAGCTGAGACAATACCTCATAACCAGCACACCACCTGACTGCAGGAATTGCCAGAAATTCAAGTGCCATTGTTTCCAGAGTATCCTGATGTGTGACTTTTTTCCCCGTCAGGAATTCCCAGCATCTGACGGTTTGTTGGAATTTTGTTTGGTTTCTGTTTTGTTTGCGTACATTTCATTCATTTAAGTCGTATTCTTTTTTTTTTTTTTTTGAGATGCAGTCTGGCTCTGTTGCCCAGGTTGGAGTATGGGTGGTGCAATCTCAGCTCACTGCAATCTCCGCCTCCCGGGTTCAAGCAATTCTCGTGCCTCAGCCTCCCAAACAGCTGGGATTACAGGAACCTGCCATCACACCCGGCTAATTTTTGTGTTTTTAGTAGAGACGGGGTTTCACCATGTTGGCCAGGCTGGTCTAGAACTCCCTACCTCAGGTGATCCATCCGCCTCGGCCTCCCAAAGTGCTGGGATTACAGGCGTGAGCCACTGCGCCCGGCCCATATTCTTTTATTAAAGGTTAATTTCCTAGTTTATACCAGTGTCTATTTCACCATATACTTGTCATCACCGGGTGCTCCTTTCTTTTTAAGCTAAAAATACTCTTTGGCACCAGTTGTGGGTCTCTAGCAAAGCAGAAACTGCCACTTCGTGGTTCCTTTCCACCTTTCTACCTGTATTTCTTTTTTTTTCTATTTCTTTTTTTCTTGATACAGGGTCAAAAAAGGCTAGAGTGCAGTGGCACGATCACAGCTCATTGCAGCCTTGACCTCTCAGGCTCAAGTGATCCTCCCACCTCAGCCTCCTGAGTAGCTGGGACTATAGGCATTCACCACTACCCCTGGCTAATTTTTAAATTTTTTATAGTAGGGCCTCACTATGTTGCCTAGGCGGTCTGGAACTCCTGAGCTCAAGGGGCTAGCCTCCCAAAGTGCTGAGATTATAGGCATGAGCCACAGTGCTCAGCCTTGTATTTCAATCTAAGATACCATTACTTATAAAATGAACCATTATTTTATATACCACTGATAAAAGAAAAACATTTCCAATTAAACTATGACACTTTTCTAATCACTTACTTTTTAAAAAGTTACTAAAAGAGCTTTTAGATTTAGACATATTTACACAGATATGTTTATTTACTTAGAAAAATATAAGCAAAATAGGTCGGGGCAGTGGCTCACGCCTGTAATCCCAGCACTTTGGGAAGCCGAGGTGGGTGGATCACCTGAGGTCAGGAGTTCGAGACCAGCCTGACCAACATGATGAAATCCCGTCTCTACTAAAAATACAAAAATCAGCCGGCCGTGGTGGTGCCTGCCTGTAATCCCAGCTACTCATGAGGCTGAGGCAGGAGAATCGCTTGAACCCAGGAGGCGGAGGTTGCAGTGAGAAGAGATTGCGCCACTGCACTCCAGCCTGGGCAACAGAGTGAGACTTCATCTCAAAAAAAAAAAAGAAAAGAAAAGAAAGAAAAATATAGGCAAAATAAATTGATTCAGGGATTCCTAAAACTTCTTTACATCCTCATCCTTTTGAGTAACACTTTAACTCAGTCAACAACCCATACTTTTCTATGCAACTTTGTCCTTTGTGCCATCAAACATGTTGGTGATACAGCATTAAAAGAAAAACAAAAACAAAAAACAAAAATTCAGCTGGGCATGGTGGCTCATGCCTATAGTCCCAGCACTTTGGGAGGCCGAGGCAGGCAGATCACTTGAGCTCAGGAGTTCGAGACCAGCCTGGCCAACATGGTAAAACCTCATCTATACTAAAAATACAAAAATGAGCCAGGCGTAGTGGCAGGAGCCTGTAATCCAGCTCCTTCGGAGGCTGAGGCAGGAGAATCTCTTGAACCTGGGGGGCGGAGGCTGCAGTGAGCCAAGATTGCGCCACTGAACTCCAGTCTGGGTGACAGAGTGAGACCCTGTCTCAAAACAAACAAACAAACAAACAAACAATTCATAAAAGAAACTAAAAGCCATTGGTCTGGGCCCTTAAGCAGACTTTGAAATTATGGAGAGCTTTCCTGTTTTTAAAAGCCTCTCAAACTTTCCCTTACTTGCTCTCCATTCAATTCAGGGGTTAAAAAAATGTTCTACTACTGTCTCTGGGGTTTCCTCTGAGGTTGCTGATGCCCCTTCTTTTTAATTGCATTTTTATTTTTCTAACACCTACCTCTTACACAGAAATGATGCCCCTTCTGCATGTTTTGATGCCGGCACAGGTGTAAGCAATGAGAACTATGCCATACCTGCCTCCTTGCCAACAGTTGATAACCACAGACAGGAAGACACTGATTTCAGGGATGAGAAGAAACAGGTGTCTTAGAAACACGGTACTCTCCACTCATCCTCTGGAATCCTTCTATAACCTTCAGTCCCTGTATTCTCTGGGTCCACACATGCCTTCAAGAGCTATGTCAGCCTCCTTGAGGCTTGAGGGGGAAAAAGTCACTCTGCTTTTCTCTTCTCTCATTAAAAACAACAAAAACTAGACTTCCAAAGCATTAAACATGTAGGGAGCTTAGAGACGCTGTCCAGGATGAGCTGACCAAAGCAGAAGCAAGGCTGTTTGTGACTTCAGCATTTCCCCCAATTAGCCACTGCAAAGCCACCTCCCAGCACTTGGTCCAACCTTAATCAACAACCACTGTTTCCTTTGCCTTCTGGACAGTTTCCTGGATAGACTGACGTCAGTCTGGCTCTATGTTCAAAGTTAGAAAATAAAAGTAGTTTGTTGCAATAAGGGCTAAGATTTTAAGATATAGCATAAGAAATACTGAGTTCCAGTCCAGACTCTGTTCACTTCAAAGCAGTGGCTCACACCTGTAATCACACCTGTAATCCCAGCTCTTTGAAAGGCTGAGGTGAGTGTATTACCAGAGTTGAGGAGTTCTAGACCAGCCTGGCCAACATGGTGAAACCCTGTTTCCACTAAAAAACACAAAAAAGTTAGCCCGGAGTGGTGGTGCATGCCTGCAGTCCCAGCTACTTGGAAGGCTGAGGCGAGAGGATTGCTTGAACCCAGAAGGCAGAGGTTGCAGTGAGCTGAGATTGTGCCACTGCATTCCAGCCTGGCTGACAGAGTGAAACTCTGTTGCAAAAAAAAAAAAAAAAAAGAAAAGAAGAAAAGCTAGGGCAAATTGTACCACTTCTCTATTTCTTTTTAATTTTTTATTTTTTTGAAATGTGGGGTCTTGCTATGTTGCCCACACTGGCCTTGAACTCCTGGGCTCAAGCAATCCTCCTGCCTCAGCCTTCCAAAGTGCTAGGATTACAGGTGTGAGCTATCATTTCTGGCGGCAAATATTTTTATCTCATTTACCTGATCATTTAGAAATGTATCTCCAGGTCTTGAGATAACATTTGCATTGAAAATTCTCAGTTTCTCAGTTTTAGGCATTCTCTATTGAGTTCCCACAAGGAAAGATGATTTAGCTTCTTCTCTCCCCCAATTCCTCCCACCATCCCCTATCACATACCCAATACCTTTCTCATTACCCCCAATAGAGTTAAAATCTCTTTTTAGTAAACATTCAGTGTTCATATAATTAAGACTATGTCAATCCTATTCACAACTCTGATAACATTTTGGTTCTCAGTTTTCCTTACTTTTCATTTCCCTGCAGTTAATAATTATTTGCTTAGTTTTCTATGTACTTATACCATTTCATCAAAGAGCTGCTATTCCAATTCCTCAAAATTTGATGTTTAAAGGCATAAGATTTAGTCAAAACCTTGTTCATTGAAATATTGTCCCTAGGCCGGGCACAGTGGCTGACACCTATGATCCCAGCAGTTTGGGAGACCAAGGCGGGTGGATCACCTGAGGTCAGGAGTTCGAGACCAGCCTGGCCAACATAGTGAAACCCCTTCTCTACTAAAAATCCAAAAATTAGCCTGTAATCCCAGCTACTCGGGAGGCTAAGGCACGAGAATTGCTTGAACCCAGGAGGCAGAGTTGCAGTGAGCAGAGAATTGCAGCACTGCACTCCAGCCTGGGCAACAGAACAAGACTGTGTCTCAAAAAAAAAAAAAAAAAAGAAAAGAAAAGAAAAAAGAAAAGAAAAAAAGAAATGTTGTCCCTAATAGTGAAAAAGTCAAAGCAAACCTCAAAAAGAATACAGCTGATTAATAAGTATTGATACATATACAAAACTGAGCCTTCAATTTCTGTCATTATATCTACCTGTAACTCTATCATATTTTAGAATGAGCATGCACTTTTGTAATCAGAATATAAGAACATTTATAAAGTAATAGGAGAAAAGTAACCTGAATCATATTAGGTTGGTGCAAAAGTAATTCCGGTTTTTTGTCATTACTTTTAATGGCAAAAGCCGCAATGACTTTTGCATCAACCTATTACTATTTTTTTTGCAGTTATTTATACGACCAATCGGATTTTTAAAAACAATTTTATTTAGTTGCTGGGAACAAGTCTGATTTTCTTTTCTCCTCAGCTATACAAGGTTGGCTTGTAGGGCAATCATCTTAGATATGTCTGAAGAGATTCGAATTTGAAAGAAGGAAAACCAGAAGTTTCATACTTCTAAAGGAAAACGTTTTCAGAAAATGAGTGAAAAGGAGTGACTACAAAGGAAGCATTCGCTTATCTCAAAGCAAATACTAAATTACAGATTCCTCTCAGCGCTCTACTGGTGAAAAAATTTAAAAATAAATAAATAAATTACAGACAGTAACATGCTTCCATTTCATCCCGACAGCTTCAGGATGGCGCAGTCTCCAATGGGACAAACCCAGGGAGGCGTGACTCGGCCACAGCGCGTTCTGGGAAGGCCGCTTAACCAATCAGCGCCTTGGTTTCCAGGGGTCAGGTCTGCATAAAAATGCTGCCCTTTCCGTTCCTATAGTGGTGTGATGCAGAAACGCCGCGACAGAATGGGGTTATCTACATTAACAGCGCGCGGCCTTCCAGGCTCCTAAATGGACTTTCACAAACACCCTCCATCAGGCCAGGCCCGCGGGTGTGACCCGGGCAGACACAGGCTGCCCCCACACTTCTGGACTCTGTGTCAGGGCGCACACGCTGACAGCATGGCTAACTTTCTGGGGGCCGGGGACATCTGGGAGAAGCAGAATGAAACAGAAGATCGATTCCCTAGGTCCTAGGAGATGAAACGCCACCTTTGCGGGTTCGCGAGTCCTTAGGATCAAAGCTGGGCTCCCCAGGGCCGGGGCCGCTCGCCCCACATCCTCATTCCAGTCCCCATCCCCACCCTATCCCCGACTCTGCCCCAGGCCCAGGCGGGAACCACGCACCGAAACGAGCGGGACGCGCAGGCGATCCCCTTGCAGCCGGTTGAAGGCGGGGAACGTGCTCCAGGCGAGGAACCCGTCGCTTTCGGGTCCGAGCAGGGCCACGAGCAGCACCTGGTGTTGGAAGCGCACGGTCGGCTGCTCCTCGTAGCTGCTCCGCTTCAGCCAAAACCCTGAGTTAAAGAGGGCGGTAGGGAGGCGGTTAGGGAGGCCGGCCCTGGCCGAGCGCGCCCGGGGAGCCTCGTGGCACAGCGGCCGGGGCAGGCTCACCGTGGCTCCGGAAGGCCACCAGCAGCGGCGGGATGTACGTGAGCGCAGCGGCCAGCAGCAGGAACAGCGCGGCTTTGGAGCAGAGCCCCGCGCGGTAACTGCGCTCGACCGGGTGAGAGAAGAGCTCATAGAGCGCCATGAGCACCGCTCGCAGGCACTCCGCGAGCCGGGGGACCAAGTTTGGCTTCTCCTGGTTGCCATCGCCTCGGTCTCCACGGCAACCGACGGCTCACAGAAAGGAGCCAATAGCAAGGCCGCACCGAAAGGAGCCAGTGGCGGGGGCGGGGTTAGCGGGCGTGGCGCTGCCGGGGACGGTCGGCCTAGCTTTTCGAGCTGTGTACGTTTGCGTAAAGGCTGGGCGGCGATAGAACGTTTCCGTGGACCAGAGTCGTGGCTGTTGTCTGTGTTAACATTTGTGTAAAATAAGATGCCCATAAAAGTTGACTTGAACACTGAGGAGGAAGAACTAAATATTTAAATTTCAACTGACATGGACACAAACAATGGTCACCAAGTCCCTAAACAGGTTGTGGGAGCCCCTTGAGGCGTTCATCCAGCGCTGTTTCGGAGAAATCTCTATTTCAGTCTACTCCTATACGTCAGTTATTGAAAAACAACAATCGCAAAAACAAGTTGACCTTTTTGTGTTCCTTGAGCCCAGTCGCAAAGGGCCCTCGTGACTGGGCCTCATGCTAGACAACATGTTACAAAAAGATCTAGGGTCCCAGACCACGCCAAAAAGCTTCATGAGACCTCTCCTCGTCTGTGCACTGACGAGTGGCCGGCTCTGGAGCCCAGGTCGTTGCTTCCCAGTCTGGAGGTGAATCCTCCATAGTCTGGTGAGTGTAAATATATATATATATATGTCTTTTTCCTTCTCCTCTTCCCATTGCAATTTGCTTATTATATCAATCTGCTTATTATATTAATTTGCTTATTATAATATCTGCATTGCCATTTACGTGGGATAAAGCTTGCTTACCCTTAAAGGTACTGTGTGTGTGCCTTTTCTTCTCCCCTAGCGCGTCTCCCGCACAGAACGAACACCTGCTTTTGTGTCATCTGTTAACCCCCAGTGTGGTTCCTACTGAAGTCCAGTCAGTCACAAGCCTGGCCGTGGTCCTGGACCTGGTCCTGGGCTGAGATCAAAGCCAGGTGCTTTTGCCCCCAGATTTTCTGTTGCTTCCACTATGCTCCCATGCAAGACAGACACGGAAACACAAATCCCCTGGCTCTTCCACGGATAGAGTGGAATTACTACAAAGCTCTGATGCACTTCGTTAACCCTGTGTTGGGTACAGCTCAGCCGCGAGTTTTACAGGAATATATGGTCCTCCCCAAAGATCACTGGCTTATTGCTTAATTGAATGCCTACACCCCCCCGCCACCACCCCCAACCAATATTTCTAACATGGTAGAAGGACTTTTTAAAAAAATCTATGGTCCACAGCCAATTTCTTCATCAAATGGCCCTGAATGGCTGGGCACGGTGGCTCACGCCTGTAATCCCAACACTTTGGGAGGCCAAGGTGGGCGGATCACCTGAGGTCAGGGGTTCAAGACCAGCCTGGCCAACATGGTGAACCCTCATCTCTACTAAAAATACAAAAATTAGCCAGGCATGGTGATGGGCACCTGTAATCCCAGCTACTCTGGAGGCTGAGGCAGGAGAATCGCTTGAACCCGGGAGGCACAGATTACAGTGAGCGGAGATCACACATTGGACTCCAGCCTGGGTGGCAGCGAGACTCCATCTCAAACAACAACAACAACAACAAAAAGGTCCTGAGTGGCTGAGCACAGTGGCTCATGCCTGTAGGTCCAGCTACTCGGGAGGCCTGGGCAGGAGGAAGGCTTGAGCCCAGGAGGCTGCAGTGAGCCATGAATGCACTACTGCACTCCAGGCTGGGAGACAGAAGGAGACCTTGTCTCTAAAAAAATAAATACAAAATATTTAAATATAAGTAAATTTGTTAAAGGGTCAGTAAAATGACATTTAAGTGGAAAGACATGATAAGCTTTGTGATTTGGAAAAGTCACTCTAATGACAGCATGTCAGTAGTGTAAACCAAAATGTATCTGAGACAAGTCTCAATCAACGTAGAAATTTATTTTGCCAAGGTTAAGGACATGCCTGTGACACAGCCTCAGGAGGTCCTGATGACATACGCCCAAGGTGGATAGGGTATAACTTGAGTTTATACATTTAGGGAGACATAAGACATCAATCAATACGTGTAAGATGTACATTGGTTCAGTACTGAAAGATGAGACAAGTGGAGGTGGGGTGGGGCTTCCAGACCACAGAATTGGCAGATTCAGAGATTTTTCCAATTGTCAACTGGTTATTATCTAAAGACCTGGAATCAATAGAAAGGAATGTGTGGGTTTGTGGGCGGGGCACAGTGGCTCACGCCTGTAATCCCAACACTTTGGGAGGCCAAGGCAGGCAGATCACTTGAGGTCAGGAGTTCAAGACCAGCCTGGCCAACATGGTGAAACCCTGTCTCTACCAAAAATATGTATTAAAAAAAAAAACATTAGCTGCATCTGGCGGTGTCCACCTGTAATCCCAGCTACTTGGGAGGCTGAGGCAGGAGAATTGCTTTAACCCGGGAGGCAGCAGCTGCAGTGAGCCGAGATCATACCACTGCACTTCAGCCTGGGTGACAAAGTGAGACTCCATTTCAAAAAAAAAACAAAAACAAAAAACAATAAGGGGTTGTGGAGTCTAATGTTTTATCATGCAGATGAAGCCTCCAGGCTTCAGAGAGAACAGATTGTAAATGTTTCTTATCAGACTTTAAGAGTCTGTTCTATTAATATCAGTCTTAAGATCTATGTGTTGATGCTAATACTGGTCAGCTGGGTCTGAATTCCAAAAAGAGGAGGGTATAATGAGTTACGTCTGACTCCCCACTTCCCATGATGGCCAGACTAGTTTTTCAGGTTAACTTTGGAATGCCCTTGGCTGAGACAAGGGTTCCATTCAGATGGTTGGGAGCTTAGAATTTTATTTTAGGTTTACAGTATACCAGGATGGGGTCATTGAGTGAGGGGTGAGGAAAAACAGAAGTCAGGGAGACCAGTCAAGAGGCTGTTGAGGCTGGGTGAAGTGGCTCATCTTAGCACTTTTGTCAGAGGTGTTTGAACCAAAGCAACTCCATCTCGAATAGGGGCTAAGTAAAATAAGGCTGGGACCTACTGAGCTGTCTTCCCAGGAGGTAAGGCATTCTTAGTCACAGTATGAGCTAGAAGGATGGCACAAGATACAGGTTACAGAGACCCTGTGGATAAAACAGGATGCAGTTAAAAAGAAGCCAGCCAAGGCCGGGCATGGTGGCTCATGCCTGGAACCCTGTCTCTACTAAAAATACAAAAATTAGCTGGGCATGGTGGCGGGCACCTGTAGTCTCAGCTACTCTGGAGGCTGAGGAGGGAGAATCAGTTGAACCCGGGAGGCGGAGGTTGTAGTGAGCCGAGATCACGCCATTGCACTCCAGCCTGGGTGATAAGAACGAAACTCTGTCTCAGAGAAAAAAAAAAAAAAGAAAGAAAAAAGAAAAAAAGCCAGTCAAAAGCCACCAAAACCAAGATGGCCTTGAGTGTGACCTCTGGTCGTCCTCACTGCTCATGATCTGCTCATTGTAATGCATTGGCATGCTAAACGATACTCCCACTGGTGCCATGACAATTTACAAATGCCACGGCAATGTCCGGAAGTTACCCTATATAGTCTAAAAAGGGGAGGGACCCTCAGTTCTGGGGAAATCTCTGCCCCTTTCCTGGAAAAGTCAGGAATAATCTACCCTTTGTTTACCATATGGATCAAGAAATAACTATAAATTTACTCAGTCGAGTAGCCCATACTGCTGCTCTGTCTATGGAGTAGCCATTTTTTTTTACTCTGTGGACTTGCCCCAAATTCTTTCCTGTGTTGAGAGCCAGGAACCCTTTCTTGGGATCTGGATTGGGACCCCTTTCCAGTAACACTTTGGGATGCTAAGAAAGGAGGATTGCTTGAGCCCAAGAGTTAGAGGTTGCAGTAAGCAGTGACTGCACTACTGCACTCTAGCCTGGGTGACAGAGCGAGAGCGAGACTGTCTGAAGAAAGGGAAAAAAAAAAAAAAGCCCTGAAGGATCACATTGCAGTGTCAGGAGATGGCGTGAGGTTTGTGCTGGGTGGAGTCCAGTAGTTACTCCCACTACTTTGAAAGCAACCTCGAAGTGGCTTTTAGATGAAGAGAACAGCTGACATCCTAACATCACAGACTTAATAGAGAGGTCAAGACTGCCCATTTGGGAAAACCATCCTAGGGTCCTTACTACAGTCCAAGACGACAACGTCATCAGCCACAAAATGCTTTTGAAATATCAGGTTCAATACTACTTGTTCTTGATTAAAAGCTTTTCTGGGGTGGCAATGTAGTTTGTTGTTGTTGTTGTTTTTATACAGGGTCTCCCTCTGTCTACCTCCTGGGCTCAAGTACTTGTCCTGCCTCAGCCTCCTGAATAGCTGAGGCCACTATTCCCGGCTAATTTTTAAAAAAATTTTTGGCTGAGGCAGGACAATCACTTGAACCCGGGAGGTAGAGGTTGCAGCGAGCTGAGATCGTGCCACTGCACTCCAGCCTAGGCGCTTCCATCTAAAAAAAAATTTTGTTTTTAAGTGACAAAGTCTTGTCATGTTGCCCAGGCTGGTCTCCAACTCCTGGGCTCAAGTATCCTTCTTGAGTAATCCCAAAGTGCTGGGATTACGGGTGTGAGCCACTGTATCTGGCCTCAACATAGGTTTTTGTTCGTTTTTGTTTTTTTGGTGGAGATGGGATTTCGCCATGTTGCCCAGGCTAGCAGGTTGATCTCATATTCTGGGGCTTAAGAGATCCACCTGCCTCGGCCTCCTGAAGTGCTGGGACCACCACACTGAGCCTCAACATAGTTCTTAAATATAGCAATTGTTAAGGTTAAATCTATGGTTTGATTCTGACACACTATATCTATGCTTTAAGTGGATGACTTTCTTTTTTTGAGAGAGAGAGTTTCACTGTTGTTGCCCAGGCTGGAGTGCAATGGTGTGATCTCGGCTCACTGCAACCTCAGCCTCCCAGGTTCAAGCGATTCTCCTCTCTCAGCCTCCTGAGTAGCTCGGATTACAGGCACCTGCCACCACGCCCAGCTAATTTTTTGTATTTTTAGTAGAGATGGGGTTTCACCATGTTGGCCAGGCTGGTCTCAAACTCCTGACCTCATGATTCGCCCACCTCGGCCTCCCAAAGTGCTGGGATTACAAACGTGAGCCACCACGCCCAGCCGACTTTCATTTATTTATATAACCACAGGGGTCTTCTGGAATAGATGGATCTAGGGTCGACTCCTGAGAGTCACTATCCTGTGAGGAAGGAAGTGTTTGCCTCCAAAGCTCCTTCTTTCAATGGAAGGAAACAGATACTGTACCAAAGTCACTCCTGAAACAGAAGGAGGTGACTACTAAGAATTTAGGTGTACCAAGTGCTTCAGCCTTCCCTGAGATGCCATGAACTTTGCAAAAGTATTTAGTAATAATGGATACTATTTACTCTTTGCTTCCATGGTTTGAGAAAGCTCGTTTTGTAGTTTTATTTCAATTCTTTAAGAGAAAGTATAGATTTAAAAATGTTAAAGATCTGTGTATATGTGTCATTTCCATACACCCATGACTGATAACTGACTTCTCAGTTTCCACTTCCACAATGTTCTTGTTTTTCATACAATTTATTTCTGAGGACAAAAAGAGTCATCCTCTTAAAACTGCACTTTTTTTTTTTTTTTTTTTTTGAGATGGAGTCTTGTTCTGTAGCCCAGGCTGGAGTGCAGTGGGGCGATCTCGGCTCACTGCAACCTCCGCCTCCCGGGTTCAAGCGATTCTCCTGCCTCAGCCTCCTGAGTAGCTGGGATTACAGGCGCTCACCACCACGCCTGGTGAATTTTTTTTTTTTTTTTTGTATTTTTAGTAGAGACGGGGTTTCACCTTATTGGTCAGGCTGGTCTCGAACTCCTGACCTCATGATCCGCCTGCCTTGGCCTCCTAAAGTGCTGGGATTACAGGCGTGAGCCACCGCACCTGGCCACATTTTTTTTTTCTTGAGATGGAGTCTCACCCTGTCGCTCAGGCTGGAGTGCAGTGGCACTATCTTGGCTCACTGCAACCTCCACCTCCTGGGCTCAGGCGATTCTCATGCCTGCAGCCTCCTGAGTAGCTGGGACCACAGGTGCGTGCCACCATGCCTGGCTAATTTTTGTATTTTCAGTAAAGACGGGGTTTCACCATGTTGGCCAGTCTGGTCTAGAACTCCTGGCCTGAGGTGATCCACCTGCCTCGGCCTCCCAGAGTGCTGGGATTACAGGCATGAGCCACTGCACCCAGCCCCAAATTGCACATTTTAATCATGTTCTTCTCTCCTTTATAGGAGCTCTTATTCAGGGTCTCCTGAATTAGGTTAGAACTTCTGAATGTTTGCTTCAAAGCTTTCCAACATTTTATTTACTTATCTATACTGCTTTTCTGTTCCCTCTTCCAACCCCAGCCTTTGTTTTTATCTGGAAAGGAAAAGTTTACCCAATGAAAATGTACCCTTCTCTCTACAACAGAAGATTCACATTCTCTGTGAAGTCTTCCTTGCTAATTCTCACTTGGCTTTGTGCTGGCCCCTATTGCCCTAGCAATGCCTCAGTATCCATGTTCACATACCTCTCCAACATTTGAAATTCATTCTCTGTGTTTTATAGATTTGTTAATGTGTAATTACGTTGCATATATTCATTATCCTATTTCTCCTCCTGACTTACGTCCTTAACTAACCACTCCCTCAAGGAAGGCATCCAGTGTCCTTAGAACATTCCATAGCTAAATACAATGACCCAATATGTAAAGAAGGTGGTACATATCATCAAGGTGGATGAAATAAGTCAATTAGAATGGTGAACTGGGAAAACACACCAAGAAAGTAGGTAAGGATGGAAGACCAAAATGCATTGCACATCATTGAGACCATCAAAAGACATGTCTATGAATTGGTGTGCAGTGAAATTTTCCCCTAAGAAGTGTTCTCAGCTCTTTCACATGCAAGACAATATACATATATTTTGGACTAGGATGCAATGACCAGCTCTGTAAAGGGAAGCAGGGGTGTTGAGTCCAATTTCTAACTCCTCCACTGGTTCACTGACTAGGAGATGGTGAACAACCATCTTCATTCTTCAGTGTTTAATTCTATTTGTAAAATAGGTATTTTCTTTTTTTGAGACGGAGTTTCGCTCTTGTTGCCCAGGCTGGAGTGGAGTGGCGCGATCTCAGCTCACTGCAACCTCTGCCTCCTAAGTAAAAGCAATTCTCCTGTCTCAGCCTCCCAAGTAGCTGCGATTACAGGCATGTGCCACCATACCTGGCTAATTGTTTTGTATTTAGCAGAGACGGGGTTTCAACACGTTAGTCAGGCTGGTCATGAACTCCTGACTTCAGGTGATCCACCTGCCTCGGCCTCCCAAAGTGCTGGGATTACAGGCATATGCCACTGCACCCGGCCAAGTATTTTCATTTTTAAACTCACTGTCTACCTAATCTTACCCAGTTTAATAGCTTGAAATATTTCTCTCTAAATTTGAGACTCATAGCACCATTCACCAACTCTACATCTTCACTTGTGTATGTCCCTTGGACATCTCATATTTAATATCTCAAAAACCAAACTCTTGTTTTTCACTCCCCAAGCTGGCTCCACCCTATTTCAGTAAATGGCAATTCCATCCTTCCAAAAACCTTGATTTTGATCTGTCCCTCATGTCTTACATCCAATCTATCAGCAACTGTTACCAGTTTTACCTTCGAAATATATCCAGAATACAACTGCTTCCCATCACCTCTGTAGACCCCACCTTGGCCAAAGCCAACATCATCTTTCACCAGGATTATCACAATAGTGTCTCAACTATTTCCCTGCTTCCACCCTCAGCGCCTACAGTCTACTAAGCTAGCCTTTTGAAAAGGAAAGGCAGATTGTGTTACGTCTCTGCTTAAACCCCTACACTGACTTCTCATCTCATTCTAAATAAAATCCAAAGCTCTTTGCATGGAATTCAAAGCTCAACACAGTTTTGTTCTAGATATCTTTGAATTTGTCTCATAACACACTCTCCTCTCTCATTTATTCAGCTCCAGCCACAGGGGTTCCCTAGAATATGCCAGGCACTTTATCTAATTAGCATTCCATCCCACCACACTCTCTAGTCACCTACTGTGCTTTATTTTTCGAAATAGCACCTATCATTACCTAACATACTTATTTTTTGTCTTATCCCACTAGAATATGTCAGGGGGACAAGAATATCTCATGCTGCCACCCATGAGAATAGGGATGTCATCTGTCTTCTTCACTGTTTTTCCCCAGCACCTAGCACAGAGCTCTTGTATGTAACAATAATTTCTAAGTAGGAAATTCAAAGGATTTTTTCCACTTCATTAAAAACAAACAAACAGATGCAGTGGCTCACACCTGTAATCCTAGCACTTTGGGAGGCCGAGGCGGGCAAATCACTTACTTGAGGTGAGAAGTTCAAGACCAGCCTGGCGAACATGACAAAACCCCATCTCTACCAAAAATACAAAAATTAGCTGGGTGTGGTGGTGTGTCCCTGTAGTCCCAGCTACTCAGGAGGCTGAGGCAGCAGAATCGCTTGAACCCAGGAGGCAGACTGCAGTAAGCCAAGATTGTGCCACTGAACTCCAGCCTGGGTGACAGAGAAAGACCCTGTCTCCAAAAAACAAAAACAAAAACAAAGAAACAAAAAAACCTATTCTAGTTACTCAGACACACAGTCTTAAAATAACAAAAATACTTATAGAATGAAGCTAGATTCCACAGCATCGATCAGGAATTTCCAGTGTAGGAAATGATGAACTACCACATTCAAACATACAGGCTTTACAGGTGCATCAGAATCACAAGCACGTGGCAGGGTTCATGTGCCCAATTAAGTGAATATTCCTGCTACATGTTCAGCAGCTTATAAACAGATGGTGACCCAGACCAGACTGCCTTGATGAGTCTGCTTGGAAAAAAGGCATTACATCACTGATTGGAGAACCTCAAAGCATATGTCCGGGCAGGTGACACACACACAGCTCAGGCTGTGATTGCTAAACCACTCCCACAGCCAAATAAGGAAACCCATCTCATGACCAGCTCTCAGGGGAATTCTCCGAGTCTGACAGTCACCTCTAACTCCTCTGCCAGTTAAAATTAAGGGGTCTGTGATCAGTGATGTTACACTCCTCAAATGTGCATTTTTTTTTGAGGCGGAGTCTTGCTCTGTTGCCCAGGCTGGAGTGCAGTGGTGTGATCTCGGCTCACTGCCACCTCCACCTCCCTGGTTCAAACGATTCTCCTGCCTCAGCCTCCCGAGGAGCTGGGACTACAGGCGCCCACTACCATGCCTGGCTAATTTTTGTATTTTTAGTAGAGACGGGGTTTCACCATGTTGGCCAGGCTGGTCTTCAACTCCTGACCTCAGGTGATCCACCCGCGTCGGCCTCCCAAAGTGTTGGGATTACAGGCGTGAGCCACCGTACCCCGCCTCAAATGTGCATTTGTGATACCTTTTCGTAAATGTTTATTCAAATATTTATTCACGAATAAAGGAAGAAAACGGGATTTGTTTAAATTCAATTTCTAGGTCCAAGACAACCTACTACGGCTGTCCCTAATACGGACCTCCGGGTTGTCCTCAGTGCCGCTTCCAACAGTGTCCTCAAACACCCTCCCCTCCCATAATGAGCCCCCAACCTGTCACCACTCCGAGCAATACTCCCCAAACTGTCAACGCCCTAAACAGCTCCCTTGTTATCGCCAAGCTCTAGAAAGCCCTCCTTATGTCATTCTTACCCCTAAAGACCGTTCTTGTCACCAATTCCCCAGACTTCCCCTATGAACCGCTCTAAGAGCCCTCAGCTATCAGCCACACCCCCAAACAGCCCTCAGTAAGAGCCCTACACTATCAGCCAGACGTTTTCCGCCACCAACGCTCCCGAGACCCCACTCCTGTCACCAGTTCCCCGAACATTCCTGCGAGCAATGTCGCAGATACTGCTCACAGACGTCCCCATAACCAACTTCTTCGCCACCGCAGCCCAGGAGCCCCCAAAGGGGTCCTCCGCGGCCCCGCCCCTTTACGTGCGGCCCCGCCCCTTGGCGTGGCGCCCTGACAAATGGCGCCGGAAGCCCCGCCCCCGGCCGGTTGCTAGGCTCCGACAGCCGGAAGTCCCGCCTGCCGTGTAGTCGCCGCCGTCGCTGCCGCTGCCGCTGCCGCCGTCGTTGTTGTTGTGCTCGGTGCGCTGAGCTCCGCGGCTCCGCGAGCCGGTTCCGTCCCCTTCCCGCCGCCGCCATGAAGTGGATGTTCAAGGAGGACCACTCGCTGGGTAAGCACTTGGTCGTCGGCCCGGCTGCTGGGGGCTGGGGCGGCGGGTGGGCCCCCTCCCCCACTCGGGCGGCCCTGGGCCGAGTGGAGCGGGGCGGATGCCCTGCTGCGGGCTGGAGTCGCCCATGCCCTGGTGCCTCGGGCAGCGGCCCCCTGACCCCATGTCACCCTCCGCGGGCCTTGCTGGGAGCTAGTAGGGGACAGGACCGCGGCCCCGGGGACGCCGGAACCAGGGCCTGGGTTGTACGCAGGGCGCAGGAGGAGGAGGGCCGGGGGCCGGGAACCGACCGGTGGGCAGGCGCGGCCGTCAGCCCCGTTTGTTTCTCCCACAGAACACAGATGCGTGGAGTCCGCGAAGATTCGAGCGAAATATCCCGACAGGGTTCCGGTGAGTGGACTCTCCGCCCCCTCACCTCGCTGTCACCTCTGTCGTCTGGGACCCGTGATAGGCCCCAGGCCATTCAACAGTTGACAAGTTGAGGTTCCAGTCCCAGTTACAGTAGCTGACGGGCCAGACCGGGATGAGGCCGCCCAGGGCCGGGGCGTGAGGGGCTCGGGCTGGTGCTGTTCAGGGTGCCTCAGTGCTGAATCTCCCGATCTAGGCCAGCGAGCCGTCTGCAGCCTCGGGGCTCCCTGGCCAATTATGTAAGGAACGATGTTCTAGGACAGGGCAACAGGTCACTGCCACTTTTGGGAATGGTGGTGGAGGGAGACTGTCATTTTGGTCTTGGAAGTGGTACTTGAGTCTCAGGACGTTCATCTTTTACTTTGTCTCCATCTTTACCTAACTTCTAGCTCCGTTATCTCACCTTGACCCTGTCATCCTTGCCTGACCAAAATAATGTGAAAAGCCGCTGAAAACCCCTTCTGCCATATTTTCTTCTTAGTCAATAATAAATATAATGTTATATTTCTTCCATGGTTGGGGAGATAGTTTTGTAATCGTTATTAATTTTTAATGGACATTAAGGCCTGTTATTGTAGCTCTTTGCTTGTGAATAATTTGTCTGGGGAAAGGAGTAGGAGGGACGGATTTGAAACTTGTTCAGAGAGGAGCAACAGGCCAAATGAAGAACTTGGTTCTTGGCTGGCTAAAATTCCAGGCATTCCAATTAGTCCATCCATTCTTGTCTCCTGTGTTCCTTGGGAACACAGTAGTGTTTCCTGTAGTGTGAAGGTGGATCCATTCTGGGGTCCTGGAGTAACGGGCCATGGATGAAACCCTCCCCAGATATTCTTAGGTCTGCCCAGATAAAATGTGGAAAAGCTTAGTGGTAAGGGCTGCATTTCTCTTACATAATTGACCACAGAAAAGCACTTACTGTTTCCCTGTAACACATTTATATCAATTCTTAACCTCCAGAGCGTGTGGTTTATTAAGCCAAAGACATATTTTCTCCTGCTATGCAGTTCCCCACCCACCTCCTTGCCCACACTCTGTTCATCAGCTCCTCAGCCATGTGAGGCCAGAGCCTCGCTTTAGGAAACACAGTCCTGACCTCTCTTTACTTTCCCAGGTGATTGTGGAAAAGGTCTCAGGCTCTCAGATTGTTGACATTGACAAACGGAAGTACTTGGTTCCATCTGATATCACTGTGGCTCAGTTCATGTGGATCATCAGGAAAAGGATCCAGCTTCCTTCTGAAAAGGCGATCTTCCTGTTTGTGGATAAGACAGTCCCACAGTCCAGGTGAGAGGTGTTTACTAGATGGGCCCTCTGGTATTAGACATCTGGTTGGCTGCTTACGGAACTCCAAAACTTTGGAAGTCTGAAAACTCTTAGGGGTCCTGACTAGAAATCTGGATTTTATGCTCCCTGACATCAGGGGCTCCAGGAAAATAATGGCTGCAATACATAAGAGTGCATTTTGGATTCAGAAAATAGAACAAGGCCTGGACTTTTAAAAAAATGATGAAACTCAGCCTAAGATCTCCAAGAATCTTTTAAAACGGTTGAGAACTTATTTAGTCTTAAGCTATAGGTAGAACTGAGGCCTGAAATGAGGTTTTCTTCCCTGAAGGCAGTCCTGGCATGCTCCTCCACTGGGAGCCTGTGGGCCCTGCTGAGGCTCACTCAGTTAATCATCCAGTTTGCTTGCTCCCAAACTTGGTCAACTCTTTGACATTGTAAGAGTCTATAGCTGCCTGATCCTCAAGTCTGACAAAATGACTGCGGCACAGTAAAGGGCTCTGAAGTCTCTTTACAGACTTATACCTCCCTTGGTAGCACTTGCTTTGACTGTCAGACTATTGTGCTGCCTGGAAGCAATCTTTGGGACTGTAACTTGTGGCCTGAATGTAGGCAGAGGCATTAGAATTCCCGTTTTCTGTGTGTTTGACAGCCCAGCTTTAGTCCCCTGTGGAAAAAGGAAAGTGGATGGGCTCCGTCTAACCTCCTGGTCAGTCCTTTCCCGTTACTGAGTGGGTAGTTGTAGGCCCTGATCCAGATTCCAGCCCCCACCTCTCCCCTGAGTGTGAGTTTCTGGCCACATCTTATCTTTGTGACCCAATCTAGGTTTCATTTACCACTCCCAGAAGTAATACTTCTAAAAGTGAAGGCTCTCAGAAGCCCTGGGAACTAGCCCAATGTTGTCCAAATAGGTTCCTGTTGAAAATCCTTGAAGACTCCAGAAGAGGCCTGTGCCAAATTCCAGACCTTATTTCTGTTAAAGGTGGAAAGCTCTGGCCATTTTTTGGTCTGATTTCCTCTTTCCCAGTGTCCTCCACCTCTACTTCCTGGTGTCTGATAGAAAGGCAGGGGAGAAATGGAAGCTCCTTCCCTAAGGCCAGTATTCAACCTGAGGAGACACCCCAGGGCCTGCCCACTGGACGCCATTGGTCTGCCACAGCTGTAGCTCTGGAAGCTGTGGTGTTGCTTGAGGAGATCTTGTCACCCATGGGGCTCTTCTAACCTTCCTTCCCAGGCCTCTGGGCTGTGTCTTCACCAGGGGAGGAAGCCTTGGGCATCCGTGGTTACCCTGGGCTTTCCTTAACGTGTTTGGGGAGGTAATCTTCTTTCATAACATCTGCAACTTCTACAGAGCCTTGGTGACTCTGTGTTTTGTACTTCCTGGAGGTGTTGGCTTAGTGGGAGAAAATAAGTGACTAGGACCTATGGCATTGAGTTTATTTTCCTCAATTCTGATTCTCTGGTTCTTCTCAAAGGAAATGAAGCAGGCTTCTGGAGACCTTAAGATTACTCAGATGGCTCCACAGTAATCTAGCAATTAAAATGGCTACAGGTCTTATCAACTTCCCCTCCCCCGTTATCCCTGAGATAGAAATAGAATTGGAAATGAAAAATGATTTTTCAGGGCAGCAGAGACTGTTTCAAGCCATTTTCTCTCCAAGTCCCATTTGCCTTTCCAGTGTGGTGAGAATCAACCCTAAAGCAGATTACACTGGTAACTCAAGTCAGGATTTTAGGGCCGAGTAGCCAGAAATCCAGCTCCTGACCCTTCAGGATTTAGAGTCACCAGCTAGGGCCCTTTTGCCCAGGCTGTCAGCTCTTTGGCCCCAGTTAATGACTTATCACCCTACACTTAATGCAACTGTTTATTTTGGGGTTTTATTCTCAGAAGTAATTTTTTTTTTGAGACAGAGTCTCACTCTGTTGCCCAGATTGCAGTGCAGTGGTGCAATCTGAGCTCACTACAATCTCTGCCTCCTAGGTTCAAGTGATCCTCTCACCTCAGCCTCCCTAATAACTGGGACAGGACCACAGGTGCATGTCACCACACCGGGCTAAAAATATAAATTTGTTTCTAAACATAAGAGGCGTGTGACATCATTGGGCTTTATGCAATATATAAATCACCCATAAACATAAAAAGTGCTACAGGGTCCTTCCTAAAGCTGGCTGTGATTCAGCTTCACCATCTCTTCCCCAAGACAATTTAGCAGCCTCTTCCTCAGGTCTTTTCAGCTTCCTTAGGGGAGCATGGAGCCTCCCTTAACCTTCATGCAGTGCTTGCTGGCTTCAAAGAGTGGCTGGGGAAATTAGAGAAGGGACGAATTCAGGCCTGCAGGAGCCCTCCCTCTCCGGTGACTGACTGGTCTGCATGAAGATCAATTATGTCTGAGGCTGAAGGGGAGTGAGTTCTCAGTTATTTCTGCCTTGGAGTGGAAAACAGGCGGTCACCATGTAAAGTGTCATGATTTTTATTTAGAGTAGTTAGTATTAAATATTGATTCTATAAATAGAGACAGAGGCAAGTCCCTAAGTTTTACTTCCTAAATTCTAAGTTCTTGTTTCATTTAAAAAAGAGGGAATCACAATGGCCTTTTCCCATTTAGCATTGGAAAGTTGAATTCTCTGCCTAGGTGCCAGCATCAAGAATCAGGCCAAAAACGGAATGGGGAACCATGCCTTTGTTCAGACAGAACTTCAGAAAAAACATCAGTGTACAAGTTTCCTAGTCATGACGTTAGAGGGGAACTCAGACCTGGCAGTGAATGGTCTTTGGTCTTTGTTTGTTTAGAACATAGATAAGAGTCTTGTTAATCCCCTGTTTAAAATAGAAACAGGAGTATATCATTAAATATAATATCTCTAAGATATTATTTTTTATTGTTGTTGAGACAAGGTCTTGCTCTGTCACCCTGGCTGGAGTGCAGTGGCACAGTCATAGCTCACTGCAGCCTTGAACTCCTGGGCTTGAGAAGTCCTCCTACCTCACCAGGTTGGTCTCAAACTCCTGGCTACAGGTGATCCTCCTGCTTTGGCCTCCCAGAGTGCTGGGATTATGGGTGTTACCCACCATGCCTGGCCAGATATTATAACTGACATTGGGAAACCTGTGCTGTTTAAGAATATGGTGTTTATTTGCTTCTGGATCTTAAAGAGATCTTCAGTAAAAGGAAGTTGTGATGTTTTGGAAATGAAAAGTGATTTTCAGGGCAACAGAGACTGCTTCAAGGCCATTTTCTCTCCAAGTCCCATTTGCCTTTCCATTCTGCTGAGAATCCACCCTAAAGCAGATTATACCAGTAACCCAAGTCAGGATTTTAGGACAGAGTAACCAGAAATCCAATTCCTGACCCTTCAGGCCCAATTAATGACTTCTCACCCCACACTTAATCATCCTTTATTTAGAAATGTGCTTAAAGCACTTTGATCATTTCTGGGTAAATACCTCTTTAAGGACAGGACTTTTTTTTTTTTTTTGGAGACGGAGTTTCACTCATGTCGCCCAGGCTAGAGTGCCCAGGCAGTGGCGCGATCTCAGCTCACTGCAACCTCTGCCTCCCAGCTTCAAGCGATTCTCCTGCCTCTGCCCCCTAGTAGCTGGGATTACAGGCGACTGCCACCACGCCCGGCTACTTTTTTTGTATTTTTAGTAGAGACGGGTTTTACCATGTTGGCCAGGCTGGTCTCTTAACTCCTGACCTCAGGTGATTCGCCGACCTTGGCCTCCCAAAGTGCTGGGATTACAGGCGTGAGCCACTGCTCCCGGCCTAGTTGTTCTTTTTATCAGATAAATATGTTCTGTCCTAGGCCGTGTGTGGTGGCGGTCGCCGGTAATCCCAGCTACTCGGGGGCTGAGGCAGGAGAATCGCTTGAAGCTGGGAGGAGGAGGTTGTGGTGAGCCAAGATCACGCCACTGCACTCCAGCCTGGGTGACATGAGTGAAACTGTCTCAAAACAAAAAAAGGAACAACAACCAGTGGTTAATCTTTTTATTTTAGAATCTTGGGGAGCCTCAGGGCCTTATTAACTTTCACTGTGAAGCCAGTGCCTCTCCAGGATTGACAGTAGTGGTCACTGCCCTTCCACCTCCCACCACCCATCCTGCCCTGCTGGAGAAGAGATAATCCAAGGTCCAGTGGAAGCGCGTGGACTCCAAAGCAGATGGGTGGCCAGGTGTGCTCATCAGCCCAGCCAATTCATGAGTCGGTGTAGACCCCACAGCCTCCATGACCTGCCCTTGGTTGGGGCGAACGTAGGTTCTCTAGGGATTGGGCATCCATACAGTTCTAGGTCAGCCTCTCCCAATGCATAGCGCTGTTGGTAGCATAAACTGATGTCTGTCTTGAGTCACATGGCCATTCCTGGATGTAGGTCTTGCTGCAACTTTCCTTTTTTTATTGCACAGTTTCTCCACTGGAGAAGTGGTTTTACCTGGATCTGTGTCATTCAGTGGAGGGGTTGGGGAGAGGGCTTTAGGGGGCAGTTTAAATTCATTTTCACATAGTACTTCAGGGTCCCACTTCACCTTAGATTAGCTCCATGGCTTGAATCTACCACTGGCTTTACCCGTTTCTTTCTTTGCCAGACTCAGAGCTTGGAAGGTGGCAGTGCTTCTGTACTCAGAGCAGCATCTTTCTCAGATGAATGCGTGTGGTACTTGATGCCACAGGGTGTGCATTCGTGTTAGGGACTGGAGGCCATCTTCAGGTGTTCTCTACAGCCACCTCCCAGCAACTTAGGCAGCAAGCCTTGGAGCTGCAGTGCTACTTGCGAGTTGTCAGGGCATCCAGCAAGCCTGTGCAGCTTAGCTGGATAGATGCATTAGAGCTGCCTCTGTGCTGCAGGATCCTCAGGCATCCTAGCAGTGGCCTGCTCAGTGCTGTGTATAGCTCAGGCCTCCAAATTCTGAGGGGGAAGTTTAACTTCTCAGAGGTTTATGGAATGTGTCCCAAACTGACACACCAGCCTTCTGCTAATAGACTCTCTGCTAGCAAGGGTCACATTTTGTCTCCCTGCACTTCCATTTGCATATCCATTTAATGGGACTTTACAAAAATGAGTTAATTTTTTTTAAGTCTGTTTGTGGCCCAGCTCATTTTGGCTGCAGGCCAAATTATTCTGACTCTGCATGTATGCAGTCAGATCCCGTAAGTGCTGTTTTCAAATCAGTCTTGCTTCATGGCACCCAGTGAAGCCTCAAAATTAGGTGCATGTTCAGCATTGAGCATTCAGTTACCAAGTTCCTTGCCCAAGGGGTATCCTGACTATAAGGACACAGTGCTACTGCCAACTAAGTTTCCACATGAGGTTGTGTGTCAGAAAAGGAGAAATTGTTGGATTCTTAAGTTCTTACGCACTGAGGCATCTAACTGTCAAATTACAAGATGGGAAGGAGAGAGCCCTAAGACCTTGCTACTCAGCATGTGATGCAGAGACTGGCAGCAGTCGCCTTACCTGGGAGCTTGATGTTCCGATGGTTGGTACCAACATTTGTATGAGAAGCACTGTTCTAAGGAAGATCTCTGCAGAAGGTACAAGGACTCTAATGTTAGGTCATCAGAGCAGATCTAGCTGTCTAATCACTTGGAGGCAGCAAAGCTTGGTGGTCTCCTAGTTTTGTGACCTGGAGTGAATTTAGAATCTCTGTGCCTCAGTTTTCCTATCTAGGAACTATGGATTATGGTACCATCTACCTCATGAGATTGTTTTGAGGATAAAGAGTTAATACATGTAATGTATAAGCAGTGCTTGGCACATGTGTTGCCATTATAGTTAGGATTTTTACTATCAGCTTCTGTAGCTACTAGGGCACTGCTTAAACAAATTAATGAACCCAAGTTTTACTTAAAAGACAATGGAATCTAAAGCCAGAAAGGAATGAAAGCCACATGATTGTGGGCCTCCTGTCCTGCCAAGAGTCAGGGCTCAGAGTCTCACGACCTGCCTTCAACAGTAGCGGTCCAGTGGTTATTGTTCACCCTGGATAGCATACACAGGCCCGGGGGTGGGCTGCTGGTGTTTACGAAGCTCTTCAAATGTTTCTAATGTAGCAGCGGGATTTAGAATCATTGTACTAGGGCTTCTAACTTGCTAGGAAAAGAGCAGAACTTAGTCTGTTTGGAACCAAACTTGACAGAGACACTATGGGGCGACTCTGAATTGCACACAATGTCTGCTACTGCATCTAAACCCATCTGGTAGTGGCAGCGGGGAGATGTTACGACAGTTGTCATCAAGATCACCCTGGACACTTGGACAAATGGGGTAAAGAGTTGTGGCAGTAGCTGTAGTTGTTTTCCCATTAGCCTCATTCTGAGGAGTTTCAGAGAAAAATGGGGTTACTCTCTGGGCATTCTCAACCACCAGGGTAAAAATCTTGGGAGACTCAGCTACATGTTCAAGCCCTTCTGCTAGTTTCTGGCTTGTCATTTCACTTCCTGGCTTGTCACTCTACTTCCTAATCACATAGCTTTTAAAGATGACCCTCCCTTCTCCCCCCCAACAAAAGGTCAGGCATTTCCCTTTGCAACCTGGCTGCATATGGAATCATTTTTGGCATTTAAAAATATACTGATGAGGCCGGACACGGTGGCTCACCTGAGGTCAGGAGTTCAAGACCAGCCTGGCCAACATGGTGAAATCCCACCTCTACTAAAAACAAAAACAAAAACAAATTAGCCAGGCGTGGTGGCATGCACCTGTAATCCCAGCTACTTGGGAGGCTAAGACATGAGACTTGTTTGAACCGGAAGGTGGAGGTTGCAGTGAACCGAGATCCTGCTACTGTACTCCAGCCCAAGCGACAGAGCAAGACTCTGTCTTTACAAAACAAAACAAAACATAGTGATGATTTCATTGGTCTGGGGTAGGGCTTGGGCACAGAGATGTTTTTAAAGCTCTCTTTAAAGTAAGATTCTGATGTGCAGCCAAGGCTGAGACCCACGGCTGCAGGCGTTGTTCCTCCCTCTACCCACTGCCCCCTAAGTCTTGTTCTGGGGCAGTGCTGTCAGTAGAAATGGATGCAAGCCACATATGTAATTTAAGAATTTTCTAGTAGCCACATTAAAAAAATAAAAACAGTTGAAATTAATTTTTTTTTTTTTGAGACAGAGTTTTGCTCTTGTTGCCCAGGCTGCAGTACAATGGCACGATCTTGGCTCACTGCAACCTCCACCTCCCAGGTTAAAGCGATTCTCCGGCCTCAGCTTCCCGAGTAGCTGGGATGACAGGCGTGCACTACCATGCCTGGATACTTTTTTTGACAGAGTCTCGCTCTGTCGCCCAGGCTGGAGTGCAGTGGCACGATCTCGGCTCACTGCAAGCTCCGCCTCCCAGGCTCACGCCATTCTCCTGCCTCAGCCTCCTGAATAGCTGGGACCACAGGTGCCCGCCACCACGCCCAGCTAATTTTTTGTATTTTTTAGTAGAGACGGGGTTTCACCGTTGTTAGCCAGGATGGTCTCAATCTCCTGACCTTGTGATCCACCCGCCTCGGCCTCCCAAACTGCTGGGATTACAGGTGTGAGCCACCGCGCCCGGCTTACTTTTGTATTTTTAGTAGAGACAGGGTTTCACTATGTTGGTCAGGCTGGTCTTGAACTCCCGACCTCAGGTGATCCACTTAATATATTTTATTTGACCCAGTATATCCATAATTTTATCATTTCAACATGTAATCAAAATTGAGCTATTTTGCTGCATTTTCATACTAAGTCTGAAGCCTTGTTTATGTTTTACACTGCACATCCCAATTCACACGAGCCAGACTTTCAAGTGCTGAATGTAGCTAGTGGCTGCTGTGGCAGTGATACAGGACATTTCAATCAGAGCAGAGATTTCTATTGAACAGTTCTGTTCCAGGGAGTCCTTATTTTACAAATTCCAGGCTAAGAGGTCCTCACAGGGAGCACCGTTTTTATTGTACAAGATGCTGATGACAGGTTCTTTCATATTCAAATTCAGACCTCCCCCACATTGTTACTTAATAATTCTCATCTACCCACACAGCCATCCGAGCTAAGCTTGCAAATGGGGCAGGAAGAACAGGAAAAAAACTCAAAACCTCCCCCTTCATAAATGTGGTATTTGTCCATGTTTACATGGAGGTTCCACTCAGCCCTTGAGGAGCAAAGCAGCAAGTGGGGCAGTCACTGTTTCCTCAGGTTGAGGCCTTGGACTCCTTATCTTCCCCACTGGCTCTTGGTTTATGAGTTCCCCTTTTAAGGATCTGTTGTGACTTACCTATCTGGGCTAGTGACCTCAGATGTCTCAGACTGAGCATCTTACCACTGTTTCTGGTTGATCCCTTCACTCATGGTCTTAACACATTTGCACTTCCTCTCATCTCAGAGAGTACAGTCACGGGGCAGAGCTTGCATAGGGATCCAGGTGTTACTAGTCTTACTCTGGAGCTGGTCCAACTCAGTTTCATGGCACAGAACTAGATTAGGTCTCCACTGCGCAGTCTGTTTTACTGCTTAGGGAAAGCCAGCTTTTCTACCCACACACGTTTAGTTTGAAGAGTATCTATTTTTGGAGGGTTCTTTGGGAGGTTGGGCAGGCTTCTTTGGATCCCAGATACATTTAGAGCTTTTTGCATTAAGTGTGAGGAAAATAACTTCTCTTTGATGATGTTGATACACCATGTGGGCACCCTGGGGCACAGCGGTTTAGCTGGGGAGATTCCATGAGAATGAACCCAAACTACTCTTCTTTGCTAGGGTCCTTTACCCACACAGAGGTGAGCCTTTCAGGTTCTTCATTTTGCTTAGTTTCTTCCCTTGTCCTTGGCATTTAAGAGGCATCCATGTGTTAGCCAGCCAAAGCCCCCTGAAGGAGCTGGCTGCTTTAAAGGATTTACTTGGGAGGATGTCAAATGGCTTTGCCTTCTGCAGACTTCATTTATTTTAATCTTTTTATGGCTCCTTTCTCTTGCTTTAAAACAGGATTATAAGCACACAGCAGGTACTGACACCTGAAGTCTTACTAAATTCCTGTCCTCAGGCCATCCTTTTTCTCCTGAAACCTGGACTCCAATTTTCAATGACGTTTTTGTTTTTCTCTTTCAAGCCTAACTATGGGACAGCTTTACGAGAAGGAAAAAGATGAAGATGGATTCTTATATGTGGCCTACAGCGGAGAGAACACTTTTGGCTTCTGAGGGCCATTGCTGGGCTAGGTGCACCGTAACTGCTTGTGTATCTTGTAAATAGCCAGCCATTTTCAGTTATTATACCAGAACCTCTTCACATAGACCTATTAGTGCATTTGTAACTGGATTTATTTCTTAATATATTGGAAGGTTTTGTTTCCTTAGACTAGTAAATTATCATACAGAGTTTTATTTTGAGTTTTTCTTTTTGTGCATTGTCCTCATGCCTGTATTCTCCAGGAAACTTGTCCTTCTGGAAATCATATTGAATGATATTTCTATATCGAAGTGAGGTAGGTGCGGTATTAAAGTGAAAGGGAAGGTGATGCATTTATTCTGGGTTATGCTTGAAGTGTTAGATGGCTAAGTATTAAAATTATCCAAATTAAATCCTTAGCAGTCAGAACACTTGCTTCACTAGAATATGCCAACTGCCAATCATGTTGGACTGAGCTAATTTGTTCCTCTTTCTGAAACTATTAAGGTAAATAATTAACAATAAAAATTCTCTTATAAAGGCATTGTACTGTGGCCATGTCCTTTATTCACCCGCATTTGGATGGGCCAGAGAAGTGGCTCCTACATCTGCCAGACCAGGAAGAGGGCTTGTGGAGGTCATGGCCGCACATCCTGGGTCGGGAAGCCATGGCCAGGGTCATGAGGAGAGACATTGTTTTGAATAACTAATATGTTCACATGTTTGAGGTATCGGGACAATACAAAAAGGTATACACTGAGAAGGCTTGCTCCTGCCAGCTTCCTAACCACCTCTGCCCTTTATGGGAAATTACTTTTACTGGCTTCTTGTTTCTTTTCAATATTTTAAAAGTAAATAGGATAATTTAAAGGACAGTATAATGGCACAGTAAAAAGGATAATTAAATATGAATACATATCCTTATTTTCTTTCTTCTTTTTTTTTTTTTTGAGACCGGAGTTTTGCTCTTGTCACCCAGGCTGGAGTGTGATGGTGCAATCTCAGTTCACTGCAGCCTCCGCCTCCCGGGTTCAAGGAGTTCTCCCGCCTTGCCTCCTGAATAGCTGGGATTAGAGGCATGTACCACCACGCCCAGCTAATTTTGTATTTTCAGTAGAGATGAGGTCTTATCATGTTGGCCAGGCTTGTCTCAAACTCCTGACCTCAGGTGACCCACCCACCTCAGCCTCCCAAAGTGCTGGGATTACAGGCGCCCACCACTACACCCGGCTTCTTCTTTTTCTTATACAAAGAAAACATACACTTCTATATACACTGCTTTTTTTCATTTAACATTATATTTTAGTGATCTTTCCATATCACTTCTGTGCATCTTTTTCATGTTCCTGCATTCTTTAAGGTACTGCTTTCTACTCCCTTCTTCCTAAAAATCAAGATTAGATTTATCTATGCGCATGAGTTTCATTTCTCACACATTAGTAGAGATGTGTAGGCTTGCTAGGACACAAATACATTTGAGAGGAAATGCTTAGATACTTTCTTAAATCTTCTGCAGACATACTGTGTTGGTGGCTAGAGCACTACACAGACAAGAATAAAGAAACCAGGTATGTCCCACCAGTCTAAGAACATGTAATTAAAATGACTCACACTTTCCATTGCGGAAGAAACAAAGACCTTTAACTTTATCTTCACCAAATTATATAAGCAGCTCATCCAAGCTCTCTACTGATGTCATCTTCTCAGTTGGGATCAGAGGAAACATTCTTAATTTGTCACAAACATCTTGTTGGGTCTTTACCAAACTTGAGGTAATAAAATCTGTTTCTCTTTGCTGATAGTTTCACACTAAAAGCAGTTAGAAACTGACCTCAGAGCGATCAAGGTAAAGGGAAAGCAAGCTCTGTGTTACTAAGGAATTTTATTTGCAATGACATGCTCCCAATTCAAACAGGCCTTAGCATTAAAAAGGCAGTTTATTATCTCACCTCTCAGAGGGATGGTTCACTGGCTTGAGGTGTAGCTAGAACCAGGGATCAAATAATAACATCAAAACTCCATCTCTTGGTTTTGTTTTTCTCTGTGTTCTCTCCATGTGATGGCAAAGATGGCCCCATCTTTGGAGTTGCTTAGCAACTCTAGTGGAAGGAAGAACATCTTTTCTGAGAGCACTAACAAAAGTCCCTGGGAGGTCTCTGGCCTTGCTTGGACTACCAAACAGCCCTGCTTGGGCCAGAGAATGGTGAACCTCTGCTTAAACATATGAACAGAAATAGGATTTTACAGAAGTGGAGGAGGGGTGGCTTCCCAAAGGCATTTTGATTTATTTCTGTTTCACAACCACAAACCCACAAATGCAAACGAGAAAAAACAGCTAAAGAGAAGAAAACCAAAAGGCAAGTATCGTTGAAGCCAATTGCGTTTTTTGTTTGTTTTTTTGAGACGGAGTCTCGCTGTTGTCAGCCTGGGCTGGAGTGCAATGGCACAATCTCAGCTCACTGCAACCTCCGCCTCCCGGGTTCCAGCAATTCTGCCTCAGCCTCCCGAATAGCTGAGATTACAGGCGTGTGCCACCACGCCCAGCTAATTTTTGTATTTTTAGTAGAGACGGTTTCACCGTGTTGGCCAGAGTGGTCTCGAACTCCTGACCTTAGGTGACCCACCCGCCTCAGCTCACAAAGTGCTGGGATTACAGGCGTCAGCCACCATGCCCAGCCGTGTTTTTCTTTTAAGTAATTTATAGTTAGCACTTATTAAACACCCTCTGGATACCAGATGATTTACATACATTATCACAATCTTCAAAAAGCCCCCATAAGATAGGTAGTGAAGTTTCCACAGCCACACGACTACCAAGTGGCAGAACTGAGATAATAAGTAAAACTGAAGAAGAATGATGTGGTTGGCAATGTCAAATCATTTCATGATTTTTTTTTTCTATTTATAATGTGCCTGGGAGGACTCTGGCCTTGCTTGGTGTACCAAACAGCCCCATTTGGAGCAGGGACTGGTGGGAGGGAGTAGTGAACCTCTTCTTAACCATGTAAATGTAGGATTATACAGAATCCTACAGAATAGGATTAACCATGCTGCATACTAGGGCACAAATACGAACAAAGTACTATCCTGTCTTCCAGGAGGTTTCCGTCTGGCGGTAAACCAACATGTAAAGAATAATTACAAAGCAATGTTGTAAGTGCTATAGCAGAAGTCCTGGAACAGAGGCGGGAGTAGCTATCAGCTACAAAACAAACCATTGAAGAAAGCAGCCTTATTTGGAATATCAGTCAATAACAGTGGATTTGTCAATTTTACCTTTAAAATGTAACATCTAAGTGAAGATTTTAAAAGTTAAAAAAAAAAAGCATATACTCTTCCCCCAAACCCTACTCCTCAAAAAGACACTAGACTTGTAAAATTGTACAGATGAATTTTATCAAACTAAGGAACCCCTTTCTTAAATTGTTTCAGAGATTAGAAAAGGAATAATTACATTTCTTTTGAGACTTATAAAATCTCAATGTTTAAAACTTTATAAAGATAGTATAAGAGAAAAAGTTATAGCTTTGTCTCATTTATCAACATAGAAAAATCATATATATATATTTTAAAAGAGATGGGGTCTCACTGTCACACAGGCTGGAGTGCTGGGCTGTGATCACAGCTCACTGTAGCTTCGAATTCCTGGGCTCAAGTGATCCTTCCATCTCAGCTTCATGAGTGGTGCCTGGCCCCCATGTTTAAAATATAACAGCAATGGCATGAAAAATGAACTGGATGACCCATGACTCTATAACGGTTATATATGAAAAAACAGATCCCTGTATTACACACAAAATAAATTCAAGGTGGATTAAATATCTGAATATGAGACAGCATGGCGGCTCACACCTGTATTGCCAGCACTTTGGGAGGTCGAAGTGGAAGGATCCCTTGAGGCCAGGAGTTTGAGCCCTGGGCAACGTAGTGAGACACTGTCTCTACAAAAAATTTAAGAATTAGCTGGGCCTCGTGGTGCAGGCCTATAGTCCCAGCTACTGAGGAGGCTGAAGTGGGAAGCTCAGGTGATGAGCCCAAGGAGTTTAAGGTTGCAGTGAGCTATGATTGTGCCACTGCACTTCAGCCTGGGTGACCCTGTTGCGAAAAACAAAAACAGGCCACGAACAGTGGCTCATGCCCGTAATCCCAGCACTTTGGGAGGCTGAGGTATGTGGATCACTTGAGGTCAGGAGGTCAAGACCAACCTGGTCAACATGGTGAAACCCTGTCTCTACTAAAAATACAAAAATTAGCTGGGCGTGTTAGCGGGCACCTGTAATCCCAGCTACTTGGGAGGCTGAGGCAGGAGAATTGCTTGAGCCTGGGAGACAGAGGTTGCAGTGAGCTGAGATCTTACCATTGCACTCCAGCTTGGCTGACAGAGCGAGACTCTGTCTCAAAACAGGAAAAAAAAAAAAAAAAAAAAGCACCTAAAACAAATAGAAGCCACAGACTGGGTAAGAGATATAATCAAGACATAATTAATATCCAAAATAAATAAAAGAACTCTTGGAATCAGTAACACAAACCACCTAGGCTGGGTGCTGTGGCTCACACGTGTAAGCCCAGCACTTTGGGAGGCTGAGGTGGGTGGATCACTTGGGGTCAGGAGGTCAAGACCAGCCTGGCCAACTTGATGAAACCCTGTCTCTAGGGCCAGGTGTGGTGGCTTATGCCTGTAATCCCAGCATTTTGGGAGGCCGAGGCGGGCAGATCACAAGGTCAGGAGATCGACACCATCCTGGCTAACACTGCGAAACCCCGTCTCTACTAAAAATACAAAAAATTAGCCGGGCGTCGTGGCACGTGCCTGTAGTCCCAGCTACTCGGGAGGCTGAGGCAGGAGAATTGCTTGAACCCGGGAGGCAGAGGTTGCAGTGAGCCAAGATTGCACCACTGCACTCCAGCCTGGGTGACAGAGTTGAGACTCCATCTCAAAAAAAAAAAAAAAAAAAAAGAGAAGAAAAGAAACCCTGTCTCTACTAAAAATACAAAAATTAACTGGGCGTGGTGGTGGCACCTGTAATCCCAGCTATGCGGTAAGCTGAGGCAGGAGAATCTCTTGAACCTGGGAGGTGGAGGTTGCAGTGAGCTGAGATCGCTCCACTGTACTCCAGTCTGGGCAACAGAGCAAGACTCTCAAACAACAACAACAATAAAAACAAACCACCCAGTAGAAAAATGGGCGAAAGACTTTTAAACTATTTGAGATTAGAAAAAGGAATAACCACAAATTCATTTTGAGACTTACCAAATCTCAGTGTTAAAACTTTATAAAGACAACATGAGGCCATGCACAGTGGCTCATGCCTGTAATCCCATCCCAACACTTTGGGAGGCCAAGGTGGGAGGATCAATTGAGCCCAGGAGTTTAAGCTTGCAGTGAGTGATGATCGTGCCACTTTACTCCAGCCTGGGTGACAGAGTGAAACCCTGTGTCCAAAGCAAAACAAAACCCACAGAAACAAAAAGACAGTGTAAGAGAAAAAAGAAATTATAGATCTCATTTATTAACATAGAAAAATCGTAAAGTTTTTATTTTTTTAAAGAGATGGGGTCTCGCTCTGCTGCCCAGGCTGGAGTGCAGTGGCATGTTCATAGCTCACTGCAGCCTCAAATTCGTGGGTTTAAGCAATCCTCCTGCCTCAGCCCCACAAAGTGCTGGCCAGGCTTAAGCTACCATGCCCGGCCTGGCATTTAGCTCTTTAATTTACCTTGAATTTATTTTATGTATAATTAATATAGGAATCTATTTTTTCATATGTATATAATCAATTATTTTGTGTAATTCCTACAAAAGAGAAAACCTAACAGGTCAATAAACAAAATTCTTAACATCACTCAAGACCACTGTTATTGTACCAACTCTAGAATGCACCGTTCACAAAGACTAAAATGTGAACAGCACCTCCTAGAGTTGTGTGGTATCTACACTACATTATTGGTGGCCTTGTAAAAATCTAAAGGAAACTATAGAATATAACTGCATCAAATTGGCCGAAATTAAATTTTCAACAAATGAAATATTGGTGAGGACGTGAAGCATCTAGAATTGTCATAAATGGCTATTTTGTATGTAAACTGGTACCATCACTTTGGGAAAAAGTTTGACACTGTATCTAGTGAAGTTGAAGGTGCCTGTAATCCATGGCTTAGCAAGTTCCACTTTTAGTTATATATTCCAGAAATATCCCTACATGTGTACAAGAGACATGTAGAAGAATGATCATTGCAACCTTGTTTGAACAAAAAATTGGAAACCAACTAAATGTCCACCACAGGAGAATGGAGAGATAATGTGGTATATTTATACAAAGGAATACTATATAGCAGTTGAAATAACTAGAGCCACATGTGCCAACATAAATAAATCTCCAAAACAGTACTGATAATGAAAAAAGCAAGAGGCAGTATATTCAGCATGATCCATCTCTATAATAAACTTTAAAAATTTGCAAAACAATTATATTTATTGCTTATAGATATAAACTTATGTAATAAAAGTATAAACCACGCAAGGGAATGAAACATCAAATTCAGGATGGTGGTTACCTCATGGAGGGAGGGAAATGGGATCAGGAAAGGGTAAATGTGGGGTTTCAAACACTAGTCATGTTTTGTCCAAAAAGTAAAAACCTGACGCAAAGACAGCAAAATGTTTACTGTTAATTGGGTCATGAGTGTTTCTTTTCTTTTCTTTTCTTTTTTTTTAAAGACACAGGGTCTCACTGGGTTGCCCAGGCTGGTCTTGAATTCCTGGGCTCAAACGACCCTTGCACCTTGGCTTCCTGTAACTTGGATTACAGGCACATATCACCATGCCCAGCTTCATTTTACTTTTATGTTTGAAATATTTAATCACTTTTGTTTTGTTTTTAAGTTACACCAATGAGAATAGGAATTAGGTCCTTCTCAAAGGAGAGCATCTGGCTGCCTCCATTTCTCACTTCCTCCTCCCTCCTCAGCTCAAGATAGGCAAGCTTCTACCCCTCCACTTCTCTGCCCCAGAGTTTGCTAGGCTTACCAAAATAACCTTGTCCCCCGCCCGTGGATACTTGCCACCACACCCAGCTAATTTTCATTTTTTTTTTTTGTAGCAATGGGGTGTCACTATGTTGCCAGGTTGGTCTCAAACTCCTGGCCTCAAGGGATCCTCCCCTATACTTTACGTTACTCTCTCCTGGAAGCTCCTAATTGGCTTTCTCCTGATTTTCCTCTGGTCTCTCAGTCACTCTCGTTTCTATGCTTTTCTACCCGCTCCTGAAGTCTCCATTTCCCCAGGGTTCCCTCCTCACCAGTGTCTCCTCTTCTCTATCTGCACATTCTCTGTAGATGATTTCATCTAACCCATGTCTTTAATGATGACTCCAAAATTTTTATCTCAATGTCATCTCTCTCCTGAGCACTAAACCAGTCCGTGTAAATGCCCACTATGGGCCCTTATCCTGCCAAAATCTTAACCTCTGAAACTGGGCACATCCCCTGCCTACATCTCCTGGCCCCCCAACACCAGCTTCTCTTCCTGGGTCCCATTTCACGATCCATGGCACAGCGTTCCATTCTGTCACCAACACGACAACCTGGGAGTCATCTTCAACCACTCCCTCTTCCACTCCCTGCACTCACCTCGCCCTCTGCCTGTTTCTGAAGTCAGCCCCTCACTGTGGTTCCTCAAGCCTCTATTGCCTGGGCCTCATCATTTCTCTTGAAGTTACTACAGTAATCCCCCAACTATGGTCACCTCACCACCATCCCTGCTCCTGCAGTCTGTTCTCCTTGCTACAGCAAAGAGTTATCTTTGTAAAATGTAACTTCATCTTAGCACCCATCTCTCAAAATCACTGAAGTGCAGAGCGGTCAGGATAAAACTATTCTCCTTTGCAAGGCACTCAGAGTCCTCCCTGCTGTGACCTCCAGCCTCATCCCCAGCGTCCCCCATACTCCACTAGCCCAGCCATGCTGTGCTCTCACCTCTAGCCTTTGATTATGATGTCTCTCCACTGTAAATACCCTTCCCTCTAAACTGTTGCCAAATGTACCCCCAATTCTTTTTGCTTGCTAGCCACTAATATTTCCCCTTCACCAGTTGTTTACTAAGAACCCTGCACCCTTCTCCCAGGTTGGGTATTAGACCTTTGTCACAGTCATCCTCACACTGCACTCTTTCACTATGAAGTCACTTGCCATCCTCCTTTACTCAGGAGCAACATGAGGACTCTCCCTTATCCTTGTACCCCGGCTGCAGAGCAAAATGCCTGGCACATTGATGGCATCTAGGTGTATGACTGCTCTTACCTGGAACTGAGAGCCTACTTAACAAGCACTGACACATCTTACTTTTGCAGCAGCAGCTGAAACACACTGGCCCCAAAGAGGGCATGAGACAGGCTTGTGCAATCCCAAAGGTGGCCAGAGGATCTCTTTCAAGGAGAATTTGGAAGGAGGCAATATAAATGTTCTTATTCTCAAAAGACTCATTCTTCCTTAAACAGAAAAAAGGAAAGCCTTAAAATGTACAACTGATTCCCTTTTTCATCCTTATTTCTTATAGTTTGGATGTTTGTCCCTGCCCAAATCTCAAGTTGAATTATAATCCTAAATGCTGGAGGTGAGGCCTCGTGGGAGGTGTTTGGATCATGGGGCAGATCCCTCATGATTGGTACTGTCTTCGTGATAGTTTTCACAATATCTGGTCATTTCAAGGTGTGTGGCACCTGCCTCCACTCTCTCTCTTGCTCCTGCTTTCACCATGTGAGACGCCTGCTCCCGCTTCACCTTCCATCATGAGTAAAGCTTCCTGAGGCCTCCCCAGAAGCAGATGCTAGCACTGTTTCCTGTACAGCCTGCAGAACTGTGAGCCAATTAAACGTCTTTTCTTTTCTTTTTTTTTTTTTTTTTTTTGAGACAGAGTCTCACTCTGTCACCCAGGCTGAAGTGCAGTGGCAAGATCTCTGCTCACTGCAACCTCCACCTCCCAGGTTCAAGTGATTCTCCTGCCTCAGCCTCCTGAGTAGCTGGGATTACAGGTGCCCACCACCACGCCTGGCTAATTTTTTTTTGTATTTTTAGTAGAGACGGGGTTTCACCATGTTGGTCAGGCTGGTCTCGAACTTCTGACCTCAAGTAATCCACCGGCCTTGGGCTCTCAAAGTGCTGGGATTACAGGCGTGAGCCACCTTGCCTAGCCAAATGTCTTTTCTTATAAATTACCCAGTCTCAGCTATTTATTTATAGCAATGCAAGAATGGCCTAACACACCTAAAACCAATCCTGGTGGCTGACACTGAGGAAGCAAAGCCACAGTTTGGTCGGAGGATCCACATACACCTCTGTGATCGACAGCTTTGCTCCTTCACCTGGAGCTGTTGCTTCCAGATGTGGGATGGAGCGGTGCAAACACATGTGCAGACACCTGGTGTGCAGCATGACACTCTACAAACATCTGCCCAATAGGCTTCTCCTGAGGACAGTCATGTTTATTAGCAAAAGCTCTGGAAAATGGGACTAGCAAATTGGAAGGAGTCACTTAGAAGCTGGCAGACAGACGACCTCAGCTGGAGTTTCCTAAGTGCTAGTCACTGCATGTGTGGTAGACAGCCCTCCTATACCTATCACAACCCCATTGCCAAGTGGGCAGAGCTGCCCTCATTTCAAAGGAGAGGACACTGACACTTTGAGAATGAAGTTACCTACCCAACATCACACAACTAGGACATCCTGGTGCCAAAATTCACACTTCGGTCTAATGCCAAAACCCATCTTTATTTTGCTAGTCCAGACAGTGAGAATTAAAGGGCTGTGTTTAAATGTGGCCCACAGACATGTATATAAATACCTAATTTTCTTGCTTCTCCTGAAAAAATTCTTAAGATCTAGCAACAATCAGCTAGAACAACAACAAAAACGGTTCCAGTTCATTCCACCTGCCTTAAGTTTCCTGCTCCTGAAAAGACTGGGTTTGTGACCATCGCACCATAGTCTACACACTGTCATTTATTTATTTTTGAGACAGAGTCTCGCTCTGTCACTCAGCTTGGAGTGCAGTGGTGCAATCTCGGCTCACTGCAACCTCGGCTAACTGCAACCTCCGCCTCCCGGGTTCAAATGATTCTCCTGTCTCAGCCTCCTGAATAGCTGGGATTACAGGATTAACTTGCCCAGCTAGTTTTAATATGTTTTGTTTTTTGGAGACAGAGTCTCTGTCATCTAGGCTGGAGTGCAGTGGCACGATCTTGGTTCACTGCAACCTCTGCCTCCCAGGTTCAAGAGATTCTTGTGCCTCAGTCTCCCGAGTAGCTAGCATTACAGGCATGCACCACTATGCCCAGCTAATTTTTGTATTTTTAGTAGAGATGGGGTTTTGCCATGTTAGCCAGGCTGGTCTGGAACTGCTGACCGCAGGTGATCCACCCACCTCAGCCTCCCAAAGTGCTGGAATTATAAGCATGAGCCACCATGCCTGGCCTAGTTTTTATTTTATTTTCAGACAGAGTTTCGCTCTTGTTGCCCAGGCTGGAATGCGATGGCGCAATCTTGGCTCACTGCCACCTCTGCCTCCCAGGTTCAAGAGATTCTCCTGCCTCAGCCTCCCCAGTAGCTTGGATTACAGGCGCCTGCCACCATGCCCGGCTAATTTTTATATTTTTAATAGAGGTGGGGTTTCACCATGTTGGCCAGGCTGGTCTTAACTCCTGACTTTAAGTGATCTGCCCACCTTGACCTCCCAAAGTGCTTGGATTACAGGTGTGAGCCACCATGCCCGGCCCATTTATTTTACAAAATAATTCCCTCAAAGTATATGCAAGCAAAATACTAAGCCACGTGGGCCCTTGTTGTTTGGGCTGCTGTAACAAAACACCATAGACTGAATAGTTAATAAACAATATAGCTCTATTTCTTACCATTCTGGAGGCTGGGAAGTCCAAGATCAAGGTGTGATTTGGTGTCTAGTGAGAGCCAGATTCCTGGTTTATAGACAGCCATCTTCTCATTGTGTCCTCACATGGCGGAAGAGGTAAGGAATTTCTGGAGTCTCTTTGATAAGGACACTAATCCCATTCATGAGGGCTCTGCGTTTTTTCTTTTTTTGAGACGGAGTTTTGCTCTTGTTGCCCAGGCTGGAGTGCAATGGCGCGATCTCAGGTCACTGCAACCTCCTTCTCCTGGGTTCAAATGGTTCTCCTGCCTCAACCTACCGAGTAGCTGGGATTACAGGCGCCCGCCACCACGCCCAGCTGATTTTTGTTTTTTTAGTAGAGATGGCGTTTCACCATGTTGGCCAGGCTGGTCTCAAACTCCTGACCTGAGGTGATCCACCTGCCTCCGCCTCCCAAAGTGTTGGGATTACAGACGTGAGCCACCATGCCTGGCCGGGCTCTGCTCTTAAGATCTAATCACCTCCCAAAGACCCCACCTCTGATACCATAATTCTGGGAGTTACGATTTCAACATAGGAATCTGGGGGGACACAAACATTCAGACCATAGCAGCTCTCATCTTTCATGAAGGAGGCACAGAGCCGGGCGGCACCACCTACCTGCTTTAGCACAGGTGAGTGAGCACTGTCATCAGAGCTGGTTTAACTGCACTTGCCACTCCATCACCCCGACTGCCTTCTCCCACTGTCAGCTGGCTTCACAGCCCAGCAGTTACTGACATGTTAGTAAAGAAGGACATTCACAGTGGCACTGGGTAAGCTGAAGAACAAAAGTACAGCATGAAAATGCCAGCTGAAAAGGCATTCACTGGAGGTCAAAAAGGTTCACAAGAGGCAGCAATAAACAGGGAAGTTGATGAAACTTTGGGTTGGGGGATGCACGTCCCGAAACTTACATTAAGAAAAGCTCTTTCAATTAACAAAATCGAATTCAGAGCAAACGGGTGAACTGGACTGAGTGTGCCTCTATTGTTGGGTAAAGCTTAGTAATACTGCCCACAGTATCATTTGCCAGAGATTTCTTGAGAGGTTGCACAGAAAGGTCTTGTTGTTGAACTGAAGAAAAATGTTGGGAATGGCTCTGTGATCCTGCCTGTTGTCAGGTTGGTTTCACCAGCAAGGGGCCCACCGTACCTCTCCTGTGGAGACACTGCTTAGTTTCAATGTGCTTTTCATTCTCTTGGCTGCCTGAGCAAATGGCCATCACTGTTTCCATTGTGAGCTCTTCCCCTTCCGGAGCTGAGCCCAAGTACAGGGAACATGTGCTGGAGACCAACATTTGGCAGCCTGGGTCCCACTTGGAGTGACTTTCTGCCACTCCCTTTCCTCCCACAGAGACATTTCCCTGCATTTGGTCACTGAAAAGCAGTGCCGGACAGGCTTGTTCTAAAAGCTGATTCCTAACCCTACTGGCTCATATGAATGAGGGGCAAAAAATCCATACCCAAATTCAGAGCCCAGGTTAGTCGATTGAGACAAAATTTATTTTCAGGCCGGGTGCGGTGGCTCATGCCTGTAATCCCAGCACTTTGGCAGGCAGAGGCGGGAGGATCACCTGAGGTCGAGAGTTCGAGACCAGCCTGACCTTCATGGAGAAACCCCATCTCTACTAAAAATACAAAATTAGCCGGGCATGGTGGCACATGCCTGTAATCCCAGGTACTCGGGAGGCTGAGGCAGGAGAATCGCTTGAACCCAGGAGGTGGAGGTTGTGGTAAGCCCAGATCACGCCGGTGTACTCCAGCCTGGACAACAAGAGTGAAACTCTGTCTAAAAAACAAAAAAGTTATTTTCATCCCTCCCTTGTCACCAACATGACTGAGGCCATATGTAGTCACATCAACAATGGGCAGTTTCCTAGAGAAAATTTCTCTTTGTATTATCTATCCAATTAATAATTTTTATGAGAATCCTACCTAACAGTTGAAAAAAACTGAGCATCCTAAATGCGAGGATCTAATTTGGTAGGACAGATGAGAAGTTATAAGTAGAGGTTACATACTTTCCCCACATACACATAGAAGTTAGTGGCAGAACTGGTACTAGGACACAATTGCTTGAGTATCTAGGCCCAGTTTTATTCTACTACACAAAGTAATAAGGGCTATGTTTTTGTTTTTTTGCATTTTAAATTTGAGGTATAATTACGTAAAGTACACGAACATTAACGTGTAGACTTAATTTCGACAAATGTTTACACCAATATAATCAACGCTCCAATCAAAACACAGGATGTTTCCATCTCCCAGAGGGTGCTCCTGTGCCTCTTTCTAACTCAACCGCCTGCTCCCCATCCCCCACCACATCAGGCAATAACCACTCATCTGACATCTATCCCTTTTGATTCATTTTGGGTCCCCAGTTTTAAGAAATAAAAATTGAATTCAAACAACTTTGCCTGAAGCCCTTAAATCTTTACAGAATTTTCCTACCACTTTTGGACCATAGGTATAAAGATTTGTTTTGGATTCATCTGGATGGTGTTACAGCAAGTCAGTCTCAGCCCCAGTACAGACACGTTTAAGTTTAAAAGGATTCACATTTATAGGATGTGAAGGTCAACAATTCTTCAATATGGGGTATTAAAAAAACTACTCTTTCTGGAAAATAAATGTACTTTGTCTAAAATATCTGCCTCCTTGGCTGTTTCTGTATTCAACCATTCCTTCGGGATAGCCGCCTATGGGAAGAGCTGCTTGAGCTCTTGAAAGTAAGCACTTAGATACTAAGTATTTTTCCAGTTGGAAGCTGTCTCCTGGTTTCAATAGCTTTTCTGCTGCGGTGGGACTCATTTTAACAGCTCCTCTGGCTTTCCCAGACACCATCTCAGGAGGCAGTGGCAGTTGAAAAGATAACACTGTCCTAAGCCATTTAACTAGCCAGCAAGGGAAGTGGGTTTTAGGAGCTGGAAAATTTTGGCTAAGGCTTGCTCAGAACACTGTCTTAAATCCAAAAAGTCTTGCCAAGGTCCAGGTGGAGGCAGCTTTCCCCCAGCCACAGACACTACCAAATCAGACAGGGCTTGCATTTCTTCCGACCAGAGGCACTGGCAGCCAGGGTTGGTCATTATCTCCATAGCAGCCTTGTTTCCCCAGACAGTGAGCTCATGCTTGGCGCTGATCAACTCCATAAAACAAGGCGTTTAACCCTATGCAGAAATGACTACATGAAACCTATACAATTATTTAAATCAAGCCAAGTTTTGAAAATTATGAAGAAAATACAAATTATGCAACACAGTCATAACATTAGAACCCACTTATGGGCACAGAATAAACAGCAATGCTGAAAGTTTAAACTTCCCTGAAAGAGCCAAATTCCAGAAGACAGTAATTCTGCGGAATTCAGCTGCCTAAAGCAGCTTGTGAGGTTCCTCTTCCCTATGCAACATTGCCTCTACGTGTTTTCTGGTGTTAATGCAGTTTAAGATAGAGAAATCTTTTTCCACTAATTTTTATTTCATTTAAAAAATTTATTTAAAAAATATAATTAACATGGTTCAAAATTTTAAAAGGGTAAAACCAAACACAGCATATTCTCACTCATAGGTGGGAACTGAACAATGAGAACACATGGACACAGGAAGGGGAACATCACACTCTGGGGCCTGTTGTGGGGTGGGGGGAGGGGGGAGGGATAGCATTGGGAGATATACCTAATGCTAGATGACGAGTTAGTGGGTGCAGCGCACCAGCATGGCACATGTATACATATGTAACTAACCTGCACAATGTGCACATGTACCCTAAAACTTAAAGTATAATAATTAAAAAAAAAATTTTTTTTAAAAGGTATTCAGTAAAAAGTCTCCCTCCCACTCCTTGGACCCCAGCCATCCTTTTTCCTGTTCGATGACTGGTTTCTTGTAAGTCGATTCAGAGATACTTTAGTATATACAAGCTAAACAGTTACATATCTTTCATGCCTTTTTTTTTTTTGAAACGGAGTTTTGCTCTTGTTGCCCAGCCTGGAGTGCAATGGCCTGATCTTGGCTCACCACAACCTCCGCCTCTCGGGTTCAAGCGATTCTCCTGACAGCCTCCCGAGTAGCTGGGATTATAGGCATGCACCACTACGCCCGGCTAATTTTTAATTTTTAGTAGAGACGAGGTTTCTCCATGTTGGCCAGGCTGCTCCTGAACTCCCAACCTCAGGTGATCCGCCTGCCTCAGTCTCCCAAAGTGCTGGGATTACAGGCATGAGCCACTGCGCCCGGCCTCTTTCATGCTTTTTTAATATAAATGGCATGGTTGTAATGCTGTTCTGTGCTTTGCTTTCTTTGGATTCACTGTATTTAGAAACAGAACTTAGAAGATATATTTAAATCAAGCAAAATTATATGTTTATTTAATCTTTGACCCAACAATCCCACTTCTAAGACTATCCAAAAGATACAGTGGCAAAAATACAAATTGTTGTATATATGATATGGATTTATGACTACTGCTAGAGTGAAGAAAAAACCAGGGAGGGGACAAGGATGAAAGACCTCTCTGAGTGTACCTTTCTTCAAAGAAAACTAGTTCTAGCCAGGTGTGGTAGCTCATGCCTGTAATCCTAGCACTCTGGGAGGCCAAGATGGGAGGATCGTTTGAGGCCAGGAATTAAAGACCAATCTGGCCATCATAGTGAGACCCCGTCTCTATTTTTTAAAAAACAAACAAGGGGGCCGGGCGCAGTGGCTCACGCCTGTAATCCCAGCACTTTGGGAGGCCGAGGCGGGCGGATCATGAGGTCAGGAGATCGAGACCATCCTGGCTAACACGGTGAAACACCGTCTCTACTAAAAATACAAAAAATTAGCTGGGCATGGTGGTGGGCGCCTGTAGTCCCAGCTACTCAGGAGGCTGAGGCAGGAGAATGGCGTGAACCCAGGAGACGGAGCTTGCAGTGAGTCGTGATCGCACCACTGCACTCTAGCCTGGGTGACAGAGCAAGACTCTGTCTCAAAAAATAAATAAATAAATAAAATAAAATAAAAAAATAAAAAACAAAACAAAACTAGTTTCAACTTTGGAATCATACAAACATTTTACATAATTTTTTAAAAGGTATCCCTAAAAACTGAAAGTAAAATTATGTACAGATTTGGAGCAATAACTAGAGAGGAACTATTTCAAGTGACTTAAAAGACAATTGTTAGAAGCAGGGTTTCTTAACCTCAGCATGACTGACATTTTGAGCCAGATAATTATTTGTGGGGAGTGGGGGTGGGGACAGGGCAGTTGTCCTGTGCATCATGCGACGTTAGCAGCATCCAAGGCTCAGCGAGCTTCTATAATTGGCAACAACTGGCACATACTGCCATACATCATTGCTGGGAGGATTAAGTGCTGTCTGTGCGACACCACTGGGGGAGTGTTTTAAAATATAGGTTTTAGGTGGCCCGACGTGGTGGCTCATGCCTGTAATCCCAGCACTATGGAAGGCCAAGGTGGGAAGATCATTTGAGCTCAAGCATTCGAGACTAGCCTGGGCAACACAGCAAGACACCCGTCTCCAAAAAAGTAAGATAAAAAAATATAAAATATAGGTTTTATTATTATTCAAGTATGGTGAGGGCAATAGATCAGGTGACTGCCATTGACAAGAAAGCTTGTTGTACTTACAGATTCCAAAAGGGGCATGGCACGCCACAGGGAGCCACACTGGAAGCCCAGGGTCAGTGAGGAGGTAGAGGGAACGATGGGATCAAGTGGAGTAAGAGCCTTGTGATCTCCATGGGAAGGAAGGGGCAAGGCCGAGTAAACAGACTGGCGAGTTCGAATAATTTCAGCAGGCTGTGGGGCCTAGGGGCTGTCCCTAGCTTTCTGGTACCTGGCCCTGCGGTGATTAGGGCAGGTGGATATCCCAGAGTATGGGATATTGGCTCAGAGTATGAGACGTCCTGTAAAGGAGAGATTGGGGTATGGGCTCCAGATTGGTTGGTTTACATATGAAAGGAGCAGTCATAGGTGAGTCATTTACTCTCTCCAGGAATTGGCTAGCCTTGGGAGGAACAATCTCTCCACCGAGTGAGCAAGGCCCCTCCCATGTCAAAGAATCAAACACGCACGGTTCATATTGAGGGTACAACTGGAAGCTTGTGCTTGTTTTCTGCTGGACTTCGCTCACGCACCTTCTCCGTTTGCTGATTTTAATCTGTATCCTTTCACTAAAATAAACAGGAATGATGTGTATAGCAGCTTTTCAGAGTTCTGTGAATCTATCTTGTGAATCATCAAGCATGAGGGTGGTCTCAGGGACCCCTGACACGGCTGCTAGAACCATCAGGTGGAAGGTTAGTGGGGTACTTTATAATGGAAAAGACCAGACTGACACCACAGACCCCATTGCTCAGTCACAGCGTGTGGAACCACCAGATGTCACGTTCCTCTCCATATGATGCAAAACAAAGATGCAGAGTCACTCAGGAAGTACTTATGTCAGATCAACCGCACCTGAATCTAATCAAGGCTCTTTGTGTAACTGCACATTTTTAGGAAATACTGGGGAGACAGGAACCTTTAAACAACACTGGGAGGAAATGAGCAGTGAAATACAAAATGTGGGAAATTCTACAGGACAAAAAACCCACCTTTCAACACAGAAAAAAGGGTAACTGTTACAGATTTAAAGAGACAAAAGACCCCATCAATCAAATGCACAGTGTGGCTCTTATTTAGATCTTAATTTGAACAAATAAACAGTCAAAATACATTTTTGAGACAACATGGGAAAACTGAGCAGACTACATATTAGATATTAAGGATATTAATTCTGTTGGGTGAAATACGATGGTTAGGATTTGCTTTAAATGGTCAAAGAAAAAAATATTGGCGGGGACGAGGCAATAGATCAAACAAGAGCAGCAATAAAGCTGACGTTTGCTAAGTTTGAGTGGTGGTTCAGGGAGTCCACTGTGCTAGTCTATATTTGTGACTAAAAATTTCCATAACAAGTTCAAAAAAGAAAATGTATTTAAAAATTAGAAGCAGTTATCAGCCAAATATAGGTTAAGAAACATTAGTAAAATAAAAATCCTTTCACTTGCCGTTAAAAATAAAAAACAGTAAAAACACATTTTATAAATATATGAAATCTGAGAGCCTGCCAAGATTGCAGAGATGTGATTGTAAGGCACAGATGAGATTTTAAACCTGGGTTTTTAGAGATTAAAATAAAATGTAGGATGGTTTAAGCACCTACTTTTAGCTCTTGAGAAAACAGGTACAGTCCAAAGTGAAGCTGCCTTTAGTCTCTAGCCTTCATGTTTTTTTTCTAGTCTCTATTCTGAAGTCTAAATTTGTTGGTTTTTTTGGGGGGTGAAAATTTAACATAAAATTTAGGCATAAAAAACATTATCCTTTTACGTTTTAATATAAGTCTTTATCCTTTAAACTAAGATCTCATAAGAGAGAGACGCATCATCCTTTAGATAAAAGCTCCCGACAGCCCAGGTGTCCCAGCTGCTGTCATAATGTAAGATTTGGGGCCAGGCAAAAGAAACTGATTAAAGCAGAATACTGGAGATCCTGGCCTTCAAGTAGTGATATTTTTGCTTTTTTTTTTTTTGAGACGGAGTTTCACTCTTATTGCCCAGGCTGGAGTGCAATGGCACAATCTTGGCTCACCACAACCTCCGCCTCCTGGGTTCAAGCGATTTTCCTGCCTCAGTCTCCCGAGTAGCTGGGATTACAGGCATGTACAACCACGCCCAGCTAATTTTGTATTTTTAGTAGAGACGGGGTTTCTCCATGTTGGTCATTGCCTTTTTTTTTTTTTTTTTCTTTGAGACAGAGTCTCACTTTGTTGCCCAGGTTTGAGTGCAGTGGTGCGATCTCAGCTCACTGAAACCTCCGCCTCCCAGGTTCAAGCGATTCTCGTGCCTCAGTCCCCCAAGTAGCTGGGACTACAGGCATGCGCCACCACGCCCAGCTAATTTTTGTATTTTTAGTAGAGACGGGGTTTCGCCATGTTGGCCAGGCTGGTCTCGAACTCCTGGCCTCAAGCTATCCGCCCACCTTGGCCTCCCAAAGTGTTAGGATTACAGGTGCCACTATGCCTGGCCTTCTTTCTTTCCTATCTAAAAGGATTTCTTATGGAAAAAAATTCAAGGATAACTTCTTATGACATACATGTATTATTTCTGTAATTAAAAAAACATTTTAAGAATATATGCTCACAGGCTGGCAGCGGTGGCTCACGCCTGTAATCCCAGCACTTTGGGAGGCTGAGGCAGGCGGATCACAAGGTCAGGAGATCGAGACAATCCTGGTTAACACGGTGAAACCCCGTCTCTACAAAAAATACAAAAAATTAGCTGGGCGTGGTGGCGGGCACCTGTAGTCCCAGCTACTCGGGAGGCTGAGGCAGGAGAATGGCGTGAATCCAGAGCTTGCAGTGAGCCAAGATTGTGCCACTGTACTCCAGCCTGGGCAACAGAGCAAGACTCCATCTAAAAAAAAAAAAAAAAAAAAAAAAAAAAAAAAAGAATATATGTTCACACAAAAACTTGTACACAAATGTTCATAGAAACCCTATGTACAAGACCCAAAAAGTGAAAACAACCCATATGTCCAACAACTTATGACTGGATAAACAAAACATTTATATCCATACAACTGATTTTTATTCCATAAATAGTAATAAAGTACTGATTCATGCTACAACATAAATCTTGAAAACATGTTAAGTGAAAGAAGCCAGTCACAAAAGACCACATATTCTATGATTCCATTTATATGAAATGTTCAGAATAGACAAATCCAAACAGACAGAAAGTAGATTACTGATTGCCCTGGGGTAGGGGGCGTTGAGGAACGGGAAGTGACTGCTAATGGGTTCTGCAATGGGTTGAGTGGTGTCCCCCAAAACTTCATGTCTACCTGAAACCTCAGAATGTGACTTTAGTTGGAAATAGAGTCTTTGCAGATCTAGTTAGTTAAGATGAAATCAGACTGGATTAGGGCAGGCCCTAAATCCAATTACTGGGGTCCTTATAAGTAGGCCATGGAAAGACACAGACACAGGGAAGAAGGCCATGCGAGACACAGACACAGAAGGCCATGTGAAGACGGAGGGAGAAACTGAAGTGATGCAGCCACAAGCCAAGGACTGCCAGGAGCCATCAGAAGCTAAGGAGGAAGCATGAAAGAGTCTTCTTCAGAGCAGCAGTCCCCAAGGCACGAAAAAGTCTTCCTTAGAGCAGCAGTCCCCAACCTTTTTGGCACCAGGGACTGGTTTCATGGAAGATAATTTTTCCACAGATCCGGGGTGGGGATAGGGGGATAGTTTCGGGATGACTGAAGTGAATTACATTTACTGTGCACTGTATTTCTATTATTATTACATCGTAATACATGATGAAATAATTATACAACTCACCATAAGGTAGAATCAGTAGGAGCCCTGAGCTTGTTTTCCTGCAACTAGACAGTCCCATATGGGGGTTATGGAAGACACTGACAGATCATCAGGCATTATATTCTCATAAGGAGTGTGCAACCTAGATCCCTTGCATGCACAGTTCACAATAGGATTCACGCTCCTATGAGAATCTAATGCCACTGCTGGTATGACAGGAGGAGGAGCTACGGCAGAAATGTGAGCGATGGGGGGCAGCCATAAATACAGATGAAACTTCAAGTGCTCACCTGTTACTTATCTCCTGCTGTGTGACCTTGTTCCTGACAGGCCACAGACAAGTAATGGTCTGTGGCTCTGGGGCTGGGGGCCCCTGCCCTAAAGCTTTTAGAGGAAGCAGAAGCCCCACCAACAACCTGTTTGGACTTCTAGCCTCCAGAACTGAAAGGGGATACAGTCTTTTCTTCTTATTTTTTGAGATGGAGTCTTGCTCTGTCACCCAGGCTAGAGTGCAGTGGCACGATCCTGGCTCACTGCAACCTCCACCTCCTGGGTTTGAGAGATTCTTCTGCCTCAGCCTCCTGAGTAGTTGGGACTATAGGCGTGCGCCAATACACCTGGCTAATTTTTGTATTTTTAGTAGAAAGGGGCTTCACCATGTTGGCCAGGATGGTCTTGATCTCCTGACGTCGTGATCTGCCCACCTCGGCCTCCTAAAGTGTTGGGATTACAGGCGTGAGCCACTGCACCCGGCCAGGAATACATTTCTGTTGTCTTAAGCCACCCAGCTTGTGGTACTTCGTTAAGAAACAGCTCTAGGAAACTATTACAGGCACAAAATTTGTGATGAAAATGTTCTAAAATTGATGGTTGCACAACTCTGTGGATATACTAAAAAAATTTTTTTTTTTTTTTTTTGAGACAGGATCTCACTCTGTCACCCAGGCTGGAGTGCAATGGCATGATCTTGACTCACTGCAACCTCCGCCTCCCAGGTTCAAGTGATTCTCCTGCCTCAGCCTCCCAAGTAGCTGGGACTACAGGCGTGCACCACCATGCCCGGCTAATTTTTGTATTTTTAGCAGAGACGGGGTTTCATCATGTTGGCCAGACTGGTCTCGAACTCCTGACCTCAGGTGATCTGCCTGCCTCAGCCTCCCAAAGTGTTGGAATTACAGGCGTAAGCCACCGTGCCCGGCCTAAAAACTTTTAAAATGTATACTTTAGTTGGGTGAATTTTATGGTCTGTGAATTATATCTCAATACAACTGTTATTTAAAAATATTTATAGCCACAAAATGCTGAAGAACCAATAAGGACCTTGAGTAACCCCAACATGGGAGCTTCCATTTTCAGTCAATCATTCAAGGTCTGAAGTTGAGTGTTAAACATTCGATGTTAAAACAGGATTGGCTGCTGGGTCTATTGCTGATTTGCTGCAGGGCCTTTTGGCTTCTTTTTTTTTTTTTTTTTTTTTTTTTGAGATAGGGTCTTGCTCTATCACCCAGGCTGGAGTGCAGCGGTACGATCTTTGCTCACCACTACCTCCGCCTCCTGGGTTCAAGCAATTCTCCTGCCTCAGCCTCCCGAGTAGCTAGGATTACAGGTGTGCGCCACCATGCCCGGCTAGTTTTTGCATTTTTAGTAGAGACAGGGTTTCACCAGGTTGGCCAGGCTGGTCTTGAACTCCTGACCTCAAGTGATCTGCCTGCCTGGGCTTCCCAAAGTGCTGGGATTACAGGCCTGAGCCACCAAGCCTGGCCACCTTTTGGCTTTTTGGACAGAACTCTTTCAATTGTAAGTCAGAAAACCAACACAAACAGGCTTAATCAAAATAACAACAGGAATCTGTCTCACATAATTGAGACATCTAAACAGTGTTACTAGATCTTTGATTCTCTTGGCTGTTTCCTTTGTTGCCTTCATTCTTTGCTGGCTTTCTCTAGGTAGTAGGAAAAGATGGCCACCGGCAGTCCCATGATTATGTGACCCTTACAGCTCCAGATCAAAACAGAAAGCCTTTCCTGATACCTCTGAGAACAAGTCCAGGGCAGTCCAGGGCTGGCTCACAGGCTATTCCTAGAGCCAGGGAGTAAGGTTAGCTTCAGCCAAGTCTGAGGCACAGAGCAGGATCACTGAAGAATGGGAAAAGAATGGCTCCCTGAAGAAAGAAAGGCTGGGAATACAAAATATATATTCGCTATGCTAGGCAAAGCTGTAAAACTTGCAGAGCGTCAAACATCATTTCAGCTCAATAAATATTTGCTGAATCAATGTAGGAACCCATAAAACAGAGCTGCTGCAGAGTACTTTCAAAGCATCATGTTCCAAACTCTGATTTCATATTTTAGAGAAGCAATAAAACACAATGGAAGTCAGATAGTGAGGTCATTAGTGAGATGCCATTTTAGCAGAGAGCTACTTCAATCAAGTATAGCTTGCTCTAAGTTCCAGATTCCATCTGTATTACACAACAGAGATGCAAAGCTCAGAAAGAATGTTCCCTGATTTAACTACCAAAAAAGCTAAGACTTGTCCTGCGTGGAGGAAGGCAGTTCAGGATGAAGGGTCCTGCTACCAGAGCAAACATTTCCTTCTCACTTGAACTGGTGATAATCCGGTGGGTTTCTGATCCAGGATCCAAACACCTGCTTCCGGAGTGTGCTCCAGGCTTCCTGGTAAGAGGACGCAGCCTCCTTGTACTCCTGGTAGGTATCCAGCTTCTGCACCCTAATGCACACAGGCCACCAAATACACAGGTTCTCATTGAATAGCCCACCCCAGGGGCCACCAGACACCTGAGCAAGCAACTGGACAGACTTGTAATGAGACTTAGGTAGAGAAGGAGTTCAGTATGCTTTTGTGAAAGTTGATCATACAAACTACGTTATTCTTGTCATACTCAACTGAAACAGAGTTGAGAAGCCAGGGGTAAAAAACACTCAGGGCGCATAACATTGCTCCAAGAATGCATTCTCTGCAAGCCTGGCTGCTAAAACTGCCTGCCAGTTTTATCTAACAGCTACTGAACCAACCTGCTGCAGACTTTAAGAATAGTTTTACCCAGTGCCATCACTTGGCAGCTCCTCACTTTACTCATGTCAATGAACCTTCTTCAACAATATGTTACATTTCTTTTTTGAAAAATAAAACCTCTAACCTTCCCTTTGTTCTTCAGACATATTGAAGACCACCCAGTCTGTATGTCTTGAATTTCTTGTATCCCAAATAAAATATTAAATTTAGAGATTTATCTTTACATTTTTATTTTGACTTTTGACACTTTCCTAGAGCAACTCTGTCTCCTTTGTAGGGAATTCACGAGAAAGCAACATGAATTAAAACAGTTAAGAATGAACAGAATTCTAGGTTTCTATGGTCCTAGTGGAATCAGATAAAATAAAAACAACTGTCTACTTTTTTGGTTTAAAAGTTTTCTAGGCCAGGCATGGTGGCTCACACCTGTAACCCCAGCACTTTGGGAGGCCGAAGCAGGCGGATCACCTGAGGTCAGGAGTTTGAGACCAGCCTGGCCAACATGGTGAAACCCCATCTCTACTAAAAATACAAAATTAGCCGGGCGTGGTGGCAGGCACCTGTAGTCCCAGCTACCTGGGAGGCTGAGGCAGGAGAATCACTTGAACCCAGGAAGCGGAGGTTCCTGTAAGCTACGATTGTGCCACTGTACTACACAGACTGGGCGACAGAGCAAGACACTGTCTCAAAAAAAAAAAAATACAGTAACTACTAGTTATCAAAACCCTACTACAAACCAGGCTCTTGGTCACATGCAACACTTCCCTTAATTGTCTCAGCTACCCTGTCTCAAAAACAAACAAACAAACAAACATACATACATGCCAGGCGGTGGCTCACGCCTGTAATCCTGGCACTTTGGGAGGCTGAGGCAGGTGGATCGCCCGAGGTCAGTAGTTCAAGACCAGCCTGGTCAATATGGTGAAACCCCGTCCCTACTAACTATACCAAAAATTAGCCGGGCGTGGTGGCGGGTGCCTGTAATCCTAGCTACTCTGGAGACTGAGGCAGGAAAATCACTTGAACCTGGGAGGCGGAGGCTGCAGTGAGCTGAAATTGTGCCACTGCACTCCAGCCTGGTTAACAGGAGCAAAACTCTGCCTTAGAAGTATCTCCTCACCTAAATTCAGATTTGACATATAGAATATATGGAAACCCAAGAAAGAAGCCAACTGACCACAGATCCATCACTTCAGTATGCATGATGGCGATGCCTCTTCATATAGAAGTTTCTAGCTACTCCTTAGTTTCCCCACTGTCATATAATGAAGGATTCACTTGGTCTTTGTCACCAGTTCCCGGGAGCCTCTAAGCTTTGGAGTTTCTGCAAGTGTCTTTGTCCTGCATGGTAGATCTCGCTGATCACACGTGAGTTTCTGTTTAACCAGGTGACTCATGGTGGGCCCCCGAGATAGTTTCAGGATGATACCGGCCATGCCAGAAAGACCAACCATGTAGAGAATTAGGGCTCTGAGACACGTGATATCAGTTTGAACTCTTGGGAGAGGAGGAGGTTGGAGATTAAGTTCAATCACATCATGTGGCCAATAATTCAATCAGTCATAATAGTTAATGAAACTCCAACAAAAACTTTGGACACTGATGTCTGAGTGAGATTCCTAGTTGGTGATGCGCAGCAATGTGCTGGGAAGGTGATATGTCCTGAGGACATGGAAGCTCTGCCTTTGCGACCCTCCCATATCTTACCCTATATCTCTCTCCTTTTGGCTAGTACTGATCTGTAGCCTTCATAATAAAACTTTAATGGCAACTATAGTGCTTTTCTGAGTTCTGAGAGATGTTCTAGTGAATGACTGAACGTGAAGGGGAGTGGAGACACTCAAATTTGTAGCCAGTTGGTCAGAAGTATGGGTGGTTTGGGGCTTTCCTTAACTTGTGGTAGTTGTTTGAAATGAAGACAGTTTAGTGGGAACTGTGTCCTTCACCTGTGAAACTTCACCTAAATCTAGGTGGTCACTGTCAGAATGTCACTGCACCCATCTACCTGTTCCCAAGAGTGGTTTTAAAGTTCTTTGAATTTTTGTTTGAAGAGCAATTTAAGTCATGGAGCTGCAAGTTCAAAAGGAAAAGAGGAGTAACACTTGTAACAGAATATATTGCTCTTAGAGCACTCCCATTTCCACAGTGATCTCCATCTAGAGGTGGAATCAAAGGAGGGCCTGGAATGGCCAAGCCCCAGTTCTATCCTTAGTTTTTTATAACTCTATACCACCAAACTACCCATCCTCTGCATCTCAGATCATGCACGTATCTGCAAATAGGGCTATGGGGAAAGAAGAACTTGTGGTCAACAATAAGTGCCACTGGCTTGCTGAACCACCACTCCTGCCAAAGCTTCTTGCTACTCAGAAGCCAGAATCAAAACAGTTGTCTACCTAAATATGAGAAAACATAGGTCAACAGCATCACCTGAGGGAGTGTGGCCACTTGTCCCTTGCAATTCTGCTTAGCAGCTTCTGGAATGATCTGAAGAGTTCCACTTTGCTGATTTGGGATCTGTTTGGAAAAAGAAGGCAAAGATGATTTATTAAGTGTTTAGTATGTTCTAAGCCCCTATCAAAGATGCCAGGCTTCATGTGGTTTTTAGGTTTGAAGGTGCCAGAGCCCCTCATTTTCACCTGTACTTGGTGAGGAGAAAATCCAGACCTGGATGTCTGATTAGGTTGAGGTATAAAAACGAGTCTAACCTTAAGAAATGCCATCAGCCATGGGATCATTAAAGTAACAAGCCCAAACGGGTACCCTGAGGTGCAATTACGAAATTTTGCCCCAGGATATCTGTAAGACACTTCTGGCTAAATCCTTTCAAGGGTGCTGGCCCCTATGGGTTTACAAGAAATGGAAAGCTTTGTTTCAGAGATCTGAGTGCTGTTCCCTGTGTGAACTGTCATTATAAAATCCACTTGGACGAGCCACCTGAGGCAGAATCCCTGGACTCCTGCCATGGGCATCACAGGCCTTTGGAGAACAAGCGTTTGCTCCTAAACAACAAAATTCTGGGTGGAGGTCATGGTTTGGAATACTTAAGGAGGTGAGTGTTGACTACTTTATAAGCCCACCCAGACCTTCGTGGTTGCCTTCTTTTCCCTCATGTATACAATTCATGAGCTGCATCTAGAAATTGGGAAATGCTGTGTATACCAACAATGTGCAGTCTCACTTTTACACACCACACTCTGCATCATCCTAGCAGATCACACCCTCAGCTTGGACACAGTGACCATCACTGCTACATGTAAAATAGGGAATTATGGAGTCTGTCCAAAATCTCCCTTACCTGGCTGGAACCTAGCCTACTTCAGGAATTGCTGCTTAAAGGGGAACCCTGAGCACTCAGACACTGCTCTCCCAGGGCCTTAGCTGGAGTGGCTGCTGGCACTCAGGAAGATGAGGCCACTTTAGCATGAAAACAAAGCAAAAATTAATGGAACTCTCATGAACAAATTAAAGAAGAACAATGTAATTAGGGATGGCCAAACACAGTGGCTCATGCCTGTAATCCCAGCACTTTGGGAGGCTGAGGTGAATGAGCAGATCACCTGAGGTCAGGAGTTCGAGACCAGCCTGGCTAACATGGTGAAACCCCATCTCTACTAAAAATACAAAAACTAGCTGGGAGTGGTGGCGCATGCCTGTAATCCCAGCTACTCAGGAGGCTGAAGCACGAGAATCACTTGAACCCAGGAGGCAGAGGTTGCAGTGAGCCAAGACTGTCCCAGTGCCCTCCAGCCTGGGTGACAGAGTGAGATTCTGTCTCAAAAAAAAAAAAAAAAAAAAAAAAATATATATATATATATATACACACACACACACACACACACACACACACACACACACACACACATATATACATATATATAATTATGGGGAAAATATACGCAAAGAAAGCATTTGGTAGAATTCAACATCCTTTGATTAAAAACCTTTTGGCAAACTAGGACTCGGGAAGAGTACTTAAATTTATAAAGCGCAACTATAAAAAACCTATAGCAAATATATGTCCTTAAAATCAGGAATAGGACAAGGGGGACTTGCTATCACCGCTTTTATTCAACATTATACAGAAGGTTCTGGCCAGCAGGACAGAAAAGAAAGAAAAGTGAAAAACAAAAACCAAGTCATCATCTGCAGATGATTTTGATATTGTCAGTTCTAGTCAACACAGTAAGAGAAATAAAAGGAACAGAAGGCTGGAAAGAAACACTACAGTTAACCCTTGGACAACACAGGTTTGAACTGTGTGGGTCCACTTACACATAGATTTTCTTCTGCCTCTGCAACTAGCAAGACCAAACCCTCTTCTTCTTCTCCTCCTCCTCAGCCTACTCAACATGAAGATCATGAGGATAAAGACCTTTATGATGATCCACTTCCACTTAATGAATAAATGTATTTTCTATTCCTTATGATTTTCTTTTCTCTTTTTTGTTTTTGAAATGGAGTCTCATTCTGTGGCCCAGGCTGGAGTGCAGTGGCGTGATCTCGGCTCACTGCAACCTCTGCCTCCTATGTTCAAGCAATTCTCCTGCCTTGGCCTCCCAAGTAGCTGGGATTACAGGCACGTACCATCACGCCCAGCTAATTTTTGTATTTTTAGTAGAGACGGTTTCGCCATGTTGGCCACACTGGTCTTGAACTCCTGACCTCAGGTTATCTGCCTGCCTCGGCCTCCCAAAGTGCTGGGATTACAGACGTGAGCCACAGCACCTGGCCTATTCCTTATGATTTTCTTAATAACATTTTCTTTTTTTAGTTTGCTTTATTTTAAGAATATGTATATAATACACATAACATACATAATACGTGTTAATTGTTTATGTCAAGGCTTCTGGTCAACAATAGGCTTGATGTTTTTGCAGAGCCAAAAGTTATATGCAGATTTTTGACTGCAAGGTGGGTCGGCACCACTAACACCCACATTGTTGAAAAGTCAGCTGTATTTGTATATGATGATCTACATTTAAAAAATCCCGAAAAAGGCTGGGTGTGGTGGCTTATATCTGTAATCCCAGCACTTTGGGAGGCTGAGGCGGGTGGATCACCTGAGGTCAGGAGTTCAAGACCAGCCTGCCCAACATGGCAAAATCCCGTCTCTACTAAAAATACAAAAAAATAGCTGGGTGAGATGGCAGGCGCCTGTAATCCCAGCTACTCGGGAGGCTGAGGCAGGAGAACTGCTTGAACCTGGGAGGCAGAGGTTGCAGTGAGCCAAGATCGTGCTACTGTACTCCAGCCTGGGCGGTAAGGGTGAAACTCTGTCTCAAAAAAAAAAAAAAAAAAAAAAATCCCCAAATCCCAAAAGCATTCCCAGACTAATTAGAATTATCATTCTTTTGGGTTTTTGTTGTTGTTGCTGTTGTTTGTTTTTTAGAGATTGGGGGGGGGGTCTCATTTTGTTGCCCAGGCTGGTCTCGAACTCCTGGCTTCAAGCAATCCTCCACCTCAGCCTCCCGAAGTGCTGGGATTATAGGAGTACAATTATTATTCTAGTGATAATGGTAAGGTTAGTGTTTTTATCTAGCAACCAACAGTAATTGCCACAAAGAGGAACAAAAGCTTAATTGCAACAGTAATAACCAGAAAACGGGATAAAAAGCTATCTAAAATAGCATCTGTGATAGCCAAACTCCAGAATGGTCCCCAGTGATTCTTGCCTCCTGGTATTCATGCCCCTTAGCAATCCCCTCCCATACGTAATAGGGCTGATCTGAATAACCATTAAGATATTACAGATAGGCTCTGGCTTCTGAGGCTAGGTCATAAAAGACACTGTGGCTTCTGCTTTGCTTTCTTGGATTGCCTGTTCTGTGGGGAGCCAGCCACTGAGTCGTGAAGCTGAATACTCTGGTAGCCTTGTGGAGAGGTCCTTGTTATAAGGAACTGAAGCCTCCTGCCAACAGCTGACACTGATCTGTCAGCCATGCAAGGTAACCATTTTGGAACAGGATCCTTGAGCCCCCGTCAAGTCTTCAGATGACTGCAGCCCTGGCTGCCATAATGGACTGCAATTTCATAAATTGCTGAGCTAAGCTAATTACTTAGCTAAGCTCCTCAATTCCAGACCCACATAACTATGTGAAATAATAAATGTATATTGTTGTTTTAAGCTGTTATTTTGGGGGTAATCTGTTACATAGAAACAGATAACTAACATACATTTAAGGAATAAATCTAATACAAGATGTGAAAGATTTATATAAAGCTATAAAACTTGCTGAAATATATGTAAGAAGACCTCAATAAGTGAACACTCAAAAACTACCAGTTATAGGCAGCACATGGTGGCTCACGCCTGTAATTCCAGTACTTTGGGAGGCTGAGGTGGGCAGATCACAAGGTCAGGAATTCAAGACCAGCCTGGCCAACATAGTGAAACCCCGTCTCTACTAAAAATGCAAAAAAAAATTAGCTGGGCGTGGTGGCGGGCATCTGTAGTCCCAGCTACTTGCGAGGCTGTAGAGAGATAAATGGCTAATAAGTACATAAAAAGATGCTCAACACCGTTTGTCATTAGGGAAATGTAAATGCAAATAAAAACTGTAATGAGGCCGGGTGAGATGGCTCTCACCTGTAATCCCAGCATTTTGGGAGGTTGAGGCGGGTGGATCACTTGAGGTCAGGAGTTTGAGACCAGCCTGGCCAACATGGCGAAACCCCTCTCTACTAAAAATACAAGAATTAGCCGGTGTGGTAGAACATGCCTACAGTCCCAGCTACTAGGAAGGCTGAGGCAGGAGAATCGCTTGAACCCCAGGGGCGGAGGTTGCAGTGAGCCAAGATTACGCCACTGAACTCCAGCCCAGGTGACAGAGCAAGACTCTATCTCAAAAAAAAAAAAAAAAGACTGTAATGAGATACCATTTCATACCCACTAGAATGACTACAATAAAAAAGACAATAACAAGTGTTGTAAAGGATTCAGGATAATTGGAACTCTAATACATTGTTGGTAGAACGTAAAATGGTACAGCTGCTATGGAAAACAGTTTAGCAGTTCCTCAAAAAAGTTAAACATAACAATTACCATATGACCCAGTAACACTACTCCTAGGTATACCCAAGAAAATTGAAAACATATGGCCATGCAAAAAGTGGTACATGAAATGTTCATAGTTCTACACAGCAGCACTATTCACAATAGCCAAAGAGTGAAACAACCCAAACGTCCATTCATGAACGAATGGCAAACAAAATGTGGTATATCCACACAATGGGATATTATTCAAGTCATGAATAGTAATGAAGTACTGATACAGCTACCTCAGGATGTACCTCCAAAACACTATGCTAAGTGAAAGAAGCCAGATACAAAAGGTCATATACTGTAGGATTCCAATGATAGAAAATGTCCAGACTAGACAAATCCACGGAGACAGGAAGTAAATTAAGTAAATTAGAGGTTTCCAAGGGATGAGGAGAGGGAGGGATAGGTAGTGACTGCTAATGGGTATGGTTGTTCTTTTTGGGGTAATAAAAATGTTCTAGAATTAGATAGTGGTAGAGTGTGAGTTCACAGCCACCATCTCCTCCTGCCCCAATATGCTGTACCTTGCCTGAAGGCTTCCAATTGTTTTCTTTGTTGTTCCCTGTGGAAAGCCATTGGCAGTAACATCCAAAGGCTGCTCAGGAACTGCACTCCAGCTGATGGCTATGAAAAGATAAGATTCTAGGGTTAAAACTGCTCAATTTCTTGTGAAAGTCAGAAGTATTTTAATAAAAATATTTCTCTGACTCTACAGACCCATGAGAGCTGGATATGATGTCACAGACAATGACTGCTATTGGATGCTTGGCCTCCAGGGTACAGTAGTCTAAGTGGTTCATAATTCATTATTATTATGATAGCTAACAATCACTGAGCATTTATTATTTGCTGGGCACAGAGTAAATGCATTAAACAGAATTTCTCACTGAATCTTCCCAATAACCCTGATAAATGATATTCTTCTAATCTGAAGACAAAGAAATTGAGGCCAAGGGAGGGTAAATAACATGCCGGGGGTCACAAGAGCATAAACGTGACCCACTATGGGTGTCTCTAAAGCCCACACTACCGGCCACTAGAGTGGTGAACTACCTTCCTAGGCTGGGAGGATGCCGACCCTCTGGGGCCACTCTCAGTCAGGGGAGCAGTTACTCCAGGGCAGGTCTAACCTGGATCTCTTACCTGCCCCACAAGGAACAAGTCGACCTGGGCTATCAGCCCTTTTTGCCTGCACCGCACTGCGGCTCTGTTCAAATAGTAAATCTGACTGCAGTATTTTTAATTCTTGAACTCCGAAGCCTTTTGGTAAAGCAGACACATTCTGACACCTAAATACAAGGGAAAATGCATTCAGTTTAGGTGCATGCCTAGAGAAAACAGTATCTAGGATTGTGGCTCACATCATCACCCCTGAGCCTTAGCAGGTGTGGGGATTTGTTTATTTATTTGGGCAGACAGTGTTTCAGAATAGAATCAAGATTGTAAGCACCTCATGGCTGGAAGAAGATCCTTCTCCCTCAATCTGCAGGGATAACTAAGAATCAAGTCAACACCCTTCAGGGATGTAACACCAAACTCCATTCCTGATATAGGCTTTGAGAAACTTGAAAAGTTTAAGCAGAAACATTAATGTGTTGGCACCTGCTTCCTAGGGAATCCTTCAAACACACCAAAACCCAAAATTATCCTATAATATAAAAGCTTCATTTTTTTCTCTTGTATCTTTGAACAAACTAGATGCCAACATGATGCTGGTCTAGAATGAAGCAGATAGCAACTGCAAGTACCAGAATAGGAAAAACAGAAAACATCCCAGGCACAGTGCCTAGGGTTGGCTTTTTTAAAAAAAAACAAAAAACCAACATCTTTATAGGGATATAGTTCACATACCATAAAATGTACTCATTTAAAGTGGATAATTCAATTGTTTTTAGTATATTCATAGAACTGTACAACTATCATGGTAATGTAATTTAAGGAATTTTCATCACCCCAGAAAGAAACCTCGTACCTATTAGCATTCACTCTCTATTCCCTGGTAACCACTTAAATTTTTTGTTTTTTTGAGATAGGGTCTCTGTTGCTCAGACTGGAGTGCAGTCACATGATCTCGGCTCACTGCAACTTCTGCCCCCTGGTCTCAAGCGATCCTCCCACCTCCACCTCCCAAGTAGCTGAGACTACAGGCATGCACCATCATGTCCGACTAATTTTTAAATTTTTTGTAGAGATGGGATTTTGCCATATTGCCTAGGCTGGTCTTGAACTCCTTGGCTCAAGCGATCCTCCCACTCCAGCCTCCCAAAGTGCTGGCATTACAGGCATGAGCCACAGCACCTAGCCTGTGGTAACTACTAAGCTATTATCTGTCTTTATGGATTTGCCTGTTCTAGATATTACACAAATAAAATTATACAATATGTGATTTCTTTCACTTAGCATTATATTTTCAAGTTCATCCATGCTGCAGCATGTAATAGTACTTCAGTCGTTTTTATAGCTGAATCATAGTCCATTGTATGGATATATCACATTTGATTTATCCATTCATCCACTAATGGACATTTGTCTTTTTGTTTATTATGAATAATGCTGTTGTGAACATTTATGTACAGGTTTTTGTTATATACATATACACTTTTTTTTTTTTTTGGAGACAGGGTTTCACTCTGTTGTCTAGGATGGAGTGCAGTGGTGAAATCACGGTTCACTGCAGCCTCAACATCCCGTGGCTCTGGTGATCCTCCCACATCAGCTCCCCATGCAGATGGGACTACAAGTGTGTGCCACCACACCTGGCTGAGTTTTGTATTTTTTGTAGAGACAGGGTTTCCTCATGTTGACCAGGTTGGTCTTGAACTCCTGGACTCAAGCAATCTGCGTGACATGGCCTCCCAAGATGCTAGGATTACAGGCATGAGCTACTGTACTTGGCCTACTTGTGTGAATGTATGTTTTCATTTATTTTGGGTTGTACCTAGGAGTGGAATTGCTGGACCATATCTTGAGGCTTCACATTTGATATGGGCCTATGAGGCTTGCCCTGGCCATGGCTTTGCCCTGCCCTCATTTCCTATAGCACTGAGTTTGGCTGCCTCCTTTAGGGAGACCACACTTGAGTGGTCATCTTTTGACTTTTAACTTTAAAAAAATTAAAACTAATGTTTAGGGCTGGGTGAGGTGGCTCACACCTATAATCCCAACACTGTGGCAGGCCAAGGTGGGAGAATTACTTAAGGCCAGGAGTTCAAGACCAGCCTGGGTAACCCAATAACACCCCGTCTCCACAAAAAAAATTTAAAAATCAGCCAAGTGTGGTGGCTTATGCCTGTAATCTTAGCTATTCAGGAGGCTGAGGCAGGAGGATCACTTGAGCTCAGGAACTGGAGGCTGTAGTAAACTATGATTGTACCACTGCACTCCAGTCTGGGTGAGACCCAGTGAAACCTTGTCACTACAAAAACATTCTGAAAGCCCCAAACTAATGTTTAGGGTTAAAAAACATATATAATGGCAATGTATGTGCACTGTAGAAAAATCAGAAAATATATTAAAAACAAAGAAGAAAAAAACCACCCATAATACAACTCAGAGATTATTAATAATACCTTAGCGCTCATCCTCTTATAATTTTTCTTATGTGTGGATGTACTTTAAGACCAAAATTGGCTTTTTATCTTCTAAACTGTTCTTTAAACAGTATAGACATGTTTCCATATTAAATATTCATAAATATTATTATTTTATTTGAGACAGGGTCTGTCACCCAGGCTGGAGTGCAGTGGAATGACCTTGGTTCACTGCAGCCTCAATCTTCCCAGGGTCAGGTGATCCTCCTGCCTCAGCTGCCCTATTCTAGGACTACAGGTGCGTGCCACATCTGGCTAGTTTTTGTATTTTTTGTAAAGACGGGGTTTCCTCATGTTACCTAGGCTGGTCTAGAACTTCTGTGCTCAAGCAATCCGCCCCCCTCGACCTCCCAAAGTGCTGGGATTACAGTCGTGAGCCACCATGCCCAGCCATTCATCAATACTATTTTTAACAACAAAGAAAACACTTAATTTCCTATTACTGGGCATTTCAGTTGTTTACTTTTCTTCTTTAAAAAAATTATTAGCCGGGCGCGGTGGCTCACACCTGTAATCCCAGCACTTTGGGAGACCGAGGTGGGTGGATCACCTGAGGTCAGGAGTTTGAGACCAGCCTGACCAACATGGTGAAACCCCGTCTCTACTAAAAATACAAAAATTAGCCAGGCGTGGTGGCGCATGCCTGTAGTCCCAGCTACTCATGAAGCTGAGGCAGGAGAATCACTTGAACCCAGGAGGCGGTGGCTGCAGTGAGCCCAGAGCACGCCATTGCACCCCAGCCTGGGTGACAGAGCAAGACTCCGTCTCTAAAAAACAAAAAAAAATTATATACAAAGCTAAATGTTCAAATACTTTAATTATTTCCTTAAGACAAATTCCTGGAAGTGGAACTGCTGGATCAAAAGGTATGGAGATTCTTAATGCTCTTAGGCCTTACCCTCAGACTGCCTCTTGGAATGACTGTTCCAATTGAGCCCTCCCTACCCTCTCACCTTCCAATCAGTGCTCTCTGCATGGCTTCCTGGCTGTATGGGCACTTCCCAATGACCACAGCTGACAGGTAGATGGGCTCTTCCAGCAAGTGCATCAACAGTGCCCCTTGGCATCCGAGGACGTTCCATCGGGCCATCTTGTCACTACAGGACATGGAGCGTGTTCTGTCTCCACGGCCTGGCTTCACTCGGAGCAGCCCCACCTGGTGAAACGCAGCACCCGGCTTTCCGGAGTCTCCAGCTTCTCCAGGTACACACTTGGCTCCAGTTCTATAAACGTCTATCACTTTGGCACTACCAGGGGCTATTCTGGTGACAGTAGCCAGTCCCTCTACAGTGAGATCACAGCTGTGGATGCCTGGTGAGATTGGGCCACTTTTCTGCTTGCCAAAACTCTGATGGTGAGCTGCTCCGTTGGTGACCTCCCTGGCTGCAGTCCCAGGCTCAAGCCTCATCTTTTTGGTTACAGGACTGTCAGGGTCTTCACATTTTCTTTCATTTCCAGGAGCTTCCAGGTTACTACTGGCTTCTACTGATGAGTTGTGGGCCCAATTTCTGAAGACAGGACAGCAAGGCTGATCTTCAAACTCAAGCATCGGAATGATGGAGGCATCCCCACCTGCAGAGAATGAACCCACTTAAACAAATGGTTCTCAAGTGAGGTCCCTGGACCAGCCACAATGGGATCTCTTGGGAATTCATCAGAAATGCAAACTCTTGGGACCCACAGTAGACCTGCTGAATCAGAAACTCCGGAGGCAGAGCCCAGCAGTGTGTTTTTAACAAGCTCTCCAGGTGATTCTGATGCAAGCTCAAGTTTGAGAACTACTGACTTCATCTATTCTCCCAGCTGACCTGAGATGAGTTAAGAGCACATGCACACAATTCCCTAATAAGAATCCTCTAGGGCTCTTGTTGAAGACTCTATCCTGGACCCAGTGAGTTGGAATTTCTGGAGAAGGGCATGCAAAATGGAATATTTTAACAAAGATCTGAGCTAATTTTTATCACTAGGAATTTTTGGAAAAATGGGTTTAGACCAGGGTTTCTCAACCACGGTACTAATGACATTTTTTTGACATGCAGTCTGGCTCTGTTGCCCAGGCTGGAGTGCAGTGGGGTGATCTCTGCTCACTGCAATCTCTACCTCCTGGGTTCAAGTCATTCTCCTGCTTCAGCCTCCCGAGTAGCTGGAATTACATGCACACATCACCACGACTGGCTAATGTTTGTATTTTTAGTAGAGACGAGGTTTCACCATGTTGGCCAGGCTGGTCTTGACCTCAAGTGACTCCTGACCTCGAGTGATCCGCCCACCTTGGCCTCCCAAAGTGCTGGGATTACAGGTGTGAGCCAGCGTGCCCGGCCACTAATGACACTTTGGACTGTATCACTGTTTGCTGTGGCGGCTGTCCTGTACATTACGGAATATTTAGCAGCATACCTGGTCTCTACCTACTAAATGCCAATAGGACTACCAGTCCCAGTATGAAAATAAAGAATGTCTCCAGATGTTGCCAAAAGTCTCCTGGGGAGCAAAACTTTCCAAACTGAGAACCACTGGCTTAGAATGAACAAGGTTTCCCAAGTGCATTTTGTGAAATGCTATTCCCTAAGATGCTTTGGAAAACAAAAGTGGGTGGTTTATTTCATAAAGAAATTTGGCAGGCAGGGTGCGGTGGCTCATGCCTGTAATCCCAGCACTTTGGGAGGCCGAGGTGGGCGGATCACGAGGTGAGGAGTTCGAGACCAGCCTGGCCAATATGGTGAAACCCTGTCTCTACTAAGAATACAAAAATTAGCCGGGTGTGGTGGCGCGCACCTGTAGTCCCAGCTACTCGGGAGGCTAAGGCAGAACAATCGCTTGAATCCAGGAGGTGGAGGTTGCAGTGAGCCAAGAATGCGCCACTGCACTCCAGCCTGGGTGACAGAGGGAGATTCCATCTCAAAAAAAAAGGAAAAGAAATTTGGCAACCATTGCTCAGAATTTCCCCATCTTGGAGATTTTATGATGCATGGCCCCACAGTAAAGACTCTAAAGTAAATTACACACCTAGTCTAAACCAATGTTTCCAAAATTTCCAGTGTTTCCTCTTGCTGGTTTAGAGATTTCTGACCTCCTCTGTCCTTACAGGAAACAGAAGAAAACTAGAGGTCAGTAAGAACCACAGCTCTCCCTTGAGAAGCGAAAGATTTCTTCAAACACTAACCTGATGAGTGTTGCTTTTCTAAAGTGTATAAATAATACATCTGTAATCTTTATAACTCAAGAGTGGGAAAGGCAAGAGATACAGAAGTGGGAATACATCTGGAGAGGTTGGCTGGCTGACTTCCAGAGACCTCACAAGGTCACAGTGACTTTGGAGAACTCACCAGGGTCCATCTCCCACTCTGCAGGCTTGGAAATTGGATCTTGACAGAATGCCTGAATGCAAGAGCCTGACTCATGCTAATAAAACTCATAAGAGCCTGAAGTAGCTAACCCAGCCAACAAATTATTAATTACTCATAGGATGTAAATACCAAGGGAGCCAGAGAGGCACATTCTCTAGGTAATGTTCTCTCTCTCTGCAGACAAACCATGGGAGGACATCACATTTTAAAAGATTACCAGCAAAATTTCCTGAAGATTTTTAAGATGAACAGAGGGTTGCCAACTTTTTATTCCATCAAGGAAGATCTTTAAAAATCTCAATTACCGGCCAGGCGCAGTGGTTCATGCCTGTAATCTCAGCACTTTGGGAGGCCGAGGTGGGCGAATCACTTGAGGTCAGGAGTTCGAGACCAGCCTGGCCAATGTGGTGAAACCCTGTTTCTACTAAAAATACAAAAAAATTAGCCGGGCGTGGTGGCGCATGCCTATATTCCCACCTACTTGGGAGGCCAAGGCAGGAGAATCGCCTGGACCCGGGAGGTGGAGATTGCAATGAGCCGAGATCGAGAAAAAAAAAAAAAATTCAATCGCCATCACTTAAAAAAAAACTCTCATTTCCTTTAAAGTGAAAGAAATTAGTTTTGCAAAATTCACTACATAGTCTTGAGCTTTCTTGGTTTTTTTCAGGGACTGTTCTCACAGATCAGTACCTGTTTGTTGACCACTGACTTAAGGAGTTTGATAAGGGCATAATCAAACTACATAAGTGTCCAGTATTTTGGCTTCCCTGGGCCACATTGGAAGAATAAAAATTGTCTTGGGCCACACACAAAATACACGAACGCAAACGATAGTTGATGAGCTAAAAAAAAAAAAAAAAAAAAAAAAAAAAAAAAAAAATCGCAAGAAAAATCTCATAATGTTTTAAGAAAGTTTAAGAATTTGTCTTGGGCCACATTCAAAGCTGTCCTGGGCTGCATGTAGCCAGGCAGGCCGTGGGTTAGACAAGTTTGGATTAGGCCATCAGGCTGTGATCCTCAGATGCTTCTTTCTCCACAATAAGGCTATAGCTGTCACTGGGATCACCCCGGTCCTAGCTACTCAATGTGTGGTCTATGGACCCACACTGCTGGCATGCCTTGGGAGTTGGCTAGAAATGCAGAACCTCAGGCCCCACTCCAGACCTAATGAATCTCAATCTGCATGTTCTTCAGGAGATTCATGTGCATATTACAGCTTGAGAGGAGCTGATTAGGAAACAACCTTTGGGCCTTGGACTAGGGCCCTTACGGCTAAGAAAAGAGCAAGGATGAGTGCTGCCTACCTGTCATTTTTCTGGGCTTTGACTCTTAAAACTCTTTTCTCATACTCTTTCTTTCTTCTCTCTCTTTTTTTTTTTTTCCCTTCTTTTTGACTGAGTCTTGCCGGGTCATCCAGGCTGGAGTGCAACGGCGCAATCTCGGCTCACTGCAACTTCTGCCTCCCGGGTTCAAATGATTCTCCTGCCTCAGCCTCCCGAGTAGCTGGGATTACAGGCATGCACCACCATGCCCAGCTAATTTTGTATATTTAGTAGAAATGGGGTTTCTCCATGTTGGTCAGGCTGGTCTGGAACTCTCGACCTCAAGTGATCTGCCCGCCTCGGACTCCCAAAGTCCTGGCATTACAGGTGTGAGCCACCGTGCCTGGCCTCATTCTTTCTTAAGCTGTATCTATATTTTCAATTTGAGTTATGATCAAATCTACACAGCTATTCTATTTCTTCATAGTGATTTCTTATCTCTGCTCTAATTGCATGTGTTAGCTTTAAAGCTTAAAAGTTTTAAGGTTTAATCTTATATCCTTATTTCAAAGGTTTTAGGGTGAGAAAATTTTGCTGCCATCCTGAGTTGTTATCCACAAAAGGTAGAAGTTATTTTCAATTTTTAAGAAAGAAAAACAAAAGACGGAAATGACACCCCCTTCACCCCAGGCTAGGTCTTCCTGTCTTATGCAACCATAGCACCTGAACATACCCTTATAACCCACCAAAATTTACCCTAACTAACCATGACTGTCTACATTTCCTAAAAGACTATGAAGGTAAGCAATATGCTAGTCTTATTCATTTCTGTATACTCAGTATGTCATATCGTGCCTGACAAATAGTAGAAAGTATTTGTTCAATGACTAAATGAACGAAATGAGTTTTAGGATAAGTCACTATAGGATTTCCAAGCCCCATGTTGGCTTCACATCTTGTGAGGTTTCAGCCTTACGCTCCTAATCCTGATTCTGAGAATTGACTAATAGTATGAGTGAGACTCTGCACCCCTTGCCTCTGTCTTCTCTTTAGATGAAACCTTTAGAAGTGATTAGGTACACTAGCCTGTCATAAAAAGGCACTGTCACTACTTGTGGCTACTTGTGACTACCTGTGGCTACTTCAGCCATTAGTGCTTTTTAGGAAAAAACCTACCTATGGATAACACAAACATAAGGAAGTAGTTCATGTAACATTAATCCAAAGGCTTGAATATACTTACAGGGTGTATGGCTGGAGAAAAACACAAAAATGAGGTCTCGTCTAAGTTTCCACACTCCTTTTTGAGTTCCTGGGACAAAGATGCTATCCTCTTTCAGGGTGGCTGCCAACTGGAGTTGGTGGAGAAGGTACCTAAGGGTTGCAAGATGTTATTAGGATGAACAACCGATCTCTGTGGTAAGGGGAAAGCCTCTGGTTGGGTGATTACTAAGACAGCTTACTGTAGACTAATGGGACTGGTAGTGATGGGGAATTATGAGAATGCTCTAGACCAGTGATTCTCAAAGTGTGGTCCCTGTACCAGCAGCATCAGCATCACCTGGGAATTTGTTAGACCTCCAATTTCAACTGGCCTCGGTGGCTCATATCTGTAACCCCAGCTACTTGGGAGACTGAGGCAGGAAGACTGCTTAAGCCCAGGAGTTTGAGGCTGTAGTGAGCTATGATTCTGCCACTGTACTTCAGCTTGGGTGACAGAGTGAGACTCTATTTTTGTTTCTTTTTTTTTTTTTAGAAAAATAAAAAAGAAAGAAGAAACCCAATTTCTGAGGTTCCACCCTAGATATGCTGAATCAGAATCTCTGTGGTGGGCTCAGCAATCTGGGTTTTAACAAGCCTTCTAGGTTCTTCTGATGTACAATCAAGTTTGAGTACCACTAGTCCAGGCCAGGATTGTGACTCATGCCTGTAAATCCGGCACTTTAGGAGGCTGAGGCAGGAGGATCGCTTGAGCCCCAGGAATCCAACACCAGCCTGGGTAGCATAGTGACACCCTGTCTTTAAAAAAAAAAAAAAACCCAGGAAAAGTTAGCTGGGTGTGGTGGCATGCGCCTGTAACCCCAGCTATTCAGGAGGCTGAGGTGGGAGGCTTGCTTGAGTCCCAGGAGGCCAAGGCTGCAATGAGCTGAGATCACATCACTGCACTCTAGCCTAGGTAACAGAGCAAGACCCTGTGTCCAAAAAAAAAAAAAAAAAAAAAAAAAAGAGAGAACCACTAGTCTAGACCACATTACTACTCAAAAGTGTAGTTTACAGACTAATATCATCTGTATTACCTAGGAGCTTATTAGAAATGTAAATTCTGGGTGAGGCGCGGTGGCTCACACCTGTAATCCCAGCACTTTGAGAGACTGAGGCGTGTGGATAATGAGGTCAGGAGTTTAAAACCAGCCTGGCCAGCATGGTGAAACCCCATCTCTACTAAAAACACAAAAAATTAGTTGAGCATGGTGGCACGGGCCTGTAGTCTCAGCTACTTGGGAGGCTGAGGCAGGAGAATTGCTTGAACCCAGCAGGCGGAGGTTGCAGTGAGCTGAGATCATGCCACTGCACTCCAGCCTGGGCAACAGAGCAAGACTCTGTCCCCCCCAAAAAAAAAAAAAAAAGTAAATTCCGGGACTCCCACCCCAGTCCTGCTGAACCATACTCTGGAGATGTGGCTTTACCTTTGGAAACTCCTTCTGGCTATGACCTCAGCATGGCTATCATTGAGGATGTCTCCTGCGGCAAAGATAGGACACCAGGTGAAGACATATGGAAGCTGGAGAGGGTCTGGTTCCTAGAAGCAGAACACAGCAGTCCCACCAGCACCCAGGATGGTCATGTAGCTCCTGGAGAGCTTTGCCAGAAGGTACCACAATCATGAATAACAATGCATCAGGTGCAGGGTTTCTCAACCCAGCACTGTAGACATTTTGGGCCAGAAAATTTTTTGTTGTGGGGGATCTATTCCATCCATACACTGTAGACTGTTTATTAGTAGTATTCCTGGCCTCTACCCATGAGATGACACTAGCACCCCTCCCTCAGTTGTGACAACTAAAAATGTCTCTAGACATTGCGAAATGTCCTCTGGGATGCAAATCACCCCCAGGTGAGAAACATTAATTTATAGAAAAACCTCATTCGGAGAACAAAGGTCTAGATCTTTTGTACAGAAGTATCCTACTTGTGCTCATGGTGGTACAATTCCATCTAATCCAATCCACAGTGATCCTGGAACAGGTTCCTCATATACAGGAGGTTAAGGCAAGGAGAATGGTAGAAGCCAACTCAAAGAGGAACCTGCTAGCTAGAAGAGGTAAAGACCCCAGATCTCGGCCAGGGACGCAATAGCTCATGCCTGTAATCCCAGCACTTTGGGAGGCCAAGGCAGGAGGATAGCTTGAGGCTGGGAGTTTGAGACCAGCCTGGCTAACACAGTGAGACCAAATCTCTACAAAATAAAAATGAAAAAAATTAGCTGCACATAGGTGTGCATAGCTGTGCACACCTATAGTCCAGCTACTCAGGAAGCTGAAGTGGGAGGATCACTTGAGCCCAGGAGTTCAAGGCTGCAGTGAGCTATGATAGTACCACCGTACTTCAGTGAGACCCTGTCTCTTAAAAAAAAAAAAACCACTGAAACAGACAAATAAAAACCCCCAGATCTCTAAGGAATTTTCATATTCTTGTTGAGGCCCAAAGCTTCCTGTCATTCAAGATTGCTTACCAGGTGCGGTGGCTCACACCTTTAATCCCAGCACTTTGGGAGGCCAATGTGGGCAGATCACCTGAGGTCAGGAGTTCAAGACTAGCTTGGCCAGCATGGTGAAACCCCGTCTCTAAAAAAATACAAAAATTAGCTGGGCGTGATGGTGGGTGCCTGCTGAGGCAGGAGAATCGCTTAAACCCAGGAAGGGGAGGTTGCAGAGCAGTGAATCGAGATTGCCCCATTGCACTCCAGCCTGGGTGACAGAGCGAGACTCCGAGTCAAAAAAAAAAAAAAAAAAAAAGATTGCTTTCTTGGGCTTCAGAAGCCACTCAAGCTGCATCCTCTACCTGCTATAGAGTCCCAAAGCCTTCCAGACCTAATGTGGAATAGCTAAACCCAGGGACTCTGTGGTTTGAGCATGAAAATACTGGTTAACTTTCAGTTATTCGGAAAGCATGTTCCTAGAGGCCTCCGCTTTGATGGTGGATTTCCATTCTCCAAGTGAGTACGGTCCTTCCAACTGGACTGATAGTCAGTAGGAAACAAATGCCATGCACCTCAACTGACATGGCCCCTCTTCCCTGACAAGGAGAGTAAAACATGGACACTGGTTTCAAGCTAAATCTTTGTTTAGATTCCCACCCGTGCTTACCGTTCTTCCTCATTTTGGACTGTCCTATGCATTTTGTTCCTGTTCCCATTGACACAACTTCCTTTGTCACTGTGGGAAAAAAACAAATCGTGTGAGTTCTGAGAAACGGAATGTTCCCCGGTGTTCAGGTGTGATCAGCCTGCACACTCCTCTAGGGGATTCCCAGAGGCCCACTCAACCAAGGTCTGCGGTTCCAGCATGGCGGTCTCCCGCCATCAGAGGTACTGCGTCACCTAGCAGAGGACAAGCACATATGCCTAACATCGTAGTTCACACCCTACCCACGACTGTACCCTCACAGTACAGCAATGCATAATTTTACCATCTCTCACAGTGAGGAGCATGCCAAGAAGAAAAAGTCTCACCTTGCACCGGCTTATCAGGGGTGTCGCAGGCCTTGTCAGCTGGAGATTGTATCTTCACCACCGCTGCCAATAATGTCCACTCATGGTTTGGCTCAGGCTTCCCCTTCTTGGGCAGCCTGATCCCATAGTGTTCATAGCATAGCTGAGCAATCTCATCCGCGGTCCACATGGTCTGAGCTGGTATTGAGACCTTGATCAAAAACCACAACCATCAGAAGTACGGAAAGGAGAACCAGTGCACGATGCTACAGCCTCTCATATCCATGCTTCGAGTCTTTCAAATGGAGCAGACCGAGGTTTCCCTATCTGGAACTCTATGGATCATTTTCTTCTACTATCTCCCTGCCCCCTTTTCATCTTTAATGAAAGATCAAAGAAACCCCAAATTCTACCAATCCCCAAAATTATTGTTTCAAGTTTTTCTTAATGTTATATATCTGATACATTTCTAAGGAGTCTGCATCCTCTACTCAACATTAAAGGACACGAGAAGGAAATGTCCTCACTACTCCAGTTTTCACTGGAAACGGCATGTAAAGGGTTGCAGACTCACTTGCTTTGGGCAGACCCTCACTGTATAAGGTTTATCTTTCTGGACAGATGTTCTTATCTGTCTTCTTTTTCCAGGCATTTTATTTTTCTCCTTTCCCCTACAGCAGAGTGTTTCTCTACCGCCCTCTAGTAAATCCCCACTGAAATGTTTCTCAGCAGTTACGTGTTCTCATAGAGCTCTACTTAAGGGTGTGGACTTTGGATTCACCCTTTCTGGGTTCTAATTTTGGCTTTGCCACAAATTAACTGTGATGCTGAATAGACTACTTAACCTTGCTGGGTCTGTTTCCTCATCTGTCAAAATAGTGATAACAATAGTATCTAACCTATTTAGATTATTGTGAAGATTAAATAATACTTAGGGTTACTGTGAGGGTTAAATAAGTAATACTTATAAAAAGCAATTGCTACTATGTTGAGCATAATTAAGGTCAACTGTGATTACTATTACAAAAAATAACATTTGATGATTTTCCTGGTTAATTTGCCTTGAGCTACCTGGTGGTGGGGGTGAAAGGGGGAGGGCTGTAATGGGCATAGAAAGCCATGAATTAAAAAACCATCAAGCAGATCCCTAGGATACTTTGCAGGGAAATCTCTCACTCTTGGCCCTATCAATGCTCACTAGGCACATCCTGATCTCATTTGGACTCAATTATACAAAAAGCTTCCCAGTAGAAGATGAGCTTGTGATAGACATAGCTAAGCACTGTAAAACCAAACTGAAGGCCGGGCGCGGTGGCTCACCTGAGGTCAGGAGTTCGAGGCCAGCCTGGCCAACGTGGTGAAACCCTGTCTCTACTGAAAATACAAAAAAATTAGCCGGGCGTGATGGCGCGTGCCTGTAGTCCCAGCTACTCGGGAGGCTGAGGCAGGAGAATCGCTTGAACCCGGGAGGCGGAGGTCGCAATGAGCCGAGATTGTGCCACTGCACTCCAGGCTGGGTGACAGAGCGAGACTCCCTCTCAAAAAAACAAAAAAGGCTTTCCTGAGCTCCAGTGCATGCAGCTTTTGAAAGATGGTATTGTTATGAATCCCCTGCAGCGCAACGTGCAGGCTCGCTACTGTAGTGAATGCTACTGGTAAATCAGACCACAGTGATTTAAAACAAAAATCTGCAGGAAGTGAGACCCTGTGACTTGAAAGTCAGAGGGCCAGGGCAAGCCTTGTCAAGAAAAGAAAGCATGAGATCCTAGAATCCTCGTTTGGAAGGGACTCACCTCTCATTTCTAGGGAGGCATCACAAGGCAGTATAGTTTATGAAGACCACCTGGCCATCGACCTGAAATTAAACCAGAGGTGCAATTCACAAACCTCGATAGGCAAGGCAGGTAGAAGTTGCCAGAAGAAACAGTGACTCTCTTTAAGATGAAGCAGCCCAGAACGGCATCATCTCACTCAGGTAGTGCGTCTGAATGAGCATGCACAATTGTTTAAATGAATAAATGTTTTGCTACACTGGGTCCATTATAATTCGAGCCTACACCCCCTCCTAGATCTTGAAAACTTGAAGAACTTCTTAGCTGAAAATAACAGCTCAGCTAAACAGGCATTTATTTGCCCACAAGACCGCATCTCTGAACAGTTTCAACAAGCTAAAAAAACTGACGTCCTTTCCAAAGAAAAGGAAGTCGGCTGCCAGGGGAGAAAAGGCTTCAGCGATGCTTGGAGGAAGGGACTCTGGTTTACGCTGGCTCCCTTCCTAAACACTTCCGGAAGCAGAGCCCCTTCCCGGCCGCTGGAGAAGCCTGGGTGGGACCCCGAGTCGGCCAGTTACAGGATAGGAGGTGCCAGGCAAGGCACTGAAGCCATGCAGTGAGAACAGCGTGAGCGCCTGATCCATTGGGTCCTGCGGCTGCCAGGCCAGAGGCCCCGCGCCAGGAGCTCTTCAGGCGCCGGCTGCTGACAGTTCCAGGCGTGGAGCGCCTTCCCACGTGAAACGCGTCCCGGAAGATACGATCCTCACAACCTCTTCCCTCAAAAACAGACTCGGCAAAGTTAGCCCGGATAAACCTGCCCCGTCGCCCCAGCGCCTCGCGGACGCTCCCCTCCCACCTTCAGGAAACGCGCCTAGAAGAAAGCGAGCTTAATCCGCCGGTAAGGCGGACGTGACGTCACAAAGCGCCGGTTCCTTTCGGCTCCCGCTCCCAGAGGCGCGCAGTGCATGCCGGGCCCTGTAGTTTTTCCGGGGAGTCGGTGCCAGGGCCGAGATTCCCGCGCTTCAAGTCCCGCAGCCCTGGCTGCGTCTTAGAGAGGCGTGAAACCGGATGATGGGAGCCGCTTGTTGGCTTAGATATTCCTTCAACTAGAATGACGTATCTTGCAGCACTCGGCTGAATTTTTTTCTTTTTCTTTTTTTTTTTTGAGACGGAGTCTTGCTCTGTTGCTCAGGCTGGAGTGTAGAGGCGCGATCTCGGCTCACTGCAACCTTCGCCTCCCGGTTCAAGCGATTCTCCTGACTATGCTGTATTTCTATCTGTAACATCACTGTCCAATAGATATATAATTCGAACCATATACGTAATTTAAAAATTTCCAGTAGCCTCATTAAAAGTCAAAATAGAAACAATCATATATATTTTATTTAACCCATACATCCCAAATAGTATTATTTCAACATATAATCAAAAAATTTTTTGAGATGGAGTCTCGCTTTGTCGCCCAGGCTGGAAGCGGCGCAATTTCGGCGCACTGCAACCTCCGTCTCCTGGCTTCAAGCGATTCTCCTGCCTCAGCCTCCCAAGTAGCTGGGATTACAGGCGCCCGCCATCACACCCGGCTCATTTTTGTTATTTTTAGTAGAGACGGGGTTTCGCCATGTTACCAGGCTGGTCTCGAACTCCTGACCTCAAGTGATCCGCCCGCCTCAACCTCCCAGAGTGCTGGGATTACAGGCGTGAGTCACGATGCCCGGGGTCGGTCTGTCTGTCTCATATATATATATATATATATTTTTTTTTTTTTTTTTTTTTTTTTTGAGACGGAGTCTCGCTCTGTCACCCAGGCTGGAGTGCAGTGGCGCAATCTCTGCTCACTGCAAGCTCCGCCTCCCAGGTTCACGCCATTCTCCTGCCTCAGCCTCGCGAGTAGCTGGGACTACAGGTGCCTGCCACCACGTCAGGCTAATTTTTGTATTTTTAGTAGATACGGGGTTTCACCATGTTAGCCAGGATGGTCTCGATCTCCTGACCTCGTGATCTGCCCGCCTCGGCCTCCCAAAGTGCTGGATTACAGGCGTGAGCCACCGCACCTGGCTGCCGAGTCTCAATATTTTAAAAAATACTTATGTTCTGTTCTGTTTTTAATGCGAAGTTTAAGAAATCTGGTGTGTGTTACACTTAGAATACATCCCAATTTGGATCAGCCACATTTCAGATGCTGGATAGTCACATGTGGCTACTGGCTACTGTAGTACAGTACTACTACAGTGTAGTGGGCAGAACAGGTCTAAAAACCTTTGGATTGCCGGGAATAAGTAATATAGCTGCCTGGATACTTCAGGGGCCTTTGTCACCCAGTAACTGAATGCTCTATTACTAAAAATGAAAGAATTCATTTTTCTTTGTTACCCCTCAAAAATTTATGCAACTTGCTCAACCCCATCCTTCTCTCTAGTTCAAAGGAAATGGGACATGGCCCTCCTCCAAGGCCAAAGACTTTGCTCCTCATTCCTCTCCAATATCTTTAATCTGCAAGTGACTGCCTCTTCTGTCTTTTAAGAAATATTCCAGTGGGGGTAAGGGGTATCAAAGACCTTCTTCTAGGGTTCTTTATCTCAGGGATTGGTATTACTAGCAATCTAGTTGCGTAACTAAAAAGTGAGTCATGTTCCTTGTTATCTCCCTTCCCTTAATCCCCTTAGTGCAATCCATTACCAAGTCCTGTTGATCTTACTTCCTATCTCTTGAATCCATCCATTTCTCTCCACTTGCATGCCAATACGCTAGTAAAAGCCACTATCGTATTCCTCTTGGATTGCTACACTCATCTCTGAATTTCCACCTTTTCTTGCTTAACTCCAATTCATTTTCCACAGAGCAGCAAGACTAATCTTTTCAAACTGCAAATCTGGTGTCAGATTTGTGACTACTACACATTTACTGCTTAAATAATACTTCAGTGAATGCCTTCTCGGTACTTTTTTTTTTTTTGAGATGGAGTCTCACTCTCCTACCCAGGCTGTAACGCAGTGGCACAATCTCGGCTCACTGCAACCTCCGCCTCCCAGGGGCAAGCAATTCTACCTCAGCCTCCCCAGTAGCTGGGATTACAGGCACATGCCACAACACCCGGCTGATTTTTGTATTTTTAGTAGAGACGGGGTTTCACCCTGTTGGTCAGTCTGGTCTCAAACTCCAGACCTCAAGTGATCCGCCTGCCTTGACCTCCCAAAGTGCTGGGATTACAGGCGTGAGCCACCATGCCCGACTGGCTTCCCAGTACTCTTAAAATACAGACAAAAATCCCATAGTAGTGCTCACAGTCCTGCATGGCCAGCCCCTTCCTGCCTCACCTGGTGCCATATTTCTTTGGGCTTCTATACTCTCACTGGTCTCCATGTCCCTTCCTACCACAGGGCTTTTGCACTTGTTGCCATACCACGGAAAGCCTTCTTCCCTTCAGATCTCATGTCCTCAGAGAAACCTCCTCTAACTAGGTCCATGTCCATTATAGCTTCTCAACACCCCGTGGACCTCTCCTTCAAACCATTTACCTGAGCTGCCATTTTATACAATTTTGGAGGATGATTTATTACTATCTATTTTCTTTACAAGTGTAGATGCTTGATGAAGTTTGAGACCACGCCTGTTTCTGCTCACCCCAGCAAAGCAGTTAGCAAATTGTGAGCCTGCAACTGTTTGAAGAGAAATGGGGACTTTATGACCCTTCTGTCCCTTCTAGCTTTCACACTCGGTCATTTTTCCTGCCAACCCTCACATACAAGTTGTCTACTGCTGCCTCAGTTCCTTTCTATCCCTAGCCTCCTTAAGACCAGACAGCTGGATTCTGCCTCCATCCTTCCATTAAACCACTTTGTAAAGTCACTCATATCATCAATCCTTGTAGCCTTTTTCAATTGTCTGCATTGACAGTATTACCTGAAACCTAGTCCCTTACCTGTCCTTGACCTTCCACCACCTCCCTTGGTGAGATGATTATCTCCCGTTTTAGTTACCACTCCCTTTCTGAGGATGTGCCATTTGAAAATGTTTCTTCTGAAATGCCACCTGGTCACGTACTGCTTAAACACCAGCAGGGGTAGGGATGTTCCTCACTGCCTGAGGTAGTTCATTTAGGCAATTCTGAATGCTTAGGTTGTTTTACCAGCTACAGAAACAGAAACCTGCTCTGTGAAAGGAGACTGGCTGCTCCCAAACTGGGATGCTTGCAGAGGTTTTGCTGAGGTGCAGAAGGTAAAGTCTTCCGTCATGTGAAAAAAGGTCTTCCCAGCTGTCTCCGTGTCAGGAAAGAGGGGCTCCACTTTGATGGCAGGCTCTCAGCCACACCCTTGTCACGTTCTTAGCTCTATTGAATGGAGCTGAAAATAATGAGAAAACTTCAGATTCATTATTCAACATTCTGCTATTTCCATCTGGCTAACAGGCATGTCAAATTTAACATGTCCAAAACCAAACTTCCAACCTTCCCTCTGAAACCTGAACTTCCTGTTTTTCCCATCTCAGTAGAGGGCAACTTTCTTCCAGCTGTTCAGGTCCAAAACCTTGAAATCATTTTTGGCTTCTTTTTCTCACAACCCACATTCCCATCACCAAATTCTTCTGCCCTCAGGAACACAGGCAAAGTACAACCACTTGTAACCATTTCCACTGGTCCATGCACGTCGCAGCCACTGTCTCCTCAGCCCATGGTGAATGCTCAGCTGGTCTCCCTTCGTTGCTCTTGTCCTCCACACAGAAACTAGAATAATCCTTGAAAAACACTCCTCTGCTCAAAATCCTTCCATGGTATCTCATTTCCCTCAGAAAACACATACTTTTCTGAGTGGCTTCCAGGGGCCTGCGTGATCTGGCCCCTCACTGACCTTCACTCATCCCTGTCCAGTCACACCAGACCCTCTGCCATTCCTCAAAAACATGGTCCTTTAGTCTGAATGGCCTTTTCCCACAGACCTCCCCAGCTCAGTCTCCAGACCTCTACTGAAATGCCCAGCAGAGGTCTTCCTGACCACCATAAAGTAGCACTGTTCCTTCCACCTCTAAAATAGCACCTCTGTCCCCTTACCCTGCTCCATTTTTCTTCTTAGTATATACCACCACCAGAAAGAACATGTATTTACTTGTTTTTTTGTTTGTCTACTTCTTCTCCCTACCCCAAAGAAAGAATACAATTTCCACAAAAGCAGGAACTTGGCTTTTGTTCCCTGCTGTGTCCCCAATCTCTTAGAATAATGCCTGGCACAGGGCAGACATTAATACAAATTTGTTAAATGAATAAGATGGTAAAATCCTAAACATTCATTAGGCCAGAAGTCTGGGGAAAAAAGTTGATATTCTAAAAGTAAAGAGAAGAGACAAATGGCTTATTTGGTAACAGGATTAAAAAGAAATTTTTAATTCCTTGTCTCTCTTCTGATGGCTGAACAGAACTGCGGTGTCAAATGGAAAGCAGCACACAAGAATTCCCTTGCAGACCTTGATCTTTCGCAGAAATGCAAAGACGCCTGAGTTATACAACTTGCAATTATTATTTTCTAGACAGAAGTGCCAACTGTTGTGCTTTCCAGTGTATCAGTGGTTGCTACATTCTCCTTCTTGTCTTCGGGTTTCATGGCAGGAAACAGAAGTACTTCCTGTGGGAGATAAGAATGTACCTTGAAGCTGAGAAGCACTCTCAACATTTTTTCACAGCTATCTACCCATTCCTCTTGCCTCTGTTGTTACCACCAAAATCCAGAGATTAGTATATTCCAGCTGAAAAGGCTCATGTGTTCTTTTATTTCAACTCAGACCCTCTCAAGTTACAGATGACAAAGAACAAATGCATAGCACTGCCTAGGGCACTATGTCAAAAGGATGAATAGACGCATTTCTATGAAAATTTGATTTCCTCATCTATAAAAATGGGAAACAACAGTTTCTACACCTCATAAGGCTGACTTAATTAGCTGAAATAATGCACGGAGACTTCCCTGGATCCTCAAGAAATGCAAACAATTAGTATTCCTTCTGCCCCTGGTAGGAAAAAACCCAAATCCTTTAAGGTCAGAGGCTCTGGCCCTCCTGTGAGTGGCATGGAACTCCTCTGCCTGCTCCTCTTCCCAGCCCAAAGCCCTTCCTTAATTTTATCCTCCAGGCCCACCATGCCCTGGCTCCAACACAATGCAGCTTCCTCAGGAAGTGTGCTCTGTGGAGGGTTGCTACGTACCTTGATGTTGTTGGAGTCCGTGAGAAACATGGCGACTCGATCAATGCCCATGCCCCAGCCAGCTGTGGGGGGCAGCCCATATTCCAGGGCAGTACAGAAGTTTTCATCTATGAACATGGCCTCATCATCACCTGCAGCCTTGGCCTAGAAGAGGAAAGAGAACCAAAAGGTGACCTTCTTCTAAGATATCTCAGTGTGTGAGTGAACATGTTACCAGGCTCCGAGGTGGGAGTACCATCATTCCAGAGATGCTCCTGACACTCAGGACTTGCTGGGAATTCATTTCCTAGTAACTCCAAGATGCAGCCGTTTCTTTCAAAGACCTGGAGGTCAGGACTGATGAAATCGACCTCAGAACACATACAAATTTCTCTGAAAGAAAACCCTTCTGCTGCTTGGGGCTCTGGGACTCCAAACAGGTTAATTCTCAGAGACTGTGACAATTACAAGAGTCTTTCTCCCATTTCCTGAAAACAGCCCTGTCAACACCTGCTGCAGGCAGCCTGTGGGGGTTCTGTCTTCTCCATTCATCTCTACCTACCTCCCAGCCCTAAGCCACCTTAATACATGTACAATCTAAGAAAATAATGTTCTTGCTTGGCAAGTGTATTTTCAAGGCAAGCGTCACGCTTTCCATACGGAGATTAATAATGAAGTTCCTCTTATGTACGACAGACTCAATACCAGATGAAGTCACCATCTTGAAATGTGACTCCTCCAGCAAGCCTATGGCTTTATCTTTCACTTCTGAAGTCACCAAGAACGTATACGCTGACACAGATCAGGGTTAAGGCTGGTATTTCCTGGTGAGTTGGCACAGCTTCTGCTCACAGTCCCCTTTCTCACCTTGGCCTGTTCTTCAAAAAGCTGCCGCTGCCGCATGGGATCATTCAGCTCAGTATACGCATTGCATATCTCTTTCTTCATGACAAACAGCTCAAAGCGCTCAGTCAGACCCTCTTTAGAGCGGTGCCTAGGGACAGGAGACCAAAGAGGAGGCTGAATATAGAGGCCCCTAATGAGCTAAATTTTGTTTTTTCTTTTTTTTTGAGACGGAGTCTCGCTCTGTCACGCAGGCTGGAGTGCAGTGGTGTGATCTCGGCTCACTGCAACCTCTGTCTCCTGGGTTCAAGCACTTCTCCTGCCTCAGCCTTGAGTAGCCGGGATCACAGGCCCATGCCACTATGCCTGGCTAATTTTTGTATTTTTAGTAGAGACAGGGTTTCGCCATATTGGCCAGGTTGGTCTAACGATCAAACATCTAATACAATAATTGAATTCTAGTGGACTCAAAAGTGTTACTGATTGCAGTCAGAAGCCTGCATGCAGTCTCAGCAACAAATCATTTGGTACAACGGTGAGGAGGGTGAGAGAGACCAGGAAGGTTTAATGATCTTCCTAACAGGCCAGCGGGCAGACTGTTAAAATGGACCACACCTCTTGCATTCATGCCCATGTGTAGTCTCCTTCACCTGGACTCTGCGCTGGCAACATGTCTTGGTTTGGCCAATGGGTTATCACCAGAGGCTTGATACGTGTTTGCACAATGAGGTCTGTTCTTTTGGAAGCTTCCCCTTAGAGCCCAACCACCATGCTGAAGGGAAGCCCAGGCTGTGCTGCCAGACAGGCCACATGAAGAGGCCCTGGAGGATAAGATCGTATGTGGAGTGACCACGTGGAGGAGAACCAAAGTGCCCTGGCAGAATCCCCAGTTGAAAAAAAGCCACTTGGGTTACCCTGGTCAACACCACCCAGCAGAAAGACCACCAGTCAAACCACAAAATCTTGACAATAAATTGTTAACACCACTAAGTTTTGGGGCTGTTATGCAGCAATAGGTAACTGGAATCTTACCATTTAGCCAAAGGGCTCATTATCTGTGGGTGATCACAGATGAATGTAGGATTGATGCAAGTCACTTCCAGGAACTCCCCAACAAGCTTAATGAGAAAGCAAAGCAGAGTCAGTCACCATTTCTGAATAGTATTTGATCGTCCCAGCCCAGACAGAAGATCTCAGCTCCCATCCAGATGGGTTTATCCTATAGCTTTTTATTTATTTATTATTATTATTATTATTATTATTGAGATGGAGTCTCGCTCTGTCGCCCAGGCTGGAGTGCAGTGGCATGATCTCGGCTTGCTGCAACCTCCGCATCCTGGTTCCAGTGATTCTCGTGCCTCAGCCTCCTGAATAGCGGGGATTACAGGTGCCCGCCACCATACCCAGCTCATTTTTGGATTTTTTGTAGAGACAGGGTTTCACCATGTTGGCCAGGCTGGTTTCGAACTCCTGACCTCAGGTGATTCATCTGCCTCGGCCTCCTGAAGTGCTGGGATTACAGGTGTGAGCCACCATGCCCACCCTACCCTATAGCTTTTTAAAAGCTGGACGGGATTAACTGAGATCACACACATAAATTATTTGGCACAGAGCTTAGTATGACAGTTAAAAGTCTGTTAATTCTCTTGTTCTCTCTCTAGGGTTTTCCTGTGAAGCTGCAGAAATGAACTCTCCCCAGTGGGGTTCATTTTCCCAGGGAAGAGGGAACCATTCAGCACCAGATGAGGACATGTACAAGAAGGCAGGGCCTTCTCACCTTGTCAAGGAGCCTGGCTGTGGTCCGAGGTGGAGGGCATTCAACAGCTTTTGCCACACAGATATCATCAAGAATTTTGCGAGTTTCTGGGACACAAATGCAAAAGTTAGGGCAGGAGACATCACACTAGCCAAGTAAAAATGTACATAAAGAGAATAGTGTGGGAAATTCTAGCTCTGACCCAATCAAATTCAGAGCTGAACAGGAAGGAGGGCCTTACAACGGAGGAGTGAGTGTTGTCACTTTACCTTCAGTTTCAAAGAGGTTCGTTTCTGGCAGCTTCATCCCCAGGGCTTTCTCAAGCTCTTCTACCATGTTGATTCGCCGGAAGGGTGGGGTGAAGTCAACATCGTAGGCTTGGCCCTCTGGGCCATCTGGGTGGTAGGTGACCTTGTAACTGCCTGTAATATGCTTCACCATCCCTGGGAGAGAAACCTGTTATTTAGCGGGAATGAAATCCAGGCAGCCCTCCTCTGAAAGCAGCATACCAACCACCCGATGAGTATGAGAGAGAGCAGGAGTCACCTGAAACCATCTTCTCCGTGATTTCCATGAGATCGTGATAGTCTGCATAGGCCATGTAGAACTCACAGGTGGTGAACTCAGGATTGTGCGTCAAATCAATCCCCTCATTCCGGAACTGGCGTCCAATTTCATAAACCCGGTCGATGCCACCAACCACAAGCATCTAACAACAACACATGGCCACGGTCATGACAGCTAATCTTTTTTTTTTTGAGATGGAGTTTTGCTCTTGTTGCCTAGGCTGGAGTGCAATGGCAAGATCTCAGCTCACCGCAACCTCCGCCTCCTAGGTTCAAGCAATTCTCCTGCCCCAGCCTCCCTAGTAGCTGGGATTACAGGCATGTGCCACCACGCCTGGCTAATTTTTTTGTATTTTTAGTAGAGACAGGGTTTCTCTGTATTGGTCAGGCTGGTCTCGAACTCCCGACCTCAGGTGATCTGCCTGCCTCCGCCTCCCAAAGTGCTGGGATTACAGGCATGAGCCACCGCGCCCGGCCCCATGACAGCTAATCTTGTATTAACAGCTCTGGGAAGTTTCAGTCTCCAAAAGCCGTAACTTGGTTTTCACAGGTTAGGTATACTCTCAGGTCTCTGGTCAAATTGCCAAGCACCCTGCTCTCTTTATACCCTTGTAGTGTGGATAGTTACCCCTTTTTTGGCTGCCTAGGACTTCTCGATACTCTTCCTGTCTTGGGCATCCCCCATCATTGAGTCTGAACCTCCCCAAGGAAGCAGCCTCTCTTGGGGTTAGGCTGCAGGCGTGTGACCCAAGCTCCACCAGTCAGATACACTTGTGAGACTTCAGCATGGAAACTACTAACAAAAGATGTGGGTATTGCATAGAATTCATTCTGGTGAAGGGGGCCAGTCACACGTAGCTTTTAGATTGCAGAGGTCCTAGCGGCAATGACTTGTGCCTAGTGCCAGGATTATGAGCTGTAGTAACTGTGCCTACTAGGAAAATACACTGGGTTCTCCATGAGAACAGCCCATTCTAATATGACTCAGAATCATTCCTAGTTGTATAGTTTCCAAGCCTGATTCTCTGATCCTCCTGGGGACTGTGAGCTTCCTCTATGTTGGGATTCACTCAGGATGGTGGCAGAAATATTAAAGGGAAATATTGGGGAAAGTTATAAGGAATAGTCACAAACCTTTTGGAAGGCCGAAAGGTTACGTAGCTTGTAATAACTGAACAGGCTGAAGGCAGCCAGTTCTTACCGTACAGCATTAGGTCATAGGGTAAATACTACGGAAAATAGAGGCTTCCCCAGTTAAGTCTGTTTACCCTACCTCCATTAACTAACCTTTCAGCCAGATGGCCCTCTTGGGGGGAGGTTGACCAAAGATACTGCTCCCTAATGGTATTTACTTTAGACCATGGTACCTGGACTTTAATAATTCCTAGAACTCCTCTCTTACGATGTTAATTATCCACAAGTGTGTTTACTCAAAGCTTCTGTTGTTAATTCTATACTAAATAAATGCCTGGAGTGAGAGCTGCTCAGGGTCGGCCGCAATGACAAATACACCTCTCTTGGTGTGCAGGTGATCGGACACTCAGCAGGACTGGCAAAACAGAGTATCTGTGTTTCAGTGTACGTTTTATTCATCCATCGTTTAGGTCAGGGTCTGCAGGCAGACCCCCGCAGCTAATGCCCTCTTGTGAGGAGCAATACCTCACCTATAGAGCTGAATAAATTTTTATTTTGCTTAAACTAGTTATAACAGTTTCTGTTGTCTGCAACTAAGAATCCTGAATAATAATCTTCAATATTTACCTGGGAATTTGACAAGACATCTTTATAGTGATTTGAAGATACTTTTTTTTTTTTTTTTTTTTGAGACGAAGTCTCATTCTGTCACCCAGGCTGGAGTGCAGTTGCAGGATCTCGGCTCACTGCAACCTCCGCCTCCCGGGTTCAAGCAATCCTCCTGCCTCAGTCTCCCAAGTAGCTGGGATTACAGGCACATGCCACCACGCCCAGCTAATTTTTGTATTTTTGTAGACACTGGGTTTCACCATGTTGGCCAGGTTGGTTTCAAACTCTTGACCTCAAGTGATCCATCCGCCTTGGCCTCCCAAAGCGCTGGGATTACAGGTGTGAGGCCCGCGCCAGGCCTGAAGATGCTTATTTCCAACTTCCACAGACAGATTAGGCTCTTTCTTCTGTGAAAGACTTAAATCAGATCTAATCCACGTAAGACTTTATCTTAAAAGTTTTAGGGGAACCAAAGTAGGTAAGGAGTGCCTGTATACATGGGAAAGACAACCCCTTTGGTCTCTGCCCTACAATGCTCTATTAATCTTGTAGAGAAATTCTGGAAGTGTTACTCACATCCACACACCTGACCCATCAGAACACTTTCTTGGCTGCTTTACTCTCTCTGTTCCTCTTATTTCTGACTATACCCATCTAGCCAGTGGTATTCCAGCTTTCTGCTTCTTTAAGGGAAAAGGGTGTACTATTACTGACTACCTTATGATAGAGTTCTGGAGCAATTCTCATATATAAGTTCATGTCCAGCTCGTTGTGATAAGTGATGAAAGGCTTGGCCACGGCTCCCCCTGGGATGATGTTCATCATGGGAGTTTCAATCTAAAAAAGGCAGGGAGAAACATCAGTCCTTAGATAACCAGAGGCCTTGGGGACAGACCATGCTTTGCATGTAATATAGTCTAAGCCTGTTATACCCCAAACTAAATGTTAATAAGTTCAACAGTAATGTGCAAGTGCTTGACAAAAAAGGACACTATGATTTTCTACGACAGTGTCTCAATTTCTATTAATACCTAATATCATTAATATAGTACCACGAACTTTCACAAGCTGTAAATTAGAATCTAAATGGATATAGCCTTTCTTGAGTTCAATTTGCAGTATTTATTTAATTTTTTTTAAGACGGAGTCTTGCTCTGTTGCCCAGGCTGGAGTGCAGCAGCGCGATCTCGGCTCATGGCAAGCTCCGCCTCCTGGGTTCACACCATTCTCCTGACTCAGACTCCAAAGTAGCTGGGACTACAGGTGCCTGCCACCACGCCTGGCTAATTTTTTGTGTTTTTAGTAGAGACAGGGTTTCACTGTGTTAGCCAGGATGGTCTCGATCTCCTGACCTTGTGATCTGCTCACCTCGGCCTCCCAAAGTGCTGGGATTACAGGTGTGAGCCACTGCGCCCGGCCCAATTCCCAGTATTTATTAAAAATTTAGGCTGGTCTGAAGGTAGTGAGTTATCTCAACTGATTGTTTAAAAAAAATTTTAACTGCTTATATTGTTTGACTTATTCTACTTCTAGAAATCCATCCTACAGAAACATTTGAACATGTGTATAAAGATGCTTGTTGGAACAAATAATGCAGCATTAAGAAAGAGTATCTATCTATCTCATACAAAGAGATCCAGAATATCTTAAGTGAAATAAAAGCAGGTCCATCACAATACACATAGTGTGACTTCATTCATATTTAAACCAAAAATAAAACTCCTCCAAAATGTTTACATATGTGCACTCCATCTGCAACATGCATATGTACATACGTATATATGCCCAGTAAATGGTGTGGAAGGATACATATCAAACTCAAGTTTGGGTAGGGAAGTTAGTCAGAAGGAGTGAAAGAGCACTTTCAGTTTTGCTTCTATTTAATTTATTGTTTGAATTTGTTTTATGGTACGTGTGTTTGCCTTTCTCATATAATCAAAAAATATTTCTTAATGCTACAAAAAAGCAAAATGACGTGAATACATATTGAATGTGACATCATTAGCATGTGGATGGCCCTATACCTTGTCCATTATCTTGGAAGTCAGGTCCTGCCTTCCTAATCAGGACAAGGTAGAACAGAGACGATGGCAAGAAAAGGGGACATTCTCATTAGGCATGAAGGATCCTGACACAGGATACGCTTTGGAAAAGGAAGGCAAGGGAGAGGAGGAGGCAAGCATTGCAAGGCAGCTCATCACGTCAGGCAAGGAACTCTCCTTACCTCTAGGAATCCCAGCTCATCTAAGAAACTTCTTATATATGTGATGATCTTAGAGCGGATGATAAATTTCTGCCTCACAAAGTCATTCAGGATCAAGTCCAAGTATCTCTGGCGATACCTTGTTTCCTAAACCAAAAGCAGCAGTTAGAAATCACTGGTATGTCTGATCCAAAGGTATGATAAAACAAACAGAAAGCTAGGAGGCCACAGCTAGGAGGCCAAGAACGCTTACCTTGTCTTTGAGGCCAAAGTGAAGATGAGGTAACATATGCAAACAGGGAGACAGCAGTGTGATCTCATACGGAATGATGCTCAGCTCACCCTTCTTGGTTTTACCAGGATTCCCCTGAACTCCAATTATGTCTCCCCGACGCAGTTTGTTATTAATATGAATAAATTCTTCTTCTGATTTATAATTTCTGAGTGAAAAAGAAATGTAATTCAGTAACAACAATTCAAATGAACACTGACCACTGGTCTCCTCTGGAACCCTCACTCAACTGTTAATACCTAGTTAATGTGAGCCCAAGAAGGACGTCAGATTCAGGGGCCACTATTAAAAAAGGACTATCCTTTACTTTACTGTCATATAACTTGAGAGTAGTCATTACTTTACAGGTGACCAGGTGGCCACATTATCCTCTTCTCAGCCTTCCCCAACCATGTCCCACTCCTTCTTACTCTAACTTCAAATACCAGTAAGACCACATCAGCCTATTGCTGTGTTGCTCTAGGCCAACCAAGAAAGGTCTATAACTGGGTATTTCGAGATACCTGGAATTGGCCATGACTTGCAACTTCACCCCCTCTCCTCGAAGATCATAGAAGATGAGCTTTCCCCCAGAAGCTCTTTTGGCATGGATCCTACCTAGAAAAAGAAGAGCAAAAATACTGACTGACAGAACCAGAAGTCATTTTATGGTATCAGTGTCAAAAAAAAACTCCCTCTGCATTTTTTTTTTTGTTTTTTTTGGGACAGAGTCTTGCTCTGTTGCCCAGGCTGGAGTGCAGTGGCACGATCTCAGCTCAATGCAACCTCCGCCTCCCAGGTTCAAGTGACTCTCCTGTTTCAGCCTCCTGAGTAGCTGGGATTACAGGTGCACACCACCACACTCGGCTAATTTTTCTTTTTTTTTTTAAAGTAGAGAGGGGGTTTCACCATGTTGCCCAGGCTGGTCTTGAACTCCTGGGCTGAAGTGATCCACCCACCTCAGCCTCCCAAAGTGCTGGGATTACAGGTGTGAGCCCCCACACCCGGCCTGCATTTTTTTTTTTTTTTTGGTCAGGGCACAATGCAAAGCAGTACAATCTGATTTTAGCTTGAGGTTTAATCCCCATCTTTTCCCTCAAACCAACAATGTCCATTCAAACCAGTTAAAGACATGCTTTCAGGATCTAGCTTTCAAGATTAAGTCACTGGATGCCTAGAAGATGGTGGTGCTGGTAGCAGCATAGTTTTTGGATTTCCCTGAATCCTCACATAAAAATAGAAAGCACAGCTAGAGAGGCGAAGCGAAAAATCCATGGACAAAATTTACAACAAAATGCTGTGGGAAGACGTTGCCAAGGACCCCCAAATATAAGCAAGGAGGCAAACCACCAAGAGCCATAAGACCTCTATACGGGGAAAAAGCAGTGGGGAGAAATGGGGTATGGGAGGGATCTGAGAACTGGAAAGCCCCCAAATGGCCAAAGGTATCCTCTGGAAAATGTGAACCTTTTCCTCCAGGCTCACTGGGGGAGAGCAGCTGAAACAGGGAGGGGATGTGTCCGTTTCCATACAGGTGAGGGTTGCATTAAGAAGATCTAAAGGAGGCCAGGTGCTGTGGCTCACGCTTGTAATCCCAGGACTTTGGGAGGCCGAGGCAGGCAGATCACGTAAGGCTGGGAGTTCAAGACCAGCCTGACCAACATGGAGAAACCCTGTCTCTACTAAAAAAAAATACAGAATTAGCCAGGCGTGGTGGCGCATGCCTGTAATCCCAGCTACTTGGGAGGCTGAGGCAGGAGAATCGCTTGAACCTGGGAGGCGGAGGTTGCAGTGAGCTGAGATCACGGCATTGCACTCCAGCCTGGGCAATAAGAGCAAAACTCAGTCTCAAAAAAAAAAAAAAAAAATCTAAAGGGAATGAGGAGTAGAGCCCACAGAAACCCTCTCAACAGCCAGGCTCCCTTCTAGGACAAGACCGTAAAAACTAACAGGACAAGGAAAAAAGAGACCAAAAAAAAAAAAAAAAAGAAGACCCAAAAAAAGTGAGGAAGAAGAAGAGAACCAGGAAATCTCAAAAAACAAGCTGCAGTATTTCTGAACATGCCACAAAAACAAGAGGGAGCTCACTGGAAAAACGAAACCGTGCTTCCTTTGAACATTCAGGAAAACTGATTTCATGTAAATGTAAGCAACATAAAAGCACTGGGCTCACATACCATATAAAGTTACTTAAAAAACTAAAAATGGAGAGATAGAAGGAGAATAACACCCCTCTAGACAAAATAAAAGCACTCAAGACAGACATGCTTAGAAAAACAAAAAGTTCCTTTTTTTTTTTTTATTTTACTTTAAGTTCTGGGACACATGTGCAGAACACGCAGATTTGTCATATAGGTATACATGTGCCATGGTGGTTTGCTGTACCTATCAACCTGTCATCTAGGTTTTAAGCTCTGCATGCATTAGGTATTTGTCCTAACCCTGTCCCTCCCCGGTCCCCCCGCCCCTTGACAGGCCCCAGTGTGTGATGTTCCCCTCCCTGTGTCCATGTGTTCTTATTGTTCAACTCTCACTTATGAGTGAGTACGTGCCGTGAAAAGCAAAAAATTCTAACTTACTATTCAAAAATGAGCTGAAAGACATGAAGAAAAAGACGCAAAACATGAAAGAACACAAATTAGAACTAGAAAAACTAAGAAATGAGGTGATAACACATGAAAGAATTAGAAATAAAGTAAAAAATCTTTCAGAAAATGCAGACTAAGCTATAAGGAAATAATAGTGACTAAATACAACAAATAATGCCTTAAGAGAAACAGAAAGTGAAAAGGAGGATAAAATTTAAAAATCAAAGTATAAAGAAAGATAAAAAGGATTTGAGATAAAGTGACAATTATCGAAAAGAATCAAGATGATCCAGTATGCAGATAAAAGTCCCAAAGGAAATGTAAAGCAAGAAACAGAATAAAAACAAACAATTAAAATAAAAAAGATCTGCTGGGAGCAGCGGCTCATGCCTGTAATCCCAGCACTTTGGAAGGCCGTGGCAGGTGGATCACCTGAGGTCAGGAGTTCAAGACCAGCCTGGCCAACATGGTGAAACTCCGTCTCTACTAAAGATACAAAAATTAGCTGGGCGTGGTGGCAGGCGCCTGTAATCCCAGCTACTGGGGAGGCTGAGGCAGGAGAATCGCTTGAACCCGGAAGGCGGAGGTTGCAGTGAGCCGAGATTGCGCCATTGCACTACAGCCTGGGGGACAAGAGCAAGACTTCGCCTCAAAAAAATAAAAATAAAAAAATAAAAAAAAATCTGAATACACAGATGTGAAAAGATCTCAGAGCACACTGTGTATCTGAGAATACTGAACTAGAATAACTAACATCAATAAATATTTTAGTGGCAGGGTGTGGCGGCTCACGCCTGTAATCCCAGCACTTTGGGAAGCCGAGGCAGGTGGATCACCTGAGGTCAGGAGTTCGAGACCAGCCTGGTCAATATGGCGAAGCCCCATCTCTACTAAAAATACAAAACTTAGCCGGGCGTGGTGGCAGGTGCCTGTAATCCCAGGTACTCGGGAGGCTGAGGCAAGAGAATTGCTTGAACCTGGGGGGCAGAGGTTGCAGTAAGCTGAGATGGCACCACTGCATTCCAGCCTGGGAGACAGAGTGAGACTATATCTCAAAAAAAAAAAAAAAAAAAAAGATTTTAGTAAAATCACTGCACTTTAAAGAAGAAATCTTTTGGGCATTTAGGTCCTGCCAGAAATTCTCTCTGGGTGGTAGGATTATGCGTAATCAAAACCTTCTCTCTGTGCTTCTTTGACTATTCTAAATTTTCTACAACTGATAGTTTTACTATTTGGTGGGAGAGGGCAAGGAAAAGATGTGATTTTTTTTTTTTGTTTTTTAAATTTAGGAAAAGAAGATCTCACCCAAGATACTACAACTCCAAAAGAGCAATGTTCTAGAAATACTGTCTCAGTGCAAAGCATTCTTAGGCCAAAGACTGGAATTCTTAGAAGCCTGAGACTTCTACCGCTGATTCTTGCTGATGAAGGGAATCCTTATAGAGAAAGCCCCTCTCTTTGTAGCACTACCTCATCTGGAATATGATTCCATGTCTCAGGGCTGCTCTGCTTCTTTCTGTATAGATATAATGGCACTGTCCTTAGTAAAGTAGCTTCAGACACAGGCTACTTGAGAACAAGACCAACCCAGACCTTCCCTTGTGCTACTGAAGCCGCAGGCCTACCTGCTGTGGGAGTTCAGTGATTTGCCAGGGAGAGTTCCTACCTGCCACCTTTAAGGTGATGTCAGTCAGGTGATCCCCAGGCTGCAGGTGACTATATTTTTGGATGAAGTCAGTGAGTGAGATGTCTACATGGAACTTGTGTGGGTATGGGTCTTCCCCATTGACCTTCAGCTGATGAATTGCTTGACTGCGGATTTTGTAGTATTGCTGTTAAAAAAAAAAAAAAAAAAGCCCTTCAGAAGTTGAACCTGGTCAGACCAGTGGGGCCCACCTAGCAGAGGGCAGTATTCTGCCCCCGAGTGACCCCAATACATTGTTTTCTTTAACCAAGACCTCTGCATTACAGGATTGAATATGGAGTGAGATTTGCACTTAAAATATGCAGGGCGGCCAGAGGCCAGCATTTCAAAATGCAAGAGTCAACAAAAAGAAAAACCTGAGTTCTGCCTAAAATCATAAAAGTTTAATTTTTAATTGGTACAGGTGGCCTTGTTGTCACTTTTGTAGACCACATTTGCATGGTGAGTCGAGTCACTTACGTTCTTAACTGCTTATGTTCTTAACTACTCTCCTACCTCTGGCGACACATCAGACTTTTCCCCAAGGCATGGGGCCTGGAGAATGTAAACAAGGAATACTCTACAGCAGCCTTTCTCACAAAGCTTTTCTGATGCAACTTCTCAACTCTGCTGTTTCAGGGGGAAAGCAGCCTCAGAAATACGTAAACAAATGAGCACAGCTGTGTTCCAATACAATTTTACTAGTAAAACCAAGGAGGGGCAAGGTGTGGTGGCTCATGCCTGTAATCCTAGTACTCTGGGAGCCCGAGGCGGGTGGATCACTTGAGGCCAGGAGTTCAAGACCAGCCTGGCCAACATTAACAGGGTGTAGTGGTGTGCGCCTCTAATACCAGTTACTTGGGAGGCTGAGGAAGGAGAATCACTTGAACCGGGGAGGCGGAGGTTGCAGTGAGATCACACCACTGCACTCCAGCCTGGGTGACAGAATGAGACTTTGCCTCAAAAAAACAAAAACAAAAACAAAAAACCAGGGAGGGAAGGATAAAGTGGGGGCATGGAGAGTGGGTTTGGCTGGTGGACTGTAGTTGGCCAGCCCCTGGTCTAAAGTAAACCTCAGGCAATCTTTAGAGAGACACTTTCCCTGGGGCCTCAAGGTCAAGCTAATTCCAAGGAAGGTTAATTCACTTGAATGCTGGACTCTCTCAAATGCCTTTTGGGGGTTGACATAAAAAACACTCAGGGTCTGTGCCTTTAACCAGATGCAGTGGGAGACCCTCCCTTATCCCTGGCAGTGACCTCAGGCGTACTGGTCCCTCCTACTGTCCAGTCCCAAAGAATCTGCCAGAAGCCTCATCAGAAGCTTTCCTGTGCCCAACCATGCTGGTGGCCCAGGGAACTCACATTTGGGTCCACGCTCTCTTCCTCAGGACCCACACCATTATCAGTGGTGTGGTTGGTGGCAGCAGCAGTGGCTTGGCTTAGCTGTTTCTCACTGAGCTCTTTCTGTTTGGCCTCCTTCTCTGCTACTTTCTTCTCAGCTTTCAGGCGTCTCTTCAGCTCACTGTTGGAAAGATGAAAGCGTTCAATGTGTTAGCTGCCTGAAGAGTCCTCTATGTTCTGCCCCTAGCAACTTATCAAAAACATGAATCGCCCAGGAGAAACGCTCTTGCTCAGTTCTATACCCCTCAATTCCACACCCACAGCTCAGCTCAAGTAGCTTGTCACTAAACTCTTTATGTGAAAGACACAAAGGGAAAAATAAGCTTAGAACAAAGATGTGAAAAATCACTCTCAGTCTCTGCTTGCCAGTCTCAGGTCCTTGGCATTAGGTCCCAACTAAAACCAAGATGTACCAAGACAAAGAAAATCCTATGCATTAGTTTTGAATAGGAGAAAAGGTTTTCTAGAAAATTAGAATAGGCTTTTCTTGAGCTAATTAGGTTAGGGAGCTCCTTGAGGACAGTGACTGAATCTTAGTTGTTTAGTATCCCCCTAGAAGGTGAAGTTCCAACAGTGCCAGGTCTTTTTTTTTTTTTTTTTTTTTTTTTTTTTTTTTTATGAGACAGAGTTTTGCTCTGTGGCCCAGGCTGGAGTGCAGTCACAATCTCAGCTTACTGCAATCTCTGCCTCCCGGGTTTCAAGAGATTCTCGTGCCTCAGCCTCCTGAGTAGCTGGGATTACAGGTGTGTACCACCACAGTCAACTAATTTATGTATTTTTAGTGAGACGAGGTTTCACCACGTTGGCCAGACTGGTCTCAAACTCCTTTCCTCAAGTGATCTGCCCACCTTGGCCTCCCAAAGTGCTAGGATTACAGGTGTGAGCCACCTGACCCCTCCAATGCCAGATCTAATACATGATAAGGCAACATCTCCAGCCCTCTGCTACCCCCTCTCTCTATCCCTCCCCTAAGAGTGAGTTAGGATGATAGTAAGGAAGAGCCGGCTCTTTAGCACTCAAGGAGACCTCCCCTACCAACAGTCTCTCCAAGAATGGCTGTCAGCATTAGTCTCACTTTGCCCACTGGAGCCTGACTTAGACAACAAAATAGAACGGTGTGCAAAGCAGTATAGTACAGGGGGTAATATACCATCTTTGTAGTCAGGCTGCCTGGGACTAAATTCCAACACACTTGTCAATTATGTGACTTGGACGAGTGAATTAACTTCTCACCTGTGAAACGAAAATAATAATAGACAACCCCCACCAGTTGTTATGGTGTGTAATGAGATAATGTTTGTATAAAGGGATTACCCTGACCCTGGCATTCAGCTAACCAAATGTGAGCTTTCTAGGTATCTTTTAGTATCTTAACCCTTTACTCTCTGTGCCTCATATAGATTTAAATACATTTCTGGTTAAATCACTTGGTATCCAAACTCTTGATACTTATCACTTGAACCTGAAAAACCAAAGTAATGCGGACAACTCTGAGCTGTTCTGTATGATATGTTCATGTCTCTTATAGTCTGAATTTGCTATCTGAAACCAGAAACTAAACAGATTGGTGTAGGGAGGGATATCTTTACTATTCAAAGACAATTTATGGATCATTCTTTCAAACCGCTGAACATAATCAAATATTCTGCAATAGTGAACCACAGCAGAAGATCCCAAGTCATGCCCGCAAACATTCTGGCTTCAGGACACATCCTTCATTTTCGATATGAATTTAGAATAACTTTAAAAAATGAATTGAGGTTTTGAATCTTTCACCTTTTTTTTTTTTTTTTGAGACAGAGTCTCGCTGTGTTGCCCAGGCTGGAGTGCAGTGGTGCGATCTCAGATCACTGTAAGCTCTGCCTCCCGGGTTCACACCATTTTCCTGCCTCAGCCTCCGGAGTAGCTGGGACTACAGGTGCCCGCCACCATGCCCGGCTAATTTTTTTGGTATTTTTAGTGAAGATGGGGTTTCACCGTGTTAGCCAGGATGGTCTTGATCTCCTGACCTCGTGATCTGCCTGTCTTGGCCTCCCAAAGTGCTGGGATTACAGGCGTGAGCCACCACGCCTGGCCGAATCTTTCATCTTGTAAAAAAGAAAAACAGATTCTGAATGGTTTCAAAGTTGACAGCTTTTTCTACATATAATGTCTTATAACATTTGTAAAGACAACCTTTCCAAAACACTGTGCTGGTGTTATCATGCTATAATTCAGTCAGTGGACTGCTAAGATTAGGCTGTCTAGTTCTTCTAGAATTAAGATAAATCTGTTTTCCACTCAACCAGGTGCTCCTCTTAAATCAAATCAATCTTAAGGATAATCCAAAAAGGTCCTAGGGATAGCACTAAGACTAGAAACCAAATTAATCTCAAGAGCACACAAAACTCCAGAAAGACAGAAAAGGGAAATAGCTGGCATTAGAAATTATTTGTTCAAACAAAGGTTTTGTTCTTAGCACTCTTCTAGAATAAGATCCACATGTCATCTCAAGACTCTAAGGAGAGACGATTTGAATTTATTAAAGAGAAAATGAGAAAGGACTATTGGTTTTGGTATTAGGGCTCCTTGTTTCCTTAGCAACAAGTCCAAAGACTTAGCCAGAGGCTTAACGGAAAATGAACCAAGTAAGGAAATAATTTTTGCTTCCAGAGCAATAAAGAAGGTAATGGGCACCAACCTTCTTTGATCAGAAAATGACTTGTCCTTGTGAGGCGCTGTGAAAGGAGCAAGTTGACCCAGTCGCAGTTCCCTGTGACCCCACTCTGCCCAGGAGGTTTTGCGCAGGGACCCCCTAACAAGCCTTACAGCAGCTTGCGTCAACATGGCAGAGCACCCTGGAACTAATGATTACCACCACCTAGCGGGAAACACAGAGATGTGGTGTCAGATGGGACAGACAGTATACATATACCCAACCAACTCTCTTATGGGTTGGGGAGGGGGACCATGCTTCTACTACCTTTTAGTCCCATTTAACTTAAGACTGTCTTAACTGATAGCAACCCTGTAACACTCTCTGTGCTACAACTGTAACTGACAATGTTCTTAGTCCTGACTATGGAAAAAACATGCATATCTGGGGTAAAGCCAACAGCAAGTTAATGGATAGCTTACAGGTAAAATTGCTCACAACATCCTAGAATATGGGAACAGGATGTGAGGCACTTTCTGAAGCCCTGAAGTGTGGTTTCTCACCTGGAGAGGAAATACCTGGCCACAAGATGGCAATAGGAAGCATATAAAATAAGAGGAAACTGTCACTATCAATTGCAAACTCTAGACAAAGATAAATGCAAGCCACACAAAAATACGTGTCAAAGAGAAGACTTGTTTGGAACTCTAGGAACAAGGGGAAAGGAGAATTTCAGGAAGGTCCTTAGACTGCGTTATGTTTATACATTATCAACACTGGAAGGCAACAGAATTACAGAGATCACCTTCTTTACCGTGTTCAAATAAATTTGAGGAGGCTATTTCACTCGGGCAGGGAGCACATCTGCTTTTAAACTTGGAGTCAATACCTGGCACAAAATGGTGCTTACTAAAAATTTCAGACCAAGGAATTCCCCAGAACAATAAACGGAAGGAAATGTTAATCAGAAAAAAATTATTTTAGCTCATGGTAACGAGAGGAATAGACATCAATGACAGGTAAGACAACGTGAGTAGTGCTGTGCAGTCAGGATACAGAGCATGGACTGTGGAGTCACAGGCCTGAGTTCAGATCCGTGCTCCAGTGCTCTGGATCACTGCTAGACTATATTTTAGGAATGCACACTTTAATAGTGCATTTAATTACTAGGACCTCAGTTTATTAATTTGAAAAATGGACAATAACTCCTCTTGCAAGGTTATTACTGACACTAGACAGAAAGCTTGTAGAGATCTAGCATTGTGCCTGGCACAGAAAAGCTGGTCAAAAAAGTAGTAGCTGTATTTAATTTTAGAAAAGTCAGTGAAGCAGGGAGTGGTGGCTCACGCCTATAATCCTAGCGCTTTGTGGGGTTGAGGCGGACGGATCACCTGAGCTCAGCAGTTTGACGCCAGCCTGGGCAACAAGGTCAAATCCCGTCTCTACTAAAACACAAAAATTTAACCGGGTGTTGTGGCATGCACCTGTAGTCCCAGGTACTTGGGAGGCTGAAGCACCAGAATTGCTTGAACCCGGGAGTTGCAAGTTGCCGTGGGCTGAAATCGCACCGCTGCAATCCAGCCGGGGCAACAACGACTCTGCCTCCAAAAAAAAAAAAAAAAAAAAAAAGTCAGTAAAGAGGAATTAACCAGTTTTTTCCGTTTACCTAAAAACACACTCTGAACTGGAAACCGTGCTTTCACCTGTGATATACAGTCCTAAAGTTCAATTCAATGTAATTGATTATCATAGGTGGTTTGAAAGAATGAACTAAACTTTAGGATCGTATATCACAGATATACCACATTCAATTAAATTTGACTTAATAAAGTCAAGTCAATTTTCTCTAAGGTAGCAGTCCAAAGACCAGGTTCCAAACTTTTATGGAAGTCCATCGGATTGCTCTAATAAAGGACAATATATTAAGGTCCTACCCAACTATAAACTTCGACAATTTCTCTTATACTTTTTCTAAGATATTTGAAGCACAAAGCCAGGGACACAAAAGGAAACATCAGGCCAGGGGTGGTGGCTCAGGCTCACGCCTGTCATCCCAGCACTTTGGGAGGCCAAGGTGGGCGGATCACAAGGTAACGAGATTGAGACCATCCTGCCCAACATGGTGAAACCCTGTCTCTACTAAAAATACAAAAATTGGCCAGCCATGGTGGCACACGCCTGTAATCCCAGCTACTCGGGAGGCTGAGGCAGGAGAATCGCTTGAACCCTGGCAGCGAAGGTTGCAGTGAGCTGAGATCGCGCCACTGCACTCCAGCCTGGCGACAGAGCGAGACTCCATCTTAAAAAAAAAAAAAAAGAAACATCATTTCTCTTTTCTTTTTCATTCAGGGTCTGGCTCCGTCTCAGTAACTCCTTGGGGAAAGCGATGGAGAAGGGCTCGCTCACGCAGCACTTCTGGCAGTCCCTGAAGGACCACTACCTCAAGTCTCCCAGGCTGGAGTGCAGTGGCACGACTTCAGCACACTGCAACCTCCGCCTCCTGGGTTAAAGCGATTCTCCTGCCTCAGTCTCCCGAGTAGCTGGGATAACAAGTGCGCGCCACGGGGATTAAGCCCTCTCGTATGCCTCTGGAATGGTACTATGTACCATCTTCCTAGCAATGATAAAACACTCAATTACCTGTGTTCTGTGGTTCAAATGGGGAACGCTAATGAGAATATAAGACAGCCAGTTAAAGGGTGGCTAATCCTGACTTATCTATGTTAACCTACATACTCCAGGGATTTGGGAGTGGTTAACAAAGATATCAGGCTGAATTAAGATGGTCTCTACTGTTAGACGTTGATCACTTAATACTCACAGGTATCTACTGAATAACCCATACGGGTAGATGCATGACAGTTTTAGAACTGATCCCTTTTAATACATAACGTTCAGAATGACCTTAGTGAGGCCCAGAAAATTTTGAAGGTCTTTCTGAAAAGCTAGGGTATTTAACATTTCTCCAACTTCCACGTTTACTGAGTGGCTCAACAAAAGAATGCATTTCTCAGAAAGGAGGATGAAGCTAAGCAGGAAGTTTCGCTTTTCTTTTCTGATAACTCTTAGTTCTCGTCCTAGTTCCTCCTCCACAGTCTCTTAACTCTAGGAGTATGATAGGGAGCATCCCGCCGGTGCCAGCTGGGAACGGGGAGCCGGCGTGCCCGGGGTATCCCGGGGTACGTGGTCTGCAGGGCGCAGCCACCACGTCTCAGCATGTGCGTACCCACGAGAGCCGGCAAGAAGGCCCCGGCACAGCAGCCTTGGTGGGAACCTCGCGGCGCTTCCCAGCCCAGACTCTCCTACCGCAAAGGCTTTAAAGACTCGCAGCGACACTCACTTCTTGCTCAGTTTCGGCTCGCTGCCATCCACTTTCACCTCGGCCGCCTGCACGGCCGCCATCTTCCCGGAGGGCCCGACCCAAAAGTAAGGAGGATAGTACGTTAATTTCCAGGTCAAGGTGCGAAGCCCCACCTCTTCCGGGGGAGAGGGGGCGGGCACTCTCGATGCGCCGCGGCTGCTGCTGCGCAGGCCCAGTGCTGCGCTTCGCGGCAGAGGCGTCTGCGGTGACAGCTCAGTCAGTTGAGCTCTGTGTGCCAGGCGCTCGCGAGGGGGTAGCTCTTCTAGTAGTGCTCGGCGTCAGACATGGCGGAGGCGATGGATTTGGGCAAAGACCCCAACGGGCCCACCCATTCCTCGACTCTGTTCGTGAGGGACGACGGCAGCTCCATGTCCTTCTACGTGCGGCCCAGCCCGGCCAAGCGTCGGCTGTCGACGCTCATCCTGCACGGCGGCGGCACCGTGTGCCGAGTGCAGGAGCCCGGGGCCGTGCTGCTGGCCCAGCCCGGGGAGGCGCTGGCCGAGGCCTCGGGTGATTTCATCTCCACGCAGTACATCCTGGACTGCGTGGAGCGCAACGAGAGGCTGGAGCTGGAGGCCTATCGGCTGGGCCCCGCCTCGGCGGCGGACACCGGCTCGGAAGCAAAGCCCGGGGCCCTGGCCGAGGGCGCCGCGGAGCCGGAGCCGCAGCGGCACGCCGGGCGGATCGCCTTCACGGATGCGGACGACGTAGCCATCCTTACCTACGTGAAGGAAAATGCCCGCTCGCCCAGCTCCGTCACCGGTAACGCCTTGTGGAAAGCGATGGAGAAGAGCTCGCTCACGCAGCACTCGTGGCAGTCCCTGAAGGACCGCTACCTCAAGCACCTGCGGGGCCAGGAGCATAAGTACCTGCTGGGGGACGCGCCGGTGAGCCCCTCCTCCCAGAAGCTCAAGCGGAAGGCGGAGGAGGACCCGGAGGCCGCGGATAGCGGGGGTGAGGAGGCTGAGCGCGGGGCCTCGCGGATATCTGCGCGGGTGGGGTTGGGATCTTTCTCCTGGCTGCCTGGCGTCCATCTTGGCATCTTCGGTAGCAGCGCTTGGCCCCGCCCCCTGTTGACATCCGGGTAAATTTGCACCATTTTCTTGCCTTCTCGCTCCCTTGTTGTTTATTATTGTTCTTTTTTTGCGATGGGTCTCTGTTACCTAAGCTGGTCTGAACTCCTGAGCTCAAGCGATCCTCCTGCCTCGGCCACCCAAAGTGTTGGGATTACAGGAGTGAGCCACCACGTCTGGCCTCTCGTCGTTTTTATTTTTTAATTTTTGAGTGGGGGCTCGCTCCGTCGCCCAGGCTGTGATGCAGCCGCGCGATCACGACCTACTGCATCCTGGACCTCCTGGGCTCAAGCGAATCTCCGGCTTCAGCCTCCCAAGTAGCTGGAACTACACTCCCGCGCCACCACGTCCCGCTAAATTAAAAAAAAAATTGTTGTAGAGATGGGGGTCTCGTTGTGTTGCCCTGACAGGTCTCGAACTCTTGGGCTCAAGCGATCCTCCCGTCTCGGTGTCCCAAAGTGTTGGGATTACAGGCGTGAGCCATCACACCCAGCTTCTTGGTCTAGTTTTAATTTACTTTACCATTGACTAGAATATTGACATGGTTCTATATTCAAAAGTTACAAAAAGTATATAGAAAATTCTCTCTTGGCCGGGCGCGGCGGCTCAAGCTTGTAATCCCAGCACTTTGGGAGGCCGAGGCGGGCGGATCACCTGAGGTAAGGAGATCGAGACGAGCCTGACCAACATGGCGAAATGCCGCCCCTACTAAAAATACAAAAATTAGCCGGCCGTGGCGGAGAGTTCCTGTAGTCCCAGCTACTCAGGAGGCTGAGGCAGGAGAATTGCTTGAACCCGGGGGGCGGAGGTTGCAGTGAGCCGAGACTGCGCCACTGCTCTCCAGCGTGGGTGACAGAGCAAGACTCCATCTCAAAAAAAAAAAAAAATTATCTCGTCCTTCCTGTCCACCAGCTACCCACGGGCTAACTGGCTTCTTGTGTTTCTTTTAAGAGATATTCCACAGACTCCTTTTTAAAAAAGATTGCTGTTATGTTCAGGTAGATTCAGTATAAAGGCGTACCAGACTTACTTTAATGCTCTGGCGTAACTGAATGCCTATGGACTTAAGAAGGTTCTCGGCAGTTGGAAGGTCTCTTCCTGGTCTTGCTTAGGTGAAGTGAGTTTTTAATGCAGTTGAATTGAAAATTGGGGTTCAGTATGTCTAGGATACAGAACGAGTCTGTTAAGATGTACTTGGTGACGTACCTGGCATTGATAACTTAAACCGATAGACCCTTTTGTTTAAAGAGGCATGCTGCTTCTCCTCCCCCTCCGTAATCCTCCCACCTTTTCTTTGCCTGTATGACTACTCCATTTAACACTTGAAGTCTGGGGAGTAAAATCTTTTTCTCCTGTTCAGTATGCTTAGTAGGAATTTTGTTTTGGTAAAAGTGACATTTCAGCTTCATTCATTCAGCAGAAATTTGAGTGCCAGACATTGTGGTCCTGCTGGAATATAACAATAAATAAAAGTCCCTGTGGTCCTGGAGCTTATAACATGCTAGCTGGGGAGTGGTAAGGGCTATAGAGAAAAATAATTCAGAGTGTAAGGGTTGGGGAGGAGGTTTTTCCTATAGGATGATAAGAGAAGGTCATTCTCATAAGCTGATGTTTAAGCAGAGACCGAAGGAAGTGAAAGAGCAACCCAGGTGGATATCTGGGGAAGAGTGTTCAGGCAGAGGAAGAAGCCAGGGCAATCGCCCTTAGGTGGGAGTATGGCTGGTGTGTTTGGAGCCACAAAGAGAACAGAGTGGCTGTTAATGGAGTAGGAGGGAGAATTAATTATAGCAGATGAGGTTAGGGCTATGTGTATGGGTGAAGTATGTCATCATGTATGGCCTTGCTTTTATTTTTATTTTATTTTAATTTTATTATATATCTTGAGATGGGGTCTTGCTCTGTCACACAGGCTGGAGTGCGGTAGTGCGATCACGGCTCACTGCAGCCTTGACTTCCCAGGCTCAGTGGATCCTCCCACCTCAGCTTTCCAAGTAGCTGGGACTACAGGCACTCGTCACCATACCTAGCTAATTTTTGTATTTTTTTGTAGAGACAGGATTTGGCCGTGTTGCCCAGGCTGGTCTCGAACTCCTGGGCTCAAGGGATCTGCCCGACTTGGCCTCCCAAAAGTGCTAGGATTCCAGGTGTGAGCCACCATGCTGTGTCTGGGACTTGCTTTTAAATCCGTGATGTTGGGGCTATTGGCAAGCCATTTGGAACTTGGGACAAAATTAAGCTGTATTCATCCTACCCATCTAAGTAATCTTTTGATAATCAGATATTTAAATGTAAAAATTAAAAAATTCTAAAATGAGTAAGAGAAGATATGAATGAATATATCAGTATGGTGGGAGTTGCTCTGAACCATTTGTGGTTCAGGATGCTGCCTGATTTGCCAGAAGAAAAAAAGTAAAAATATTAGCATGGTGATAAGTTATGAAGCCAAAAAGACAAAGAAAAAGTTTTATATATTTGATTACCTGAAAATTAAGAACTTCTCATGATAAATAAAGTCAGAGGGCATGCTGGAAAAACATTCCCAATACACTGCAATAGACTTAGTTTCTTTAATGTCTAAAGAGCTCTTTGTCATTAAGTAAGAAGTCATTAAGTAAAAAGAAAACTAATAGAAAAATGAGAAAAGGAAATGGAACAGGAAGTTCCCAGAAAAGGAAATAAATAAGCGGCCGATAAACAAATGAAGAAATAGTCTGTTATTAAATGAAAGTAAATCAGACCGAGTGCGGTGGCTCATGCCTGTAATCCTAGCACTTTGGGAGGCCAAGGTGGCAGACCACTTGAGGTCAGGAGTTCGAGACCAGCCTGGCCAACATGATGAAACTCCGTCTCTACTAAAAACTACAAAAACTATCCAGGCATGGTGGCATGCGCCTGTAATCGCAGCTACTCAGGCAGCTGAGGCATGAAAATTGCTTGAACCAGGGAGGTGTAGGTTGCAATGAGCTGAGATCAAGCCCCTGCACTCCAGCCTGGGTGACAGAACCAGACTCCATCTCGGAAAGAAAAAAAGAAGAAGAAAGAAAGTAAATCAGACCCTGAGCCTAGGGTCAGTATAAGCTATACTTTGACCCATGAGACCTGTGAGATAATAAATATGTGTGTTGGAATTGTTTTGTATTTATTTGATGAATTGAGATAGCTTCCATTATACAAAATAGAACAAAAGCTCCCCAAGTTATTTATTTTTTTTAACTAAATCAGAGCAAGGAGATGTTATACTTTATCTATAAGATTGGCAAAAGTCAATACAATGGGTAATATCCAAAGTTAGTGTATGGGAAAACAAGTATACTCCTACGTTGTTAATAGAAATTGATACAATTTCTTTGGGGGGCATTTTGACAATATCTGATGACATTTATAACGTATATTCCCTTAAACATGGCAGTTTTGTTCTAGGAATTTATCCCGTAGATATACTCAGAGTACAAATGGGTACATACTGAAAAGGCAGTCTCCCTATTTACATACCCTTTTCCCTGGGTCCTTTCCTAGGGGCAGCCTCTATTACCGTCTCTTGTCTGTTGCATGTCCCCTTTGCTCATAGTAATACTAGCACACTAGACATCAACTTAATCTGTGGTTTACTTTTTTTAAACTTAATTATTTATCTTGAAGTGTTTGTGTGTCTGCACAAAGCTTTTCCTCATTCTTTTCTAATTGATTGCACTGTATTTCATTATGTGAATGAACAGTAATTTACTTTTTATTATGGAGAATTCCAAGCATTTACAAATACAGAATAGTATAATGAACTATACTGCATATACCCATCACCCACCTTCACCTGATTTTAGTTCATGGCATTTTTTAAATCTATACTTTTCATCCCAACTTCCTGGACTGTTTTGAAGCAAATGCCAGACATCATATCATTTTATCTATTTTAGCATGTATCTCTCAAAGATAAGCCTCTTTTAGTTACTATTTAAGAATTTTATTAAATACATACAGTAAAATTAACTTTTTATGGTGTAAAATTATATGCATTTTAAAAACTTTATTTTTTATTGTGGTAAAATGTATATACCGTAAAATTTACAGTTCAGATAGTTTTTTAAGTGTTCTGTTCAGTGGCATTATTAAGTGCATTCACATTGTTGGGCAACTGTCACCACCATCTGTATCTAGAACTTACTCATTTTCTAAAACTGAAACTCCATGCCTTTTATTATTTTCTGCTTCTAGGGGTCAGAAACATGCCTATTAAACACTAATTCCCCATTTCTCCCTCCTCTTAGCCCCTGGAAACAACCATTCCGCCTTCTGTTTCTATGAATTCAATATTTCTAGATACCTCATACAAGTAGAATCATGTAATATTTGCCCTTTTGTGTCTGGCTTATTTCACTTTACATAATATCTTCAAAGTTCATCCATATTGTAGCATGTGTCAGAATTTGATTCCTTTTTAAAGGTGAATAATATTCCATTGTATGTATATACTACATTTTGTTTTTCCATTAATGTATCAATTGACATTTGGCTTATTTCCATCTTTTGTTTATTTTGAATAATGCTGCTGTGAACATGGGTATAACTAGTATCTGTTTGAGACCCTGCTTTCCATTATTTTAGGTATATGCCTAGAAATGCAATTGCTGGATCATATGGTAATTTTATGTTTAATTTTTTCTTTTTCCTTGTGGGTTGTCATCATGAAATTATATTGAATTTTTTGAGGAACTGCTGTACTCTTTTCCAGTTATATGTGTTTTAACATAGGTAAATTTTTGTAACCAGCACCCACATTGGGATTTAGAACAATTCCATCACGAAAAACTCCCTCTTGCTGCCCCTTTGTAGTATGTTTTAGTAAGTAGAAAAGGAGCAGAGTTAAATCTTCAGAGAACAAAATGTAAAGGAAAGGAACAGGATGTTTAAATTTAGGAGGCCCTCCTTTTTGTAGATGGTATATTGGTGGATTGTGGTACGTGGCCCAGATCTGCCTTTGGCTGCTAGGAGAGCTGCCTTGCCCAAACTCCTGTCTTCTTAGGGCTGCCACCATCCAGTGACTGATATTTGCAGAGTTACAAAGTCTGCTCCTTGGCCCCAGCTTGGTCAGTTCTGAAGGGCCTTCCTAGCTCCAGAGTTGCCCATGGTTTTGGCTGAGGTCTTGTTGAAACTCTTTGATAAGTCAGCTTCTCTCTCTGCCCACTCCTGCTCTTCCACAAAGGTTTTCCCAAAATCACTTCCCAATTCTTTAAATTTCCATCTCCATCTCAGAATTTGCTTCCCAAGGAACCCAATTTATGACACATTTTTATTAATTTGCAAAGTCTGTAACTACAAAGCAAAAAATGAATTAAACTTGAGCATTTTTATATGTCAGAGTTTAAGAATGTATCATTGTTTGGATAGTACATCTTTTCAGAAGCAAGCATAGAAATGGGTGAATGAGCACGTCCTAGGCTTTTTTTACCCTTCTGAATCAAGAACAGATGTCTTCTGATAGTAAAAAAAAAAAAAAAAAAAAAAAAAGTGCAGGCTCACTCCTGGCCCAGAGCTCACACAGCAAATATATTTTTGGTTTATGTAAAAGAGGCTATTGCTAATCTGTGCTGTTCTTCTCTTTAACAGAACCACAGAATAAGAGAACTCCAGATTTGCCTGAAGAAGAGTATGTGAAGGAAGAAATCCAGGAGAATGAAGAAGCAGTCAAAAAGATGCTTGTGGAAGCCACCCGGGAGTTTGAGGAGGTTGTGGTATGTTAACTAGATTTACTCATTATTTTTTTCCCTACCTTCATTCTTCTTTGAAACTGGTTATCCTGTACACCTTTTTCATCTACCTGGGGCTCAGGAAAGTGAGAGAGGAGTTCAAGATGGAAAGGGAAAATGGAAAATGGGACTGATCTGGGCTTCAGACATGTTGCCCTGAAGCTTTTGCTTCACAAAGCTTTTAGTTTTTGGCAGGACAAGTTGAGGGGGAAAGGGAGAAAAATTGGGTAGAATAGGGACAGTTGTATAAACAGTATAAAGCATCCCACTTTGAGTACTTTAATGTCAATATATTTTTCAAAAAGTTTATAGTAATTGTTTTTTCTATTTTTTTGAGCCAGAGTCTGGCTCTGTCGCCCAGGCTGGAGTGCAGTGGTGCGATCTTGGCTCACTGCAAGCTCCGCCTCCTGGGTTCACACCATTCTCCTGCCTCAGCCTCCCGAGTAGCTGGGACTACAGGCGCCCACCACCATGCCTGGCTAATTATTTGTATTTTTAGTAGAGACGGGGTTTCACTGTGTTAGCCAGGATGGCCTCGATCTCCTGACCTCGTGATCCGCCCGCCTTGGCCTCCCAAAGTGCTGGGATTACAGGCGTGAGCCACCGCTTTTTGTATTTTTTTGAGGTGGAGTCTCACTCTGTCACCCAGGCTGGAGTGCAGTGGTGCCATCTCAGCTCACTGTAGCCTCCACCTCCCAGGTTCCAGCAATTCTTCTGCCTCAGCCTCCTGGGTAACTGGGATTACAGGCATGTGCCATCATGCCCAGCTACTTATAGTAATTTTTTTTATCAAGCAAATTTAGCTTTTTGTGTACTTTGAGCTTTTTAAAAATGTTTTAGCTCTTCCATATTCAGTCTAGCTTATATTACTCTGTTAGAATCTGATATTTAATAATAGCTACAGAGAAAGACAGGAGCCATACAATAATGATAAGTTTTTTAAAGGTCCAAATTATATGTATATATTTTTCCATGATAAAGCGTCTTGTGAACTAACAAAGAAAATTCATATTAACAAAGAAAAATGGTTAGGCTTCAGTCCAAACAAGGGAAATAATTTAAAGCTTCTGTAATTGGTGAGTGAAGGGATGCACAGGAATTGAAGGGATGCACAGGAATTGGCAGGATTTAGGGATTGTTGCCTTTTGTAGTCTGTTTTATTATTTGATATTTGGTTCATTTTTCATAAACTTCAAACACTCAGCTCTCAAACATGACCTACCTAGGCCTCTTCTCATATAGCATGCTTTGTAATCTGTCTAACCAGTATAGCTTGGAAGCCCTAATACATTCATACAGCAGTGCTTTTTGAGTACTTACTATGTATAGGCATTGGTGGGTATTGGAGATGTGGTGATGAACAAAACATACAATTCCTGCCCTTAGGAGCTTACAGTCTTGAGAGTGAAGTCAAACATTTAACAAATCTAATGAACATGTGTGCACATATATGTGTCTCTCTCTTTATATATACATATATTTTTCATATTCAATGTAGCTTCTAATATTCTATTGGAATACTATAGTCAATTATACACACATATACACATATACTCCCCCTACCCCTCACACACACGTGCACACACACACGCGCACACACACACGCGTGTACATATACATACACATCTGACATGAATAAATGTAAGAAGGAACACAGCATATTAAGAGGAACTGAAGGAAGTCCAGTGTGATTGGAATGCAGAGGGCAAGGGGGTGATAGTTGGAAGAGACCAGATATTGTAAGAAATCAAGACTTGGTGATTAGGAGCTGGTTTTACTCATCATTCTGTCTAGGTGGATGAGAGCCCTCCTGATTTTGAAATACATATAACTATGTGTGATGATGATCCACCCACACCTGAGGAAGACTCAGAAACACAGCCTGATGAGGAGGAAGAAGAAGAAGAAGAAAAAGTTTCTCAACCAGAGGTGGGAGCTGCCATTAAGATCATTCGGCAGTTAATGGAGAAGTTTAACTTGGATCTATCAACAGTTACACAGGCCTTCCTAAAAAATAGTGGTGAGCTGGAGGCTACTTCCGCCTTCTTAGCGTCTGGTCAGAGAGCTGATGGATATCCCATTTGGTCCCGACAAGATGACATAGATTTGCAAAAAGATGATGAGGATACCAGAGAGGCATTGGTCAAAAAATTTGGTGCTCAGAATGTAGCTCGGAGGATTGAATTTCGAAAGAAATAATTGGCAAGATAATGAGAAAAGAAAAAAGTCATGGTAGGTGAGGTGGTTAAAAAAAATTGTGACCAATGAACTTTAGAGAGTTCTTGCATTGGAACTGGCACTTATTTTCTGACCATCGCTGCTGTTGCTCTGTGAGTCCTAGATTTTTGTAGCCAAGCAGAGTTGTAGAGGGGGATAAAAAGAAAAGAAATTGGATGTATTTACAGCTGTCCTTGAACAAGTATCAATGTGTTTATGAAAGGAAGATCTAAATCAGACAGGAGTTGGTCTACATAGTAGTAATCCATTGTTGGAATGGAACCCTTGCTATAGTAGTGACAAAGTGAAAGGAAATTTAGGAGGCATAGGCCATTTCAGGCAGCATAAGTAATCTCCTGTCCTTTGGCAGAAGCTCCTTTAGATTGGGATAGATTCCAAATAAAGAATCTAGAAATAGGAGAAGATTTAATTATGAGGCCTTGAACACGGATTATCCCCAAACCCTTGTCATTTCCCCCAGTGAGCTCTGATTTCTAGACTGCTTTGAAAATGCTGTATTCATTTTGCTAACTTAGTATTTGGGTACCCTGCTCTTTGGCTGTTCTTTTTTTGGAGCCCTTCTCAGTCAAGTCTGCCGGATGTCTTTCTTTACCTACCCCTCAGTTTTCCTTAAAACGCGCACACAACTCTAGAGAGTGTTAAGAATAATGTTACTTGGTTAATGTGTTATTTATTGAGTATTGTTTGTGCTAAGCATTGTGTTAGATTTAAAAAATTAGTGGATTGACTCCACTTTGTTGTGTTGTTTTCATTGTTGAAAATAAATATAACTTTGTATTCGAGTCTCGTCAATAAGTGTTTTGATTGTATATGCAAAACTTTTTAGGTATAAAAACCACAAAGGAACTAACAGTTGTTGTTAATTACAACCAATAAAGTGGTTCCATTTTAGAATGAATAGGCCATTGGAAAGATACTAGTTCTTCTGGATGGAGCAAAGAGAAGAACTGCATCAAGGACTGTGAGAAGTGGCAAAATAAGCTGAACTGCTGAAAGCCAAAGGGGAGAGAAACCAATCAGGGACCAGCAGGTGGGTAGCAGAAGGTGTCAGGACCTCATCCATATTCCCTGGGCACACATCATTCTCTAGCATGTGCCACTATCAGGAATCCTGCAATAAGCACCTGCTTGAGGCTCTCTGCTTGAAGTGCTATGGAGTTAATGCCCCTGTATGGGAATTCGAGGGTGCCTACCCAGCTTCCCTGCGGACCAGAGAAGTTATACAACTGGATATTTGAAAGTTATCCTTCGAGTGGGATAATGGTTTCCATGCCATCTTTTAGAGGTCCCCAGTAGTAGTAAACATAGTTGCCCACAGTGGGAATCTACTTATGAATGCATCCTGCATAGGCTTCCTTCTCTTATCTCATTCCCACTTCCCTACAGTGCATCCTGGAATCATCATTTGTACTCAAATGCTTGTTCTCCTCTTTTTTTTTCCTTCAAGAAAATATTTATTGCATATTATTAGTGATTATGTTTTACAGCAAAAGTAAACACATACACTTTTCACAAACACAAAATGGGAATCAAGGCATCTATCAAATGTAAATGTTGAACCAAGTCCTGGTTTTCAGAATTCAGCAGCCAATCCTGGTTCTGCACCAGGGCCACTAGGCTATCTGTGCTTAGTCCTCACCTTGGGCAATCAATGTTGCCCCAGCGAGCTGCAGCTTTGGTTTAGGTCCTGGCCCAGGGTCTGCAGGAATGGGGTTCAGGATTGGTGCAGAAGGCTGAGACAGTCTTGATGGTGTGGTTGTTCACTGTCGTGTCACCTGGTCCTGCAGAACTGTGGGAAGACCCAATCCTCAGCTTTGGGGGCCACCCCAATTATGCTGGGACCATTGTAAGTGGAGTATTTGAAAAGATGGCCAGCATGATATTTACTGATTTCTTTTGCATTTAATGAGTAGTTTCTAATATATTAAATAGCATTTTATTTTTCTTTTTTAGAGACAGGGTATCTCTCTGTCACCCAGGCTGGAATGCAGTGGCACTATCATAGCTCACTGCAGCCTCAAACTCCTGGGCTCAAGTGTTGTCCCTGCCTTGGCCTCTCAAAGTGCTGGGATGACAGGCATAAGCCACTATGCCTGGCCAACATTTTCTTTAATTTTTGCTGTATATTTTGAGTGATTAGAAGTTTTGCCATACACATCTAGGGCCATACACATGCCATACACATCTCTAGGGTTTGCCATACACATCTGATCAGAATTAGTTTCAGATTTATATTAGCTTAAGTCCAGTGAAATATACATAGATGTTACTCCTATATGACTATTTCTCTTTCTCCTGGTTTTGGGGTATATATATTACATCTATTAATATTACAAATCCAACAATACATTATTATAAGGATTACTTCAGCAGCTATGACCATTTTTATTAGCATCTGTGATCATGTACCTCCTTCTGTTATTGTCAAAATACATACATTAAACTTCTGTGTTACAGGATCAACTTATACATTATATACACATACTTTTATGCAGTTTTCAAAAAATCAGTTGAGAAAAAAGTGCATTTATAGTGTTTTTTATAATGACATAATTACCTTTACATGCTCTTTCCCTCCATATATATGATTATTTTGTTATGTATATATATATTTTTTTCTTTTTTTTTTAAGACAGAGTCTCACTCTGTTGCCTAGGCTGGAGTGCAGTGGTGCGATCTTGGCTCACTGCAGCCTCTTCCTCCTGGGTTCAGCCATTTGTGTGCCTCAGCCTCCGAGTAGCTGGGACCACAGACGCACACCACTATGCTTGGCTAATTTTTTGAATTTTTTGTGGAGACCAGGTTTTGACATGTTGACCAGGTTAGTCTCCTGATCTCATGTGATCCACCTGCCTTGGCCTCCCAAAGTGCTAGGATTACAGGTGTGAGCCACCACACCCAGCTAAGCCACCCCGCCCAGCATTTGTTGGTTTTTCAATCCATACTCTGTGGAGTCAAGCTTCTGCAGGCCACCATAAAGTATATGGTCAGGAGCTCAGGAGCTATAATGCATGTGGACACTGCTTCTCTACAAGAAGGAACCAACAGCTCATGGGGCTTTCCTGAAGACTTTTTTTTTGAGACAGGATCTCACTCAGTCACTCAGGCCGGAATATAGTGGAACCATCACAGCTCACTGCAGCCTCCACCTCCCGGGCTCAAGTGATACTTCCATCTCAGCCTCCCAGTTAAATGGGACTACAGGCACATGCCATTGTGCCTGGCTTAAATGTTTTTTTTTTTTTTTTTTTGAGAAATGTTTCCCAGGCTGGTCTTGAACTCCTGGGCTCAAGTGATCCTCCTGAACCAGCTTCCTGAGTAGCTGGTACCACAGGAGCTCACTATCACACACAGCTAATTTTTTTTAAAAGTTTTTTTTTTTTTTTAGAGATGGGGTCTCACCACGTTGCCCAGGCTCTCGTCATGAACCCTTAGGCTCAAACAACCTCACCTCATCTGGCTTTTTTAAAAAAATTTATTTTTATTTATTTATTTACTTATTTTTATTTTTATTTTTTATGTGGAGGCTTCTGGAGACGGCTTTGCTTTGGCCTGCTGTGTGGGTTACTGTGGGCTTGACCTGTGGCTATGGTTCTGTGATACTTAGCAATACTTTGCAAAGCTGCATCCTTGGGTTCCTGTGGCAGGCCCGTGTAGACCCCTCAACCTAAAACTGCTGCATTTGAGTCCTGAGTTGCTTGAAGCCCCTACCTGCATATCTTGCCCCAGAGGCAGCAGGGGTGAGTTGGCAGCTATTTGGGGAGGCACGTGCTGCAGTTGAGAGCACAACGGCTTTCCATTATTCTGAGGCAGTTGACTCTGCAGCTGTGACTGAGCCGAGGGCCACTGCTTCTCTAGATCCCAAGGACCCGAGTCCATTGGCAGCTGTTCCTGCAACATCATCCCCTCTGAGTAATTCTGAGGCTGTTGGTGCTGCTGTGGGTGATACTGCCAATCATTCTGCTGCTGTTCTTGCAGCAGTGAGAGACAGAATGAGCAAAGACAATGGTCTTTCTTCACCCCGTAAGCACCTTGAGCGTAATCCAAAAGGAAGGGACTTGCATGCTGGCTTTCCCTGGTTTCAGTCCTTTCTCCATGAAAATATGGCACAGAAGATGGGGGAGGATGAAGGCATTCTGCAGAGTTGTAGCTGAGAAAACGATAGGCAGTAGAATGCTCACTTCCTGTGTCACCTCCATACTCCAAAGCATAGCCTGGATGCTTTTCAGTACCTGCGACCAGATAGGAGCACTGGGAACCCACCTGTTGACTGGGAATCCCTTGTTTCTCCAGAGAAGAGCACATGGAGCCCACCTGTTGACTGGGAGTCTCTTGGTTCTCCAAAGAGAAGCAATTGTAGCCCATCTGTTGACAGGCAATCCTCTGTTTCTCCAGAAGGGAGCAACCAGGTCTTCTCATCAGAGCCCTCTTGGCACAGGAAAAACTCTGCTCTGTGGCATAGTTGGAAGCTGCAGCCTGGGTTTCCTGGAGGCTTAAAAATGGACAGGCTTGGACTGGGAAATCGTGTTTTTTCCAAGTAAGAAATATTCTTTGTCTTTCTTCCGGTGGAAGTCTGGCTCTATTGTTCTGGAACCAGTTCTAAAGGGAAAAGATAATATTGTATTATCAAATCTACTTCTCTGATTATATGCCTCTATGCATTCCTTAATGTAGGAGGCTTTTTCTTTTTAAGCCTTTTAAAAGCAGAGTCCCTGACTTGCCTTCAGACATTAAGGCTTATAAAAAATAAGACAATCTCCCTAGAACTGCACATATGATACCGGAGGTCATGCATCATGCATTTCTAGAACCATAACCTCCTTCACTGGAGACAGTGACACCATGGTTTACGTGTAAACCTAGGCTGTCTGGAATCTATCTCCAACCTACTTGTGACCTATATGCAATCTTCTCCTGCTTGCTCACTGAGACCCACTCTGTGCTACAGAAGAGGCTCCCAGCTGTCCCACCTAGACGTGGATTGTTCCTACAACCCTGCTACTTTACTCATGCTCTTCCACCAGGAAGAATTAATAATGTATTTTCTGATACCATTTCTGTTGCATATATGCACATAATTCTTACATACATTGGGTTCAAGTTTCACAAGTAAAGAGTGCAATTGTTTCAATTATTTATTGACCATATATTTGTTGTATGACTCTGTGAGGAGAAGAAACAAACCATTTTTCCTCTGCTCTCATACCACAACAGTCACAGAAAGACTACTGTGAGCAAATGTGTTTCCCCACACACAAGGCAAGCAATCAGTTCTGCAGTGCACACCAGCTGGGTGTCCTCCAATTCAATTCCAGCACTGCCTACCTGGAAACACTGTCAGATCCCACAGGTCGAGGGCTCAGTCCTGCAAGACTGCCCCTCCTTCAGATGCCAGTTGCAAGTCTGGGCTTTTATAACTTTTGACTGACTGGCTTTGGGTTGGGGCTCCTGTGACCTCCTTTTTGGGTTTGATTAACTTGCCAGAGCAGCTCACAGAACTCAGGGAATCACATATGTTTGCCAGTTTGTTACAAAGGATATAGATTCATAGAGTGAGATATGGGGGAAGGGGTGCAGAGCTTTCATGCCCTGCCTGGACAAGCCACCCTCCAGGAACTTCCACATGTTCAGCTATCTGGAAGCTCCCCAAACCCACTTTTTTTTTTTCCCTTTTTCTTTCTTTTCTTTTTTTTTTTTTTTTTAACGGAGGCTTCATTGCACAGGCATGATTGATTAAACCATCGACTGCTGGTGATCAACTTAACCATCAGCGCCTTCCCCTTCCCAGAAGTTGGAGGGTGGGGCTGAAAGTCCCAACCCTCTAATCCTGCTTGGATCTTTACAGCTCTCATCCTGAAGCTACTAGGGTCTACTACCATCAGTCAACTCATTAGTGTAGAAAAAGACATAGCTTTGGAGATTCTAAGTATTTTGAGAATTGCATGCCAGGAAACAGCAGAAGACCAAATATATATATTTAGAATAACCCTAGTTATTTCATTCAATTTGTCTAATCTTTATTTTTCTCTCCCCTAGAAAGAGGATAATATGCAAATACCCAAATTATTCAGGCTTTGAGGGAGGCAGAGATGAGAAAATGCTTTTTGTATCCCAAGAAGCTATGGTTTGAATAAGGGAGATAATTCTTTTTTTTTTTTTTTTTTTTGAGACGGAGTCTCGCTCTGTCGTCCAGGCTGGAGTGCAGTGGCGCAGTGTCGGCTTACTTCAAGCTCCGCCTCCCAGGTTCATGCTATTCTTCTGCCTCAGCCTCCTGAGTAGCTGGGACTACAGGTGCCCGCCACCAAGCCCGGCTAATTTTTTTTGTATTTTTAGTAGAGACGGGGTTTCACCGTGTTAGCCAGGATAGTCTCGATCTCCTGACCTCATGATCCGCCCGCCTCGGCCTCCCAAAGTGCGGGGATTACAGGCGTGAGCCACTCACTGCGCCCGGTGGGAGGTAATTCTTATAGTTCAGGCTACAGGGTAAGTTACTTGCATAATCTAACAGGAACCTCTCATTTTTATATTTCCATGCCCTGTGCTACTAAATTCAGAATTGCTTTAGGCTATTAGGAGCACTGAAGCTACAAGGATCTTTGATCCACACACAGGATAATTGTTTAAAACAAAACCATGACTAGGCACAATGAACCAAGCACCTATGACAGAGAAAATTACACATATTTTAGAGAAAACTGAGGTGCAGGAGTGCTATGGTTTAAATGTCCGCACCAAAACTCATCTTGAAACTGTAAACCAAAAATACAATTCTAAGGCCCCCTAACCATCTTAACGGACCCCTCCTCTCAGCCAAGGGCTGTCCAAAGTTAACTGAAAAACTAGTTCAGACCTTGATAGCAAAGGGGAGCCACACCTGCCTCATTATACCCTCCTTTCTTTTGGGATTACTGATAAAACAGTCTCCTCAAGTATGATAAGAAACATAGAACAAGGTTGGCGCGGTGGCTCACGCCTGTAATCCCAGCACTTTGGGAGGCCGAGGCAGGTGGATCACGAGGTCAGGAGATTGAGACCATACTGGCTAACATGGTGAAACCCTGTCTCTACTAAAAAAAATACAAAAAATTAGCCGGGCATGGTGGCGGGCACCTGTAGTCCCAGTTACTCAGGAGGCTGAGGCAGGAGAATGGCATGAACCTGGGAGGCGGAGCTTACAGTGAGCTGAGATCGTGCCACTGCACTCCAGCCTGGGCGACAGAGCAAGACTCTGTCTCAAAAAAAAAAAAAAAAAAAGAAACATAAAACATACTCTTCAAGTCTGATAAGAAACATTTACAGTCTATTCTGAAATCTGGTACCTGGTGGCTTCATCAGCATGACAACACTTTGGTCTCCACAATTCCTTATGGTAACCCAGACATTCCTTTCTAGTGATAAAAACTCTTTCAACTAACTACCAATCAGAAAATCTCTGAATCTGCCTATGACTTGGAAGCCCCTGCTTCCACTTGTCCTGCCTTTCCAGACCCAAGCAATGTACATCTTACATGTATCGACTGATGCCTTATGTCTGCCTAAAATGTATAAAACCAAGTTGTGGCCTGACCACCTTGGGCACATATCATCAGGACCTCCTGAAGCTGTGTCACAGGCATGTTCTTAACCTTGACAAAACTTTCTAAATTGATTAAGATCTGTCTCAGATACTTTTGTTTTATAAAACTGTATCTTCAGCCGGGTGCAGTGGCTCATGCCTGTAATCCCAGCACTTTTGGAGGCCGAGGTGGGCAGATCACCTGAGGTCGGGAGTTTGAGACCAGCCTGACCAACATGGAGAAACCCCGTATTTACTAAAAGTACAAAATTAGCTAGGCATGGCGGCACGTGCCTGTAATCCCAGCTACTTGGGAGGCTAAGGCAGGAGAATTGCTTGAACTGGGGAGGCAGAGGTTGCAGTGAGGTGAGATCGTGCCATTGCACTCCAGCCTGGGCAACAAGAGCAAAACTCCATCTCAAAAAAAAAAAAAAAAAGAAAGAAAGAAAAACAAACAAAACCCCAAAATCTTAATCTTCAACATGGCAGCACTGAGAGGTGAGGCCTTAAAAGGTGATTGGATCACAAGGACTTTGCCCTCATGAATGGATTAACACATTCATGGATTAATGGATTAATGGGTTATCATGGGAGTGGTACTGGTGGCTTTACAAGAGTAAGAGACCCCTGAGCTAGTACCCTCAGCCACCTTGCCATGTGATACCCTGTACCACCTTGGTCCCCACCAGCAAGAAAACTCTCACCAGATGCAGCCCTTTGACCTTGGACTTCTCAGCCTCCCTAACTATAAGAAATAAATGTTTTCTTTATAAATCACTCAATTTCAGATATTCTGTTCTAAGCAACAGAAAAGGCACTAGGAGAGTCAAGAATTTGTCAGAGATTATAGAGCCAGTGGGAGGCAGCGCTCATGAGAGTCTAACCAAAAAAAGCAAGTGCCTGCTTTCATATATCACAAGCTCAAAGAACATCTGGGAAATTCATCCCAAAAAATAATTGCCTAGGCACATTGTCATCAAGTTCGTCTAAAATTAAGATGAAGGAAAGAATCTTAAGAGCCATGAGACAAAAGCACCAGAAAACCTATAAAGGAAAACCTATCAGATTAACAGCAGATTTCTCACCAGAAACTCTACAAGCTAGAAGGGATTGGGGCCCTATCTTTATCCTCCTTAAACAAAACAATTATCAGCCAAGAATTTTGTATCCAGTGAAAGTAAGCATCATAAATGAAGAAAAGATATAGTCTTTCAGACAAACAAATGCTGAGATAATCTGCCACTACCAAGCCACACTACGAGAACTGCTAAAAGGAGCTCTGAAATCTTGAAATAAATCCTGGAAATGCATCAAAACATAGCCTTTTAAAGCATAAATCTCACAGGACCTATACAACAAAAAAACACCAAGGTATAGCCAGGTGCAGTGGCACATGCTTGTAATCCCAGCACTTTGGGAGGCTGAGGCGGGTGGATCACTTGAGGTCAAGAGTTTGAGACTAGCCTGGCCAACATGGCGAAACCCCAATTCTACTAAAAATACAAAAATTATCTGGACATGGTGGCAGGCGTCTGTAATCCCAGCTACTTGGGAGGATGAGACAGGAGATAATCACTGGAACCGGGGAGGAAGAGGTTGCAGTGAGCCAAGACTGCACCACTGCACTCCAGCCTGGGCAACAGAGCAAGACTCTGTCCCAACAAACCAACCAACCAAGGTATACAGGCAACAAATAGCACAATGAATGGAATAGTACCTCACATCTCAATACTAACATTGAATGTAAATGGCCTAAGTGCTCCACTTAAAACATATGGAATTGCAGAATGGATAAGAACTCACCAATCACATATCTGCTGCCTTCAAGAGACTCACCTAACATGTAAGAACTCACATAAACTTAAGGTAAAGGGGTGAAAAAGGACATCCATGGCAATGGATACCAAAAGCAAGCAGGAGTAGCTATTTTTTATCAGACAACACAAACTTTAAAGCAACAGCAGTTAGAAAAGACAAAGAGGGACATTATATAATGGTAAAAGGCCTTGTACAACAGGAAAATATCACAATCCTAAATATATATGCACCTAAAGCTGGAGTTCCCAAATTTATAAAACAATTACTACCAGACCTAAGAAATGGGATAGACAGCAATACAATAATAGTGGAGGATGGCTGGGCGTGGTGGCTCACACTGTAATCCCAGCACTTTAGAGGCTGAGGCAGTCAGATCACCTGAGGTCAGGAGTTCAGGACCAGCCTGGCCAATAAGTCTCTACTGAAAACACAAAATTAGCCTGGTGTGGTGGTACATGCCTATAATTCCAGCTACGTGGGAGGCTGAGGCAGGAGAATTGCTTGAACCTGGGAGATGGAGGTTGCAGTGAGCTGAGATAGTGCCATTGCACTCCAGCCTGGGCAACAAGAGTGAAACTCTATCTCAAAAAAAAAAAAAAAAAAAAAAAATGGAGGACATCAATACTTCACTGACAGCGCTAGACAGGTCATCAAGACAAAGTCAACAAAAAACAATGGATTTAAGCTATACTCTGGAACAAATGGACTTCACAGATATTTGCAGAACATTCTACCTAGCAAGTGCAGAATGTACATTCTATTAATCAGCACATGGAATTTTCTCCAAGATAGACCATATGATAGGTCACAAAACAAGTCTCAATAAATTTAAGAAAACTGAAATTATATAAAGGACTCTCTCAGACCACAGTGGAATAAAACTGGGAATCAACTCCAAAAGGAACCTTCAAAACCATGCAAATATATGGAAATTAAATAACCTGTTCGTGAATGATCATTGGGTCAACAGTGAAATCAAGATGGAAGTTAAAAAATTCTTCAAACTGGCCAGGTGTGGTGGCTCACACCTGTAATCCCAGCACTTTGGGAGGCTGAGGCGGGCAGATCACCTGAGGTCAGGAGTTCGAGACCAGCCTGGCCAATATGGTGAAACCCTGCCTCTACTAATAATACAAAAATTAGCCAGGTGTGGTAGCGTGTGCCTGTAGTCACAGTTAGTCAGGAGACTGAGGCAGAAGAATTGCTTGAACCCGGGAGGTGGAGGTTGCAGTGAGCTGAGGTCATGCCACTGTACTCCAGCCTGGGCGACAGAGGGAGACTCCATTTCCAAAAAAAAAAAAAAAAAATTAGAAAAAAATTAGTAATGAAATTACTTACACAATATTTTTGTATTTTTTTCATATAAAACCTGATCTGTATTCTTATTCTAGTTTATATTAATGGGCACTTTCTTCCAAGTTTCAAGCAACCAATAAATCTGCACTATTACAGAACACAGAGAGCAAGGGAAATCTTTGCCATTCTCTTATAAAATATAACTCTAGTTCAATCAATTTTTATAGTGATTAACAGGCATTTTCTCAACTGATTCTATGATATCAGAAAAATGTCCACAAATATTGGTTCATGCAGCAGATAATTGTAAAGCCCTTACCACTCTGCTAGGGCTTGTGCCAGATCCCAGGGCATTATTCATAAACAGGCAATTTTCAAATTTGTATCTTCTACTAAGTGCCCTCCCCTGAATTTCAGACTTGCATATTCAAATGTTCTCTTAGTATTTCCACTTGTATATTTATCTGACATGTGAAACATGTGTCCAAAATGTAAACTTTGATTTCTCTGACACACCTGCCCCTACCTAGGTCCCCTCCTTAGTAAAAGGCAATTCCTATCTTCCATAGACTTAAGTCAAGCATCCAAGTAACCTTTGAGTCCACCTTACCTTTCACAGCATATCCCACACATAGTAAACTTTGTCAGCTCCATCTCAAACATCTACAGTCTCATTAGTCCCATCCACCTGCACAGCTAGCAAGCTGGCCCAAACCACCGTCACCACCACTAACTACAGCAGCATCAACTCATCCACTGCTTCCAAATTTGCCTCACTGCAGTCTAGTTTTCACAATACATACCCACTGTATTTTCACAAACATACATAGATAATAATACCGTTTTCCTATGTGATGAAATGCTATATACTGCTTAATTCTCTCTCTCTCTCTCTATATATATACATATATATTTTTTTTTTTTTTTGAGACAGAGCCTCGCTCTGTCACCCAGGCTGGAGTGCAGTGGCGGGATCTCTGCTCGCTGCAGCCTCTGCCTCCTGGGTTCCAGCGATTCTCCTGTCTCAGCCTCCCAGGTAGCTGAGATTACAGGCACGCACCACCACTCCCGGCTAATTTTTGTATTTTTAGTAGAGAAGGGGTTTCACCATGTTGGTCAGGCTGGTCTCAAACTCCTGACCTCGTGATTCGCCCACTGTGGCCTCCCAAAGTGCTAGGATTACAGGCGTAAGCCACCGCAACAGGCCTATATTTTTCATATTGTGTGTGTGTGTACAATTTTCTCTCAAATTGGTTCTGGATACCAAGATCTGAGGATGTTTCTGTCCTTTACATAAAACTGTGTAGAATTTGCATATATGCTGGGCATGTCCTCTCATGTCCTTAAAACCATCTCTAGATTACTTACAAGACCTAATACCTAATATAACACAAATGCTACATAAGTAGTTCTTATTCTGTATTGTTTTAAAATTTGTATTTTTTTTTAATTGTGCAGTGGTGGGATGAAGGCTGGGATTACAGGTGTGTGCCACTGGGCCCAGCCTATTTTCTTTTTTTAAATTTTCCAAATATTTTCCATTTGTGGTTAGTTAAATCCGTGCATGTGGAACCAGTGGATGTGGAGGATTAATTGTATAGATGTATATATTTTGATTACTCTCTCCCATTTCTTTGAATTCTGTACCTTTTTATCTAATCTTCTGGCTTCTACCTCCATCTATACTTATTGCCCTTTAATTTTCTAGGAAATGGCTGGAGATGGTGGCTAACGCCTGTAATCCCAGCACTTTGGGAGGCCGAGATGGGTGCATTGCTTGACCCCAGGAGTTCGACACCAGCCCGGGCAACATGGCAAGACTCCCATCTTTACAAAAAATACAAAGCCCAGTGTGGTGGTGGGAGCTTGTAGTCCTTGCTACTAAATGGGGAGCGCTGAGGTTGGGGAGTCACCTGAGCCCAGGAAGTTGAGGCTGCAGTGAGCCGTGATCGCTCCATTGCACTCCAGACTGGGCGACTGGAGTGAGACCTTTCCTAAAAAAAAAAAAAAATCTAAGAAACATGCATACGAGGTTGAACTTACGTTTATCACGTTAACCGGACAATCAAATTTGTTGGCCAGTGTTTTCCTAGTGGTGAAATCAGGATAACCGTTCTCTCCAAATATTTCCTTAAGTTCCTGCAATAATTCTTCAGAAAATTTATGTCGGTGTTTTGTTTTTCTTTTTTTCTTTGTTTGTCTTTCTTCATTATGATGATCCTCTTCAGCTGGGAAAGCTGACAAAAGTATAAGTAGCGAGAAGAGCATTGGAGAATATTGGTAATAACCAGACCAAAGAAGAGTGTTAGCACCATTGATTCCCTCCCCTTCCCAAGTTGAAATCCAGGCGTGACCTCATAGCTACTCACAATAATAAAATTACACATGAAAGCAGGAATTGGCTAACTCTAGGCCTATGGGCCAGATCCAGCCAGTTGCGTTTTTGTAAATAGAGTTTTTTTGAAACACCAGTCACCAGCCACATTCTTTTACTTATGTCTTGTCTATGGCCGTTTTCAAGCCACAATAGCGGAATCGGTAGTTGAGGCTCAGATGTGTCCAGGGTCCACACAGCCTAACATATTTACTATCTGGATTTGAGAATTTATCTTTTATTTATTTATTTATTTTGTCATCCCGGCTGGAGTGCAGTGGTGCGATCTTGGCTCACTGCAACCTCTGCCTCCTGGGTTCAAGCAATTCTCCTGCCTCAGCCTCCCAAGTAGCTGGGATTACAGGCACCTGCCACTACGCCCAGCTAATTGTTTGTATTTTTAGTAGAGACGGGATTTCACCATGTTGGCCAGGCTGGTCTTGAACTCCTGACCTTGTGATTTGCCTGCCTTGGCTTCCCAAAGTGCTGGGATTACAGGGGTGAGCCACCGCGCCGGCTGAGAATTTATCTTTAAAATTAGAACTAATTGCAGAAGAATATTTTATTATTTCATCACTGTAATATACAACAGGAAAAACTGATCTATACTGATTGGAAGGCAGGATATGGGCTACTGAGGGAACGGAATCGGAGCCTGAAAGGGAGAGAACAGAGGCCTCTGGGTGCCACTAAGTTCTCTCTATCTGAGTGCTCTCTGAGTTCCATGAGTGTAGCTGGTTTGTGAACATTTGTTAAATTAAACATGTGTAAATATTTGCTATTTTTGGCATGCACAGTATATTTCAGTTAAAAGTTTATTGATTTGTTTATTTTTGAGATGGAGTCTCACTGTCGCCGAGGCTGGAGACCAGTGATGCTATCTCTATTTACTGCAACGTCCACCTCCTGGGTTCAAGCGATTCTTGCGCCTCAGCCTCCTGAGTAGCTGGGACTACCACCCTCAGCTAATTTTTGTATTTTTAGCAGAAATGAGGTTTCCCCATGTTGGCCAAGGCTGATCTCCAACTCTTGAGCTCAAGTGATCCACCTTTCTCAGCCTCCCAAAGTGCTAGGATTACAGGCATGAGCCACCACGCCAGGCGTAAAATTTTATTTTTTAATAGCCTTCAAGCCTTACTCAATCTGTACCCTTCTGTAAATTTATTCCTGACATCGCTTCTTCTTTTCCCCCTCACTCAGTGCCCCGCAGCTATGTCAGTCTCTTTGCTTGTCCTTTGAACACCTGGAGGAATCTCCACTCGGGCTATTCTCTCTTCCTGGGAAGGTCTCCACTTCTTCCTCTTCTGATCCCCTTGATTCACTCCCTCACCTCCCTCCATGCCTTTGTTCAAAACTCACTTTCCCAGGGAGTCCTACCCTAACCACCCTATTAAAAATGGAAAAACAGGCTGTGTGCGCCGGCTCACGCCTATAATCCCAGCATTCTGGAAGGCCGAAGCCAGCAGATAACTTGAGGTCAGGAGTTCGAGGATAGCCTGGCCAACATGAAACAAAAATTAGCCAGGCGTGGTGGTGTGCACCTACAATCCCAGCTATTCGGGAGGTTGAGGTGGGAGCATCGCTTGAGCCTGGGGAAGGCAGGGGCTGCAGTGAGGAGAGATCGCTACACTCTACTCCAGCCTGAGTGATAGAGTAAGACTCTGTATCAAAAAAAAAAAAAAAAAAATTGAAATACCTTTCCAGATCAGAATTCTCAATTTCTTTTATCCTACTGTTTTTAGTTCCTTTCTCTGTAACACTATCGTGACTCAAAATTACCAAATAATTCACGTGTTGATGACACCATCTGTCTTCCCTTCACTTCTCTACAAACATACTAGACTGGAAGCCCCAGAGAGCATGGCTTTTAGTCTATCTTATTTACTATTTTTTGAAAGCCTAAAGTAGTGCCTTATAAAAATAGACACTTTAAAGCACAACATAGGCTGATTGAAAACAAAAAACCCCAAATAGAAACACAATAAATATTTTTTAAATGGGTGAATTAAAACAAATATTTATGAATGAAGTAACTGGTGTTAAACACTGATGCAAAAGCCCCGAGCCCTGAGAAAGACTAGAATGTTCTAGAAATAGCAAGGAAGACACTACGAATGGAGTACAAAGTGTGACTGAAAAAGAGAGAGGAGGCAAGGTGAGACAGTAAATGGAATCCAAATCAGGGGGGCTTGCAGCCATGTAAGGATGGCTTTTGCATGCTAATAAAGGGCAAAGATGTGGCTAGAATGGGGCGAGCCATGCTGTCACCTGGGACATGCTAAAAAACTCATTAATCTAACGGGTGCGATGGCTCACACCTGTAATCCCAGCACTTTGGGAGCCTGAGGTGGGCGGATGACTTGAGGTCAAGAGTTCGAAACCAGCTTGGCCAACATGGTGAAACCGTCTCTACTAAAAAAAAAAGAAAAAAAAAAATCAGCTGGTCATGGTGGCGGGTGCCTGTAATCCCAGCTACTCAGGTGGCTGAGGCAGGAGAATCGCTTGAAACTGGGAGGCGGAGATTTTAGTGAGCCTAGATTGCACCACTGCACTCCTGCCTGGGCTACAGAGTGAGACTCCATCTCAAAAAAAAAAAAAAAATTTCCTTGATTGGCATTGGTTTACAATTTCAAAATAATTTCGCACGTATTGTAGGACAGAGCAAGTGAATATAAATTGAACCAGGGCATTCACTGTAAGAGAAGGGGCCACAAATGTACAGTAGGAAAGTTAAGAAAGAATCTTGTGTATGCCGGGTGGAGTGGCTCACACCTGTAATGCCAGCATTTATAATTTTTTGTTTTGTTTTGTTTTTGAGATAGAGACTCACTCTGTCCACCCAAGCTGTAGTGCAATGGTGCAGTCATGGGTCACTGCAGCCTTGACCTCCTGGGCTCAAGTGATCTTATCAACTCAGCCTCCCAAGTAGGACTACAGGCTTGCAATACGCCCGGATAATTTTTGAATTTTTAGTAGAGACAGGCCTTCACCATGTTGACCAGGCTGGTTTTGAACTCCACTTGTAGGATCAAGCAATCCTCCTGCCTTGGCCACCCAAAGTGTTGGGATACAGGCGTGAGCCACCACACCCAGCTAATCCCAGCACTTTGGGAGGCTGATGTGGGCAGACTGCTTGATTGCTTGATGCCTGGAGTTCCAGACCAGCCTGGGCAACAAAATGAGACCTCAGTTTTAAAAAACAAAAACAAAAACAAAAAACAAAAAAGCAAAAAACAAATTAGCATGTGTGGTGGCACGTGCCTGTATTCCTAGCTACTCCTGAGGCTGAGGTGTTTGCTTGAGCCCAGGAAGCTGAGGCTGCAGTGAGCCGTGCACGTGCCACTGCACTCCAGCTGGGGATGACGGAGTAAGACCTTGTCTCAAAAAAAAAAAAAAAAAAAAAGACAAAAAAAAGAAAAAGGGAACCTTGTGACCTTGTGTAGTCAATTCTGATTTGGAGGCCAGGTGTGGTGGCGCATGCCTGTAATCCCAGCACTTTGGGAGGACCAGGCGGGCAGATCACTTGAGCTCAGGAGTTTGAGACCAGCCTGGGCATCATGTTGAAACCTCTTCTCTACGAAAAATATAAAAATTAGCTGGGCATGGAGGCACATGCCTGTGGTCCCAGCTACTTGGGAGGCTGAGGTGGGAAGTTTCCTTTAGCCTGGGATTTGGAGGCTGCAGTGAATGGTGATACTGCCACTGCACTGTAGCCTAGGAGAGAGTGAGTGCTAGGATTACAGGCATGTAATCCTGTCTCAAAAAAAAAAATTAAAAAAAAAGTCTGACTTGGAGATATCAGTTTAATTTCATCACTTAAAAATAATTTCCTAGGTCTGTCTACCTGAAAGGTCCAGAAGCCATTAAACCCCCTTAGTAACCAGCACACCTAGGGCCTAAACTATAGTTTGATAATACCAATTCCTATTAAAAGAAACCGGAGTTTTCTTAGTAAATGGCTGATTCTAGGTCTGGGGCAGAAAGGCACAAAGCAAGATTAGAACATCCTACCTGTGGCTCACAACTGTAATCCCAGCAATTTGGGAGGCCAAGCGGGGGCGAATGGCTTGAGCTCAGGAGTTTGAGATCAGCCTGGGCAACATGGCAAAACCCTGTCTCTACCAAAAATACAAAAAATTAGCTGGATGCAGTGGTGTGTGCCTGTGGTCCCAGATACTTGGGAGGCTGAGGTTGGAGGATCACTTGAGCCTGGGAGGCGGAGGTTGCAGTGAGTTGAGATTGTGCCACTGCACTCCAGCCTGGGTGACAGAGAGAGATCTCGTCTTAAAAAAAAAAAAAAAGATAAAAAAAAAAGATAAAAGAAAAGAAAAAATTCCATCAAAAAGACGAAAATACTTATGAATAACTTTAACAAAAGAAGTGCAAAATCTGTACTTTGGCTGGGGGTGGTGGCTCACACCTGTAATCCCAGCACTTTGGGAGGCCAAGGGGGGTGGATCAAGAGGTCAGGAGATTGAGACCATCCTAGCTAACACAGTGAAACCCCATCTCTACTAAAAATACAAAAAATTAGCCGGGTGTGGTGGCAGGCACCTGTAGTCCCAGCTACTCGGGAGGCTGAGGCAGGACAATGGTGTGAACCCGGGAGGCGGAGCTTGCAGTGAGCCGAGATCGCACCACTGCACTCCAGCCTGGGTGACAGAGCGAGACTCCGTCTCAAAAAAAAAAAAAAAAAAAAAAGAAGTGCAAAATCTGTACTTTGAAAAAAAATTGTTGAATAAAATTAAAGTAGACCTAAATAAATGGATAGTTTATGTACAAGATTCAGAAAACTTAATATTGCTAATATAATTATGTTCAAGTTGATCCACAGATACAATACAAAGTAAAAATCCCTATCAAAATCCCAGCTAACTGCTTTGGAGAAATTGATAAGCTGATCTTAAAATTCATATGAAAATTTAAGAGGCCCCAAATAGCCAAAATAATCTTGAAAAAGAACAAAGATGGATACATACTTCCTGATTTTAAAACTTACTATATATATATGCAATACCATTGATATTATTATTTGAGACAGAGTCTCGCTCTGTCTCCCAGGCTGGAGTGCAGTGGCACGATCTCGGCTCACTGCAACCTCTGCCTCCTGGGTTCAAGCGATTCTCCTGCCTCAGATTCCTGAATAGCTGGGAGTACTGGCGCACGCCACCATGCCTGACTAATTTTTGTATTTTTAATAGAGATGGGGTTTCACCACCGGGTGCGGTGGCTCACGCCTGTAATCTCAGCACTTCGGGAGGCTGAGGCGGGCAGATCACAAGGTCAGGAGTTCGAGACCAGCCTGGCCAATATGGTGAAACCCCGTCTCTACTAAAAATACAAAAATTAACCAGTCATGGTGGTGGGCACCTGTAGTCACAGCTACTCAGGAGGCTTAGGCAGGAGAATCGCTTGAACCCAGCAGGCAGAGGTTGCAGTGAGCCGAGATCGTGCCACTGCACTCCAGGCTGGGTGACAGAGTGAGACTGTCTCAAAAGAAAAAAAAAAAAAAGAGATGGGGTTTCACCATATTGGTCAGGCTGGTCTTGAACTTTTGACCTCGTGATCTGCCCGACTTGGCCTCCCAAAGTGCTGGGATTACAGGTGTGAGCCACCGTGCCCAGTACATTGATATTATATTTAATTATGTATATGCAATATTATAATATTATATATAATATCAATGGTATTGCATTGAGAGTTTAGAAATAAGCCCTCACATTTCCAGACAACTTATTTTCAACAAAGGTGTCAAAATAATCATTGTGGGGAAATAATCATCTTTTCAACAAATGGTGGTGGGAAACTGGGTTTTCAGAGAAAGAGGAGGGAACAAAAATTCACCGAAGAAAAAATGTTTGGAAGTCTTGTCCTAGAGCATCAAACAGTGGTGAGCCACTGAGGCTACCTTCACGCCACACTCCAAGTTCTGGGGCTACTCCCAGGTCCCTGAGATAGAGCTCATTCCTATCAAAGCTTTGTGGTGAACCTTTCATCCCAAAGTTTTTATGGTTGGGCCATTGTTACTCTGGGTGCTCTTTGCTGTAGATTTTGCCTCCAGGACAAATACAGTGGTGGGGCAAGATTTGAAAAATACAAAACAGGCCAGGCATGGTGGCTCACACCTGTAATCCCAGCACTTTGGGAGACCGAGGTGGGTGGATCACCTGAGGTCAGGAGTTTGAGACCAGCCAGAGCAATGTGGTGAAACCCCGTCTCTACTAAAAATACTAAAATTAGCTGGGTGTGGTGGTGGGCGTCTGTAATCCCAGCTACTTGGGAGGCTGAGGCAGGAGAATCGCTTGAACCTGGGAGATGGAGGTTGCAGTGAGCCGAGATCGCGCCATTGCACTCCAGCCTGGGTGACAAGAGCAAAACTCCGTCTCCAAAAAAAAAAAGAAAAATACAAAACACACAGTGAGCTTACGTTACACGTGACCTTCTCGCTCCATCCAGGGGTCATCAATAACAATAAACCTAAGCCTAACCCAGCATGCTTCAACTGTTTTCAAAGAAAGAGTGACAAAGCTTCTTCCATACTTTACATATGGAAGTTCTCACAATATTTCTGAACAAAATCACAGAATAAAAAACTGCCATATTTGTGAGCTAGGAAAAAAAAATACCTGGGACATTTTTGTTTTTTAAGAGACAAGGCCTCACTCTGTCACCCAGGCTGGAGTGCAGTGGCATGATCATAGCTTATGGCAGTTTCTAACTCTTGGGCTCAGATGATCCCTCCTGCCTCAGGCTCCCAAGTAGCTGGAACTACAGGCATGCACCACACCTGGCCAATTTTTATTTCTTTTGTAGAAATAGGGTCTTGCTATGTTGCCTAGGCTTGTCTCAAACTTCTGGACTCAAGCTATCCTCCCACCTCTGCCTCCCAAAGTGTTGGGATTACAGGCATGAGCCACTGCTTCCAGCCTCAATTGCTCTCTGCTTTAATAATTATTAATACACAGCCAGTCTTTGTCTGATCTAGAACCCATCCATTCAAACTTCCCCCCAAGATTTTTTACCTTTTAATAAAATTTGATCTGTAGGTATTTTTGTCTGTCTAAAAACTAAAGAATTTTATAAACAAGAATCATAATTGGGTTTAATTTTTAAATGCCTAGTCCTATCTAAAAGCTGCAGTGTCCTGTTGTACCCCCAGTGAATAATATCAAACTGACTGCCCACAATCTTCACTATTATAAGGTAAAAGTTGAAACCCTACAAAACCCTCATTTTCATGGAAACAGTCTTCTCACAACAAAACACATTGAGTTCTCTACCAAAGGCACTCACCTTGGGAAGACATGTCGAAACTCCAGTCCAGGGCCTTTCCAACTGAAAAAATAATGAATTGTAAAGCTGAATTACTTTAAATATACTCAGAGGTGCCCACCCTAATCACGCCTCCACCCTAGTCATGCTTTTTTGATTTATTTACAGAACCCACCTTTTCAAATCCTATCTTCTATTCATTGAGATTAATTTTCTTCTTTAATTCTTTAATATCACATTTTCATCCTCATTTTACAGGTAAGAACCTTTGGTGTAGAATGGTTCAGAGCCCAGGGTCAGCTCTCCGACCCTGGCCGTCTGACAGCTGATTCCATGCCTGTCACCACACACTTATTCTATATAACAGCGATTCTGTACACTCTTGTGAGAACTAAAAATAAAATTCCAAGTCCCCCAAACAACTCAATGGACTGACCCCTTTAGTCAAAGGGACCTCAGAGAAACCTTAAAAACTGAGTTCTGGCAGGGCGTGGTAGCTCACACCTGTAATCCCAGCACTTTGGGAGGCTGAGGTGGGGGGTCACCTGAGGTCAGGAGTTGGAGACCACCCTGGCCAACATGGCGAAACCCCGTCTCCACAAAAAGTTCAAAAATTAGCTGGGCGTGATGGTGGATGCCTGTAATCCCAGCTACTCGGGAGGATGAGGCAGGATAATCGCTTGAACCTGGGAGGCGGAGGTTGCAGTGTGCTGAGATCACGCCACTGCACTCCAGCCTGGGTGACAGAGCAAGACTCTGTCTCAAAAAAAAAGCAAAAAAACCCCCAAAAACTGAGTTCCCAGCCGTGATGAGATGGGATGTCAGACATACCTCATTATATTTCTCACTTTTGTGGTTTAGACACAGCTGACCAGCATTAATATTTAAATGGAGATCATGAGACTGACAAAATGAACTCTTGGTGGCAATAAAACCAAATTAGTAAACAGGACCTAAGGCACTGTGAGGCATGGATTAAGTTTCACGCAGTCTTTTACTTAAAGAATAAACTATGCGCTGGGCATGGTGGCTCACGCCTGTAATCCCAGCACTTTGGGAGGAAGAGGCAGGAGGATCCCTTGAGGTCAGGAGTTCAAGACCAGCCTGGTCAACATGGTGAAACACCCCGTCTCTACTAAAAATACAAAAAAATTAGCCAGGCACTGTGGCGTGTGCCTGTAATCCCAGCTACTCAGGAGGCTGAGGCAGGAGAATTGCTTGAACCCAGGAGGCGGAGGTTGCAGTGAACTGAGATTGCACCACTGTACTCCAGCCTGGGCAACAGAGCAAGACTCTTGTCTCAAAAAAAAAAAAAAAAAAAAAAAAAAAAAAGAATAAACTGTGCTCTAACTGCCACAAGGGTTTTCTTTATCTCTAGCAGCTAAACAAGCACTGGCCTCGAGATAAGCAATGTTGAAGCAGTTGCGGTTCACCAACCATTAGATACCGAGCTTCTCTGTTCCAAGAGCCATAACTACAGCTTTGATTGAACAATAGGCTGATTTATTTAATTCTCCACTGCTAAGGGACCGCTGACTGAAACTGACCCAATAGTTTCATTGACAGCCTTTTTTTTTGATAAACTAGAAATGGGCTCTTCTTGTCTTAAAGCTTGAAACTTATGGTTTTATGTGAGTTTTTATTTTTTTATTTTTAGGAAAGAACTCCCAGGCCTCTCAAAAAGTATTAAAGAACTAAAACTTGGCCAGGCACAGTGGCTTACGCCTTTAATCCCAGCACCTTGGGATGCTGAGACGGGTGGATTACTCAAGGTTAGGAATTCCAGACCAACCTAATCAACATGGTGAAAAGACTAGCTGGGCGTGGTTGTATGTGCTTGTAATCCCTGCTACTGGGTGGCTGAGGCAGGAGGAGGCTTGAACCCAGGAGGCAGAGGTTGCAGTGAGCCAAGATCATGCCTCTGCACTCCAGCCTGGGTAACAGAGTGAGACGCCAGTCTCAAAAAAAAAAAAAAAAAAAAAGAATTAACAAAGAACTGAAACTCACTGGATCATCACATCTAAACAATGATACCCCAGTCCCTTCATTCATCACAATTGCTTCCTTACCCGTCCTGAGTTCCTGTTTTCACATACATGGTTACATTTCTTCCTTGCTATATAAACCCCTAATTTTAGTCAGTCAGGGAGATGGATTTGAGACTGATCTCCTACCTCCTAGGCTGCAATAATCATTATCTCAGTGATTGGCTTCCTTTGTGGCCAGAAGCCCGACCTAGACTGAACCCCTGGTGTTTTGGTAACAGATTTTGGTTCCCTGACTGGGAATGCATTGCTCATGGCTTGGCTGCCAAGGGCTGGGAGTCTCAGAAGCTCTCCTAAGCTGCTACCAACCCAATTTTGGCTGGAGGTGAGTTTCTGTCTCTCCCTGGCCACACTGCAGCCAGCCCCAGCTATGTTCCCGATTGCCTGGGAAGAATAGCCTTTGAAATTTGACATCTGTATCCTGATAGGTGAATGTCCTTTGTGGGTCCATACGGCAGGATCTGCTCCTCTCAACTTGGGAAATTTTTAAAGGAAGTTCCATTTGTAGGTTGAACAAGGCCAACTGGCTGAGAGAGGAAATGCCCTGTTTTAGAGTGGACATTCCTGAGGGATTGTTGTGTAATTGTGCATTGTGTGTGAGCCCAGGCAAGTGAGTGTCTTTTGTGGGTACCAGACAACAGGATTGGTTCTCAACTGAGAAATTACGAAGGAATTTTTGTTTGTAGGTCGATCAAGCCCAACTGATGGAGAGAGGAAGCACGCTGATTCTTTCAGTGTGGACACTCTCCAGACTTGCTTGCTGCTGCAGCAGTTGGATTGTATTTTGGTGATTGTTGTGTGTGTTAATATAGTCATGAGAAATTATTTAATGTATTAATTAATTTATTTTTTGAGACAGAGTCTCACTCTGTCACCCAGGCTGGAGAGCAGTGGTGCGATCTCTGCTCACTGCCACATCCACCTCCCGGGCTCAAGCAATTCTCCTGCCTCAGCCTCCCAGGTAACTGGGATTACAGGTGCCCACCACCATGCCCAGCTAATTTTTGTATTTTTGGTAGAGACAGGGTTTCACCATGTTGGCAAGGCCAGTTTCGAACTCCTGACCTCAAATGATCCGCCCACCTTGGGCTCCCAAAGTGCTGGGATTACAGGCATGAGCCACCACGCCAGGCAAATCATGGGAAATTAGAGTTTGATAAACTGATGTTATCTGGTAATACTGTTTGGCCCAAGTGTTTTTTGAAATCTGAAGTTTGCTGTTGAGTGGGAAATTGGAATGGAATTCCATGTATCCAGGCTTTGATGCTGTTGTTCTAAGCAGGGCTGGGCCTGATTAGTATGTGACGTCTTTCTGTGGTGCTGTTTGGCCCCACTATTCTTTAGAGTCTGGGGAGGTTTGGCCTTTAAAAATCAAACTGCCATGGAAACTGCTTTACCAAAAATTTTGGTTGATAGCCTTCATTGGATTACCTACCAGGGCAAACAAAGTGCAGCCACGTAAACCAGTGAGTTAGTATTGCTGTCTTATGGCTAGACTTCTGAGGTTAAACTACTGGATCTTTGTTTATGTGTGTGTATACATGTCTAGATGTGTTTTTGTACGTACATTTATTATATGTTGTGTTTGCCAAATTGGCTTATAAATAAAAGAGCGCTCATAAATTAAACCAAAAGCATTTTTTAAGTTCATGTGACTTAGGTAAACCTTTAAAAAGGCTTTAAGATTATTGGTAAAATGAAAAAATAGAAAGGCCTTCAGAATTGTCAGCATAAATTTTTGTCTGGATTTTATATTTGTCTCTGCTAGATATTTTGAGGCCTCAAGGTTTGGCATAGAAAGTTATAAAACTATGGGGCCGGGCGCAGTGGCTCATGCCTGTAATCCCAGCACTTTGGGAGGCAGAGCGGGGCGGATGACCTGAGGTCGGGTGTTGGAGACCAGCCTGACCAACATGGAGAAACCCCGTCTGTACTAAAAATACAAAATTAGCAAGGTGTGCTGGCGCATGCCTGTAATCCCAGCTACTTGGGAGGCTGAGGCAGGAGAATTGCTTGAACCCGGGAGGCAGAGGTTGCAGTGAGCCAAGATCGTGCCATCGTACTCCAGCCTGGGCAACAAGAGTGAAACTCCATCTCAAAAAAAAAAAAGTTATACAACTATGAACCCAGAAAAAACAAAATAATCTTGGTTTATGTGCCTTTTTTGACAAGTGAGACTAATTTAATGTTGTTAGTGAATCTTCTGAGTTACGGGAAAAATATCTACGTATTTACCTTTAAGATTCCTACTTAGGTGAGTACCTGATGTTCACGGGCTATTAAAAAGACTGATTAACAAGGAAATAACTAAGTTTATCTAGCTGTGTCTAATATCTCAGTTTTCAAAAAAAATCTCAATTTTCAGAAGTAATCCAAGTAAATTGTTAAAAATGAAAGAATTGAGTCCATGTAAATAAGATAAATGTTGCAGGTGAACTCTTTGTGTCATTGAAAATCTTAAAATTATTTTTGATGCTCATTGGATGTCAAGGTCATTTCCAATGAAGACAAAGTTATGATGTGAAGCAATATATTTCTTTTTAAAATTTATTTATTTTAAATTGCAATGTTTTTTGGGGAACAGGTGGTTTTTGGTTACATGGATAAGTTTGTTAGTGGTAATTTCTGAGATTTTTGGTTCACTCGTCACCTGAACATTGTACACTATACACAATGTGTAGTCTTTTATCCCTCACTGTTTCCCACCCTTCCCCTGAGTCCCCAAAGTTTATTATATCATTCTTATGTCTTTGCATCCTCACAGCTTAGCTCTCACTTGTAAGTGAGAACATAAAATGTTTGGTTTTCCATTCCTGAGTTACTTCACTTAGAATAATGGTCTCCAACTTTATCCAGGTTGCTGCAAATGCCATTATTTCATTCCTTTGTATGACTGAATAGTATTCCATGGTATGTATGTATATATATACATTACATTTTAAAAATTAACTCATTGGTTGATGGGTGTTTATGCTGGTTTCATATTTTTTCAATTGTGAATTGTGCTGCTAGAAACGTGTGTGCAAGTGTCTTTTTCCTATAATGACTTCTTTTCCTCTGATGTGGGATCGCTGGATCAAATGGTAGTTCTACTTTTAGTTCTTTATGGAATCTCCATAGTGTTTTCCATAGTGGTTGCATAGTTTACGTTCCCACTAGCAGTGTACAAGTGTTCCCCTTTCACCATATCCACGACAACATCTACTATGTTTTGATTTTTAATTTATGGCCATTTTTGCAGGAGTAAGGTGGTATCTCATTGTGGTTTTAATTTGCATTTTCCTGATAATAAGTGATTGGTAAGAGGCAGAAAAGAGACAGAGACAAGGGTTGGGGTGGCTGGACAGTAACACGCGTTTATTGGATGAGGAAATCTGCGGAGAGAGACACCACTGAGCGCAGGAGTCCTAGCCCCGCTTACAGACTAGGGCAGTTATAGGTCCGGCGGGGAGGGAGGGAAGTGTTGCAAAACGGGATGGGGGTAGTGCCGCTAGCTGCTGAAAAGGGAGAAAATTCCCGTGGTCAGGTGGTTGGGCCTGGGACCTGCCTGGTTGTTTCCACGGCCTAGGCCCCAGTGGAATTTTCCATCCTGGCGAGGGTGTCCATAATGGCAGGGGTTTACAGGATGGCACAGCTTGGCTAACATTCCTGTCTTTTACTTCTGTATAAAACGAATAGAGGCGTTGTTGATTATGTGACTGCTTCCTGCTGAGTAGGGGCGCTGAAATCAGGGTTTGGGTTTTGAAGCAGTGGATGTCGGACTTCAGAGTCGCTTTCACGGAGGCTCTGATACTGGACTTGGTGGAGGAGAAGGATGGTATCAATATGTTTCTGGGTGTTTGCCTGGCCAAGAGAGTTCAGCCTTTGGGAGATAAAGAGGGATATGAAGGTGAGTATGCATGGGCCAATTGTTAGTATTAGGAGGAGGAAGATTAGAAGCCCTAAGAAAGGGACATCCCAACGCATCCACTTTAGGAGGAATGACCCCTGCCACCAAGAGTCAGTGACTTGAAGTCAGATTTCTACAGCCCTGTCACAGAGCCTGCGGGCTGTGTCACAATCAATGCCAGATTCATTAACATAAAACAGCATTCTTGCTTGAACCTGGGAGGTGGAGGTTGCAGTGAGCCGAGATCACGCCACAGCACTCCAGCCTGGGCGACAAAGCGAGACTCCTTCTCAAAAAAAATACAAACAAAAAAACACCTCAGCATTCTTTTTGGAGGCATATACATGTGCCCCCTTTCTCAGTGATTAGCAGGTCTAGGGCCCTCCAGTTTTGGAGGACGACTCCAGCAACGGAGTCTATCTGCCTCTGGAGGTTTGTAATGGAGGTATGCATGTCCTCTAGGGTACTATAAAGGACTGTGGAGATTTTTTGATATAGGCCGTCGAGGTTGATACACCTGCTGTTCTGGTGCTGAGTGTGGCAGAGATGCTTAACCCTCTTAACAAGGGAATGAGATGCAGACCCTGCCTACTGCATGTGGAAGAGGATGAGATAGGGGTCACTAAAGGAACCTGGATGGTCTGGTTGTTTGGCAGGATGTTAATGTCTGGAGATTGAGACACTAGGGTGCATGCTCCTGACCAATTGGTTGGTAGGCAGAGATAAGAGTTCCTGCCACAAAGGAAGAAGACACGTGGGGTGGACGGACAAATGTTGTAGGTTATGGTGGCAAACCATAAGGAAATGGGAGCTGAGTCTTCAGAGAAGCCCTCTCGGATGCTTTTCTCATTCTCTCATATTGAAAAGCCATCTGCAAGGGCGGCCCCAGTGAGAAGCTGATAAGGTATGTCAGTGGGGGAAGAGGTGAAGGAAATGTGATTTTGCAGGGAAAGGAAAAAAGAGGTTCTGTCCACTAACAGCCATTGTGAGTTGGAAGAAGGGCTGGGATGGAGGAAGCATGAGAGAGAGGAGTCATGGCATTTCCTCCAAGGGAGTCCCTTAACACTTGGTGGGTGTCGCTGACAGAGAGGGGTGGGGGAGAAGATAAGGGAAGTGGGTGCTGAGATGAAAGAGGGGCCAGAAAATAACAGTAGATTTTTGAAGGCTGAGGAAGACCCTATTCAGTGATTTATTTGGTGATTTTGATGATCCTGAGATGGGTTGAGAGTGAGGGTGAAGTTGCACAGGGATGGAAGTAGGCTCCCCCCTAGAGTCTTATGAGGGGGTTGGAGAAGAATCAGCTAAAGCAGAGGGGGCCCTGAGCTATGAGTGACGTCTGGGTGGAAATAAGGCCTTCAGTGGGTGGTCTGGGGGGATTTGCCTCTGTTAGGGATAGACGAGGATTAAGGAGTTATAGTAGGGTAACAGCCCTGCGTTCAGGGTTTTGGAAAGAGTGAAATGTTTGTGGAGGGAAGGTGTTTAAATGGCTGAGGGTATAAAAAGTTTCTGTAAATGGAATGCCCTCATATGTGAGGTATAGGGTTATGACAGACAGGGTCCAGGTGTGTAAGTCTGCAGGGATGGCGGTGAACCATTGGGTCTGTGGGGATATGCATAACCAGCAGTTAGAGGAGAGGGGAGGCTGGCTTGGCTAAGGAGGTTGTGTGGCAGGTTGACGAAGGGTGCCCAACTGCCAAAGGTTGGGGGTGGGGACTTAGAACATCCCACAGACAAAGAAGACAAGAGGAGAAAAAGGAGATTTGAGTAGGAGTGAAATGTTGAAAGGTGCCCTGCAGCCATAGCTCCTGGATTATTAGTGTGAAGAATTGGAGTGAACTATCCAGGGTTGTGGGGAGGGAATACAAGGAAAGATCTGAAAGAAAGTATGGAGACCAGGATTTCAATATCAGCCTGGCCAACATGGCTAAATGCTGTCTCTACTAAAATACAAAAATTAGCTGGGTGTGGTGGCATGCACCTGTAATCCCAGCTATTTGGGAGGCTGAGGCAGGAGAATCGCTTGAACCTGGGAGGTGGAGGTTGCAGTGAGCTCAGATTGCTGCCACTGCACTCCAGCCTGGGTGACAGAGAGAGACTCCATCTCAAAAAGAAGAAGAAGAAAAAAAAGAAGACGTATGTTTCATAAAGAAGGTTATAAAGAAAAGATAATAATTTTGTATGAGAAAGCACCTTGTTTGGTGAATTTTTTTCTAAAGTAAAATGAATCATTACTAAAAAAAAAAAAGAAAAGAAAAAAAGAAAACATTTAGGACAAAACAAAAACTTCAAGCATGCCATAGATGATCTGTGTAAGTCATTTGCAGTTTTTTTCTGTTTCTCTGTATCTATCTTCATGCACATAAAAAGAAAATGGAAAGATGAAAAAGTTTAGATAATAAAATATTCTTTAAAACCTGATAGAAAATTGGAGAAGGTTGGCTAATTAACATTGCTCAGAGTTAAAGGTCTTAGTGTTGACGAAAGTAAAAGAAGAAATGTTATAAAGAAACACATTGGCAGTTTGGCAATTATTATTATTATTTTTTATTTTCATTTTTTTGAGATGGAGTCTTGTTCTGTCACCCAACCTGGAGTGCAGTGGCATGATCTTGGCTCACTGCAACCTCCTCCTCCCGGGTTCAAATGATTCTCCTGCCTCAGCCTCCTGAGTAGCTGGGACTACAGGCACATGCCACCATGCCCAGCTAATTTTTGTATTTTTAGTAGAGATGGGGTTTCACCGTATTGGTCAGGCTGGTCTTGAACTCCTGACGTCGTAATCCACCTGCCTCGGCCTCCCAAAGTGGTGGGATTACAGGCATGAGCCACTGCGCCCGGCTGGCAATTATTTTTTAATATAGTTAAGCATGAAGCCAGATTTAGCTTGCAGCCAAATTTCACACATGCTTGCAGTGCTTCACGCTATATTTGCAATTCTGTATAGATAGTACTATCAGTAAAGTGCTTGTTGGTCATGTACCTAAAGTGAATTTCTTAATTGCACAAAATGTGTACTGTTAATGGTGAACTTAAAAACATCAAATTGTGTATCAGGAACAAAATATCCATATATATATATTTTTAGGTTCTGGTAACACTTTAACCTCTAAGGTAAACTGAGTAGGAGAAAAATTGGGGATTGGTTTCCTGTTTATTTATTTTTGCTTCTAATTTTCATTTATTTGCTTTTCTCTTTTGGGTTTTACTTATATATACATATAAAAACAATTGATGTGTTTTAGGTTTCCCAAGAAAGGCTTTTATTTGGTCCTATGAATAGTCATCATGTTTTCTATGAGTTTCTAATAATTCATTGTTTGCTCTATTTATCTAAAGTTCTTAAGCTACCTTTGTCAAGCCTGTAAAAATTGATAAAGGGCACTGACTATTTAAAATTTGATTCGTTTTGCTTACCTCTAGTAATCTAGAGAGCTATAAAAGATTTAAGGTTTCTGGCCAAAATAATTAAAAGACTTATTTTAAAAGTTCTGAGCAGAAATAGTACATTTCTTGTTTGAAAAGGTAGATGAGAATAAAAATGTTTAAATAGTGTTTATTTCCAAGGTAATTCAATTCAATCAATAATTTGAATTGGTTTCAGATCTTTTCCTTCAGGTAATGAGAAAACACTGTGTTATGGGCACACATTTTTAATGTTCAGAAACAATTGGCCTTTCCATAAGGAAATTACATGGATTGGGATTTCTTTCAAACTAATTTAGTTGTGTTGACCATTATTAAACTTAAGTGACATTCATTTGGATTAAGTAGTAATTTTAAAATGTGAGGCTTTCTAGTGATTTTTTTTATTGAGACAGAGTCTCATTCTGTTGCCCAGGATGGAGTGCAGTGTCTCAATCTTGGCTCATTGCAACCTCTGCCTCCTGGGTTTGAGCAATTCTCATGCACTGGCCTCCCAAGTAGCTGGAATCACAGGCACTTGCCACCACACCTGGCTAATTTTTGTGTTTTTAGCAGAGACGGGGTTGCACCATGTTGGCCGGGCTGGTCTCAAACTTCTAACTTCAAGTGATCCGCCCACCTCAGCCTCCCAAAGTGCTGGGATTACAGATGTGAGCCACCACCTCCAGCCATTTTCTAGTTATTTTTAATCCTAGGCCATTTATCTATCACTGATGAGCCTTCATGTATGTACTTTAAAACAAAATATATACAAATCTTGCACTGGTTTGAAGATTTTAGTAATGAAAAGTTACCCAATCGGTTGTCAGTATGTTATCTAGAAACCAATCTTAGAAATGTGTGATGACGTTTTTTCAAAATAGCTGAAAAGAAATTATTCTGTGCCTGCTTTTACTTTGTCCTTGTTTTGTCCTATAATATTAAGTGAAGGGAGATTATTTAGCCTCATATTGAATTTCCAAAACTGATATTTGTGTTTGCCATTTTTTAATGATGGAGAGAAAAGTTCGTTATCTTACTTTGATAAGTTTGACATAGGATCTATCACTTTTTGAAGCTTTTGGTGACAGTTGTCACTAGAATGCTAGCAATTAGATATATGCAATGAATAACTTGGTTACATTAATAAAATGTCTTGAAGTGCTGCAGACAGTAACTCTTGGACACCAAATCACAGTGTTTTCATTTGTGACATGTTAGAGAGAATGACAGTACTTTCTGTGGTATAAATATCCCATTACCTAATGCTAGTTCTGTTAAGTTTCAGGGCTTTGACTCCTGAGTCTGAAAAAGCCACCACCCTCTGCTAAATCTTAAGCATTAAGACCAGTTGAAGTCTCATCTTCAGACTCAGTAGAAGATGACAATCAAAATGAACTGTTTTCATGAGACATGGGTCCAGGAATAAAAACCACTCAATCCCTCTAGGCCCAGGGACTATCAAAGTAGAGGTGGTTGCCTGAGACTGTAAGGGCTGATTTTGAGGGAGAAGATTAGTTCAGTTTTTCTTTTTGTTTGTTTGAGACAAGGTCTCCCTCTGTCACCCAGTGCAGTGGCGCCATCACGGCTTACCACAACCTCTGCCTCCCAGGCTCAAGCAATCTTCTCACCTCCACATCCTGAATAGCTGAGACCACAGATGCACACCACCATACCTGCCTTGGCCTCCCAGGGTGCTGGGATTACAGGTGTGAGCCACCACACTGAGCCTGGAGTTTCTCTATAAATCAGACATTAATATCAAAAGCACACTGATGCATGGCCAGCATCTGATCCCTTGTATTGGAAAAGCAGAGTTTTCTTGGAACATAGATCTACTCTTTAATAAAAAAAAAAAAAGGTTATAAAACATTGATGGAAATCTTTCCTTATGGTGGAACTGATTAAAATTTTAATAGTTAAAATTAATCACAAAATTAATTCAATTTTAATTTAATTAAAATTAGTTTCCTGAAGTCCAAGAGAGACATATTAGGCTTATTAGACTTATTTGTTATGTTAGAGCTATGTAGGAAGCATTGTCAAATCTGAGGTGGTGTTTAGCTTCCTTTGGGTCGTATTTATATAGATGTGTTGTTAATGTTAATAAAATACTCTATGAGATTTTTAAAATTCTCGTATGTCTTAATATATATTGTCAGTAGTAATTATGATTATTATAATTGTTGTATGCCACAGAAATAAGCAAATTTCCTTGTTGACTGTGTCTTTAACTATGGCTGTCTTAAGATTTTGTCACCTATTATTGTTTTCTTTTGCTTTGATTCTTCTCCAAAAAATGACTTATAACTACAGTCCAGGGCTTGCTTCTTTGACTCCTGAGTCTGAAAAAGCCACCACCCCCTGCTAAATCTTAAGCATTAACACCAGTTGAAGTCTTATCTTCAGACTCAGTAGAAGATGACAATCAAAATGAATTGTTTTCATGAGACACGGGTCTTTGGGAGAGTTCATAAAAAAAAAAATCTTTTTTTTTTTTTTTTTTTTTTTTTTGAGACAGATTTTCTCTTTGTTACCCAGGTTGGAATGCAGTGGCACAAGCTTGGCTCACTGCAACCTCTGTCTCCTAGGTTCAGATGATTCTCTTGCCACAGCCACATGAGTGGCTGGGATTACAGGTGTGTGTCACCATGACTGACTAATTTTTATATTTTTGTTAGAAACAGGGTTTGCCATGTTGGCTGGGCTAGTCTGGAACTCCTGACCTCAAGTGATCTGCCCACCTCGGCTTCCCAAAGTGCTGAGATTATAGGTGTGAGCCACCGTTCCCAGCCAAAAAGGACTCTTAAATGCAGATTTCTGATAACTTTGGAGATTGTGCCATTGGATGAGAGAGAAAATTTCCAGGGCATGAATGGAAAGGCTGACATGTTCATAAATATTGCTGACCTATTTTGAAGCACAGCAGGGAGTTGATTGCATGGATTGGACTAATGGAGGACTGAAATAAATTTGTATTGCTTTTTGTTGATGTTGTTTATTACAAACATTGCTGATTCTTCAGAGTCTGGAGAGCTTTTTTTTTTGAGCTATTTATACCCTTTAACAATTGAGTAGAGTATACTCTTGTAAACAGAATTTGAGGCTTATTTCTCTCTCTGCCTAATTGCTCAAGAATTTGTAAATTAGTTGTGAATGTTCTTCATTCCTGGCAACATGTTTGCATAAGTGCAATAAGAATCTGTTTTCTGTCCGGGTGTAGTGGCTCACGCCGTAATCCCAGCACTTTGGGAGCCTGAGGTGGGTGGATCACGAGGTCAGGAGATTGAGACCATCCTGGCTAACATGGTGAAACCCCGTCTCTACTAAAAATACAAAAAATTAGCTGGGCATGGTGGCGGGCGCCTGTAGTCCTAGCTACTCGGGAGGCTGAGGCAGGAGAATGGCGTGAACCTGGGAGGCAGAGCTTGAAGTGAGCTGAGATCGTGCCACTGCACTCTAGCCTGGGAGACAGAGCAAAACTCTGTCTCAAAAAAAAAAAAAAAAAAAAAAAAAAAGGCCGGGCGCGGTGGCTCACGCCTGTAATCCCAGCACTTTGGGAGGCCGAGGCGGGCGGATCACGAGGTCAGGAGATCGAGACTATCCTGGCTAACACGGTGAAACCCCGTCTCTACTAAAAATACAAAAAATTAGCCGGGCGTGGTAGCGGGCGCCTGTAGTCCCAGCTACTCGGGAGGCTGAGGCAGGAGAATGGCGTGAACCCGGGAGGCGGAGCTTGCAGTGAGCCGAGATCGCGCCACTGCACTCCAGCCTGGGCGACAGAGCGAGACTCCGTCTCAAAAAAAAAAAAAAAAAGAATCGTTTTCTTTTGTAATGGGACACAGTTTGAGGAACTGGTTATTTTCCCAGGGCTTTGACCGAAATGCCTTTGTGGGAGGCTCTAGCAAGGCCATTTTAGGAGAGGCTATGTGGACAATGATTCTTGCTGCACTTTGTGTGGGTAATCAGGCCAAGTATATGGGACTGAAGCTTATTTTGCAGGTAGGTTGGTTCTGCTGTGATTTGTCTTTGGCGGAAATTGGGGACTGAAGAGAGAAAGACTGTGTTTCTGAAGAAAACTACAGTATTAGATTAACCTTTGATTCCTGGGTGGCCACGTGGTCGCCCATAGCATGGAGCTGCCGACAACGTTCTTCCTCAGCATGAAGGAGCCAGTAAGGCTGGCGATCAGGTTCCTCATGATTGAGGAATCAATAAATAGAAAAAGCGGACTGGACTGAAATTGACCCAATAGTCTTATAGACAGTTTTTTTTGAATAAACATAGAAATCAACCCTTCTGGTCTTAAAGGATGAAACTTAACATTTATTTTATCTGAGTTCCTTCCGCAGGAAAGAAGCCCCCAGGCCTCTCAAAAAGTATCAAAGAACTGAGAGTCACCAGATAGTCACATCCAAACGATTGAATGCCAGGCCCTTCATTCATCATGAATGATTCCTTACCCTTTCCAAGTTCCTGTTGTCCCATGCGTAGTTACGTTTCTTCCCTGCTATGTAACTCCCTAATTTAATCAGTAAGAGTGATGGATTTGAGACTGATCTCCTGTCTCCTCAGCTGTAGTGCCCGATTAAAGCCTTCTTCTTTGGCAATAATTATTGTTTCGTGATTGGCTTTCCATGTGGCCAGCAGCAGGACCTAGACTGAAGCCCTGGTATTTTGGTAACATGAACATAGACTGGTCCTGGCTAGTTTTGGAGGCAGATAATGCAGGTAAAAAGAGTCTTCAGCAAGGCTTCCCTTCTAACAAAAAGCAGCCCCCAAATCATTTCTTTTCTAACAAAAAGGCTTTTCTATGCCTTTTCCCATCTCTTCTCCTTCTGAAACTCCCCAAATTTCTATATTTGTTCACTTAATGATATCCCATATGTCATATAGGCTTTCTTCATTCTTTTTTATTCTTTTATTCTTTGCTTTTCATCTGACTAAGGTATTTCAGAAGACCTGTCTTCAGCCAGGTGTGGTGGCTCACACCTGTAATCCCAGCATTTTGGGAGGCTGAGGTGGGTTGATTCCTTGAGCTCAGGAGTTCGAGACCGGCCTGGGCAGCATGGCGAAAACCTGTTTCTACCAAAAATACAAAAATTAGCTCAGTGTGATGGCACATGTGCCAGTAGTCCCAGCTACTCAGGAGACTGGGGTGGGATGATCACTTGAGCCTGGGAGGTTGAGGCTGAGATGGGAGAATTGCTTGAGCCCAGGAGGTTGAGGCTGCAGTCAGCCAAGATGGTGCCACTCCACTCCAGCCTGGGTAACAGAGTGAGATCCTGTCTCAAAAACAAAACCAAAAACCAAAAAACACACTGACAAACAAAACAGAAAAAAAAAATATAAAACTTGTTTTTGTAACCTGGGGTACTCCTTCCACATATGTGTTGGAAGTAGGGAGGAGTGACTGTTTATACTAAGAGCTCTAATCTTTGCCTGCAAACAAGAATTATCCAGGGGAGCAATTTAAAAATAAAGCTAGGCATGGTATTGATACAGGAGGTAGAGAGAAATTATTTAGGCAGATAGGGAGGGTAAAAGGATCCCCAACAAGACTTCCCTTTTAACAAAAGCAGCCCCAAATCTTTACTAACAAAAAACAGCCTGTCAAATGGAACTGTAGACATAGATAAGCAAGCTGGAAGCTCGCATGAATAAATGCCAGCAGGTGTGCTAATAGAAAAGGGCTACCTGGAAGCCAGCTAGGTTCAACATGGAGGCTTTCTTTTCTTTTTTCTTTGTCACTACGTGTACAGTAAAAAAGCAGGCAACATGGTGGCGGCCAGGTAGAGAACACATCTGCATAATAAGATTTGGATGGGGTAGCCAGCTTCTTTGCGTGCTATGCAAATGGCACATCTGGTCTGACCAATCTTTGGTGCCCTATGTAAATCAGACACCACCCCCTCAAGCTCATCTATAAAACCTTCTGCATTTCTCTGTGGAAGTGGCAAACCATTTTCTCCAGGACCCCTCTCTGCACAGAGAGCTCTTCTCTTTCTTTGGCCTCATTCTTAACCTCATTCTTGTGTGTCTGTATCCTAGTTTTCCGTGGCCGTGGGACAGTGAACCTCAGGTGTTACCCCAGATGATGACACTGCTTTGGTATTAACACTGTTAAATAATTCTATCAGAATCTTTTCAGGTAGGCTTGCTCCACTAATGTGTGTGAATGTGCATGTGTTTTGATTCCCTAGATTAATGAAGGTGCAGCTCAAATTAGGAGCAACAAATTCAGCTGAGGCCAATTTAGCAATAAATACTAATGTCAAAATATTCTGGCACTTGTGCTTCAGCATGTAAACCCTAGAGAACCCCTTCACATAATGGACACAGACACTGGTAGGGATGTTCACTGCATAACTGTTTGTAGTAGTGCAAACTGGTATCTTTGTAAAACTAGATCTGTATGTACTGACCTTGTTTCCACACCTTTATATGGAATTGAAAGTATTGTATAATGGAACAGAATTCAAAAGGATAAGATAAACAAGTAATATTTTTCAAGGCTGGGCATGGTGGCTTACACCTGTAATCCCAGCACTTTGGGAGGCTGAGATGGGCGGATCATGAGGTCAGGAGTTTGAGACCAGCCTGACCAACATGGTGAAACCCCGTCTCTACTAAAAATACAAAAATTAGCCAGGCATGGTGGCACACGCCTATAATCCCAGTAACTCAGGAGGCTGAGGCAGGAGAATCGCTTGAATCCGGGAGGCAGAGGTTGCAGTGAGCCGAGATTGCACCATCGCACTCCAGCCTGGGCGATAGAGCGAGACTCCGTCTCAAAAAAAAAAAAAGAATATTTTTCAAAGATATTTTTATTGTACCAAAGTAAACCCCACATACATCCTGTGGAGGCTAAAATCACTCTATCTCGGATGCTAACCCATGTGAAAGCAAAGTAAATGTGGCCTGAGAAGGACTCTGTACTTCTATATTTGAGTACTTGTGGATGAACTGTAACCTAGCTTAATAGACAAAATTGAAAACCTAACTTAGTAGTATGTATATGTAACAGTAGCTAAGTCTTGGACAATTCCAGTGGCCATACTTCAACCACTCATACACTGCTGAGTGTTCAAACTCTGTTCAAATAAGGCATACACCAAGCTGTAACCAATCCAGCCATCCATACCTCACTTCCAATTTCTATATGTCAGAAATTGCCAAGTTGTACTTATTTATTTATTTATTTTTTTGAGACGGAGTCTCACTCTGTCACCAGGGTGGAGTGCAGTGGCGTGATCTCGGCTCACTGCTACCTCCGCCTCCCAGGTTCAAGCGATTCTCGTGCCTTAGCCTCCTGGGTAGCTGGGACTACAGGCGCGCGCCACCACGCCCAGCCAATTTTTGTATTTTTAGTAGAGGCAGGGTTTCACCATGTTGGCCAGGCTGGTCTCAAACTCCTGACCTCGTGATCTGCCCGCCTTGGCCTCCCAAAGTGCTGGGATTATAGGCGTGAGCCACTGCGCCCGGCCAAGTTGTACCTTTTACTGGAGAACTCTGCATTACAGGAGTTGACCTAAAGGCTTGAGGTTTCCACATATTGCTGGGACAATTAGCCAAGTGGATGACATGTTTCTCAGCTGAGTGTGCCTACTGCTGCCACAAGTCTGTCTCAGTGTGTCCCTTTGAGAGGGTCCCATTCAGCAAGCAGAGCCTGGCAGATCTCGTCCCACCTTTGCAAAATGTTCGATATGTCAAACTGACCCAGATTTAGAGGTTGTTGCTCCCTGTGCTCAGGTTCAGGCTGAGAATGGCTCTTGACCTGTGGTACTCCCGAGCCAGAGTGTTCTTTGTGATTTTGGTGTTCTTCTTGGTATTGGAGCCAGAAGGGAGTCGGAGTATCTAAGTCCTTTGTCAGAATTGGCAGTGTCAGGAGGTGATTCGGAATTATCAGAGGCTGATCAGACTTCTCTCCTTCCTGCACAGCCTGTGTGGGCTGCATGATCATGACATTTGGTCCTTGGCTCACATGGAACCTGAAGGGATCCCAAGGAGCCTGGGTTGAAGGAAGAACAGGTGGAAGAGTTTCATGCCCGCTGGAAGAATGTGAGCAAGAAAAATAATGAGAGCTGTCTGTGGGGAGGAACAGGTTGATTGGATGCCACCCAACAGTTGCATCTGGTCTCTCATTTGGGTCGTCTACCAATAAATTCATGGGCTCCATTCTGCTCTTCTTGAGGTACAGAGATCTTTGTTTCTGAAACCACATCTAAATGAGAAAAAGGGCAACATGACATCATAAGACATAAGCAATTGTAACTCTGCATCAGATACTCTATAAAACAAAGGAGCTATTAACCTAAGGACAAATCACAGGGTGATTTTATAGAGTTGGCTCTCTGAATCCATGGGTTCCATCTGTATACCCTGATTCAAACAACCATGGATTGAAAATATTTAGAAGAAAACCCAATAAAAAAACAATGCAACAATAAAAATAATACAAAGAAAAATACAGTTTAACAACTATTCACATAGCATTTACATTGTATTAGGTAGTACAATTAATTTAGAGAGGTTTTAAAATACATGAGATGTGCACAGGTTATATTCAAATGCTACATCATTTTATATCAGGAACTTGAGCATCCTTGGAGTTTGGTATTCAGGAGAAGGTCCTGGAACCAATCCCTCATGGATACTGAGGGATGACTGTATATGAAATCATGTATGTACATATGTTTGTTATTATTTATTTTATTACTTTTGTTTTTCTTTTTTATGTGAGTTTGAGAAAAAGAAATCTTATACATTTTGTATGTGAAATTAACTCCAGTCCATGTGTTCATGTGTGTATATATGTGTGTGTAATGTGTATGTTTGTATATATACATAAACACACAAATACATACATTGAGGTTATAACACAGTTAGCAATTAAGTATAGGTGAGTTGAATCTCTGACTGGAAAGGAACGTGTTCTCGAATTCTCCCTCTAACTGCAACAATGGATCAGCAAAAAAGATCTCTTGACCAGGCTGACATTTTTTTCCTCTTCACGGATGTGTGCATAAGAATTCGTAGTTTGTGTACATGTGTATTCATCTGATTAATGACTAACAAACACAAATAAATGTATTTGAGAGTTTGTGTCATAAGCCCATGCATGGCTGTGCCTCCTCAGTCATGAGCACTTAACATACGCTAAATCACTATCCCCATAACTTAGGTAAAAGAAAATACTCCTTGGGGGCCAATTTTGTCCCTCAGTGGGAGAACATTTGACTATGTCTGTGATTTATTTGGTTGTCACAAATAGGGGGGAGAGAATGTGGGCAGTTGCTTTACTGGTATCTAGATGGTAGAGGCCAGGAATGCTGACCAATATCCTACCATGCACAGGGTGGCCCCTCACAAGAAAGAATTATCTGAGCCAAAATGACAACACTCCCAAGGTTGTAGAAAATCTAACAATGTTCTCAAAATGGGTAGTTTCTGCTAGTGATTCCAAATCCGTGCACAGCAATTTGATTTGAAAATTCTTCCTTGACAAAAACGGGACTTTCAGTGCCAGGCGTTTACCATCCCCCGTTTCCGCCCTTGATGACTTTGATAACCCAAGTCAGCTGTAAGTTTTTCAATAACACCTCCAGGGGGCAGTATCACAGGCAGGACATAGTTGGGATCACACACATAGAACTTACTTGAATTCTTGATTCCTGCAGGCCTGTTTGTTCAGCCAGTTTTTTTCTGGTAGCAATATCAGGGAATGGGTTCCTCTCAAAGGCTTGCACTAGCCTGTTTTTTTGAGTCCATGTGATGAATGTCTGTTTTTGTCGGGCTTCTTTAGGTAAGTATTCTAAAGGAGAACACAGAAGCTGTTGGGGAATTTTCATATTCAAACCAGAAAAACAAACCCATGAAGATAATGCTGGCCATATTTGTTCTCTCTGAATCCCCGAGGTGGCAGAAGAGGTCATTGCTCTGCAGCAGGACCAAAAAGCCCAGAGCTAGGCTGGGCCCAGTGGCTTACGCCTGTAGTCCCAGCACTTCGGGAGGCCAAGGTAAGTGGATCACTTGAGGTTGGGAGTTCGAGGCCAGCCTGGCCAACTGGTGAAACCCCGTTTCTACTAAAAATACAAAAAATTAGCTGGGCGTGGTTGTGCACCTCTGTAGTTCCAGCTACTTGGGAGGCTGAGGCAGAAGAATCACTTGAATCAGGAGGCAGAGGTTGCAGTGAGCTGAGATCAGACCACTGCACTTCAGGCAACAGAGTGAGACTCCATCTCAAAACAAAATACAAAAATAAAAAATAAAAAAATAAAAAGCCCCGAGCTTGCTTGTTAAGAACCTGACTGTCTCATTCAATTGTGGGAGGCCGCTCTGCCTATGGAGTAGCCATTCTTTTGTTTATTTACTTCTATAACAAACTTACTTTCACCTAAAAAAAATGTAGGATAATGTTTCTATCTCTGGTCACCAGGATGCCAGAACCAGCTATCCCTGGCTTCTGAGCTAAGAGATGTTGATGCAGAATTTGGGCACAACGTACTCTCAATGGGACCCATTGAGCATTCTTACCTTGAGTCAGATGCTGGGACTGGTCATGCCCCTGGGTTTGATCTTTTTCTGAGAAGCACTTATAATCCAGTTTTCTCTGTTTTACTCTGTAATTTTTAAACCAAACCTAAGTAGGAGAAGAAGATGTGATAGTCATACAACTCAGTGTATGTCAATATTGCCAAATATCAATTCAATTGAACAAAACTGATTTGACTGCCTGTGGCTGGAATAATGCCCACAAGAGAAAGGCAATCCATTATCCTAGGAATGATGCTGCTATTGGCATATGATTCAGGACCACACACGCATCTCCCTTCAAATCAAAGGAGCTTTTCTTTCATGGTCATTTTTTGTGGCATCCAGAGTAAATTTGTTTGATTTAGGAGACCCTATGAGGTCTCTCAAAGGATCGCTCTCTGTCTCTCTCTTTCCCTCCCTCCTAGCAGGACTTCGGTTTCTGAATATCTTTTCTTGATCCTCAACACTTCTTCATAGGAAATATCAGGTTTCATAACATGCAATACATATGGAATTAATTGCACAAAAATTTCTTTAAATAGGAGAGCAGAATTAGCCACAGTAAAGAGTTGGACTAACACTTATCAGTATTTCCTCTTAGTCATTTTTGTCCCGGGGTTAACAATAGATGAGGAGACTCCTAGCAAGCCACACACCTCATTTTGTCACCGTTGTCCCTAACAAAACCAATTGAACTCTTTGCTTGTTTCCTCATTACTAGAGTCAGAATTGCAATATATTTTCTAATGATTTCTAAGTGTTATTATTTTGATAATTAGATCATTCTTAAGAACATTTAGCATCTTAATGACAACGAATATCCAATAAACCACTCTTATATCATAGGCATTGTGCTAAAGCTGGCGTCCTCAACCCCCGGGCCACAGGCAGTCCATGGCCTGTTAGGAACTGGGCTGCACAGCAGGAGGTGAGTGGAGGGCCAGTGAGCATTACCTGCCTAAGCTTCGCCTCCTGTCAGATCAGCTGCTGTGTTAGATTGTCATAGGAGCACAAACCCTACTGTGAACTGTGCAGTTGAGGGATCCAGGTTGTGAGCTCTTTATGAGAATCTAACTAATAGCTAATGCCTGATGACCGGTGGTGGAATAGTTTCATCCCAAAACCATTACCCACCCCCTCTTGTCTGTGGAAATATTGTCTTCCACAAAACTGGTCTCTGGTACCAAAAAAATTGGAGACCGCTATGCTAAAAGGTTATATCTCTTCTCTAAATTAATGAATCAGAATAGTTTTAGTTAAGAAATCTTAAGTACAGATGGAAACTGGAAACAAGTGAAAAAAGTATAAACACTATGGCAGAGGTAACCTCCAGCTACGTCATTTCCTGAACTTGTCATTTTCACCATGATTCCAAGTGGGACTGGTACCTCTCTCAAAGCCAATTACCAGTATTCCCATAGAATGTACTTTTGTTACTGGGACTTGAGTAATCCTTGCCTCTCACATCCAGTATAGATACATGAAGAGACAAGTAAAATTTCTTCTCTCCTATATCCTCTCAGACTGAGATCCTTATAGCCAATGGCTTGTTGGAGACTATACATATGATGCAAAACCCAGAACTCATTATTTTCCTCTAAAAACACATTTTCACTTGGTCTTCATTGGTTTAATTACTATTTTCTCTGATAGAATTATATTCTTTACAGGTATCTCTTTTTCTTTCTTTATTTGAGACAAAGTCTTGCTATGTTGTCCAGGTTGGAGTGCAGTGGCTATTCACAGGCATGATCCCACTACTGGTCAGCATGAGAGTTTTGATCTGCTTTGTTTCTGACCTGAGCTGGCTCACTCCTCCTTAGGCACCCTGGCGGTCCCCAGCTCTTGGGATGTCACCGTATTGATGCCAAACTTACTGCAGGCACTCAATCCACACAACACAGGCACAGTATAGCACAGAATGCCTGGGCTCAAACGATTCTCCTGCCTCAACCTCCTAAGTAGCTGGGAGTACAGGTGCACACCACCATGAGAAGGAATCACAGATAACTTCTTTTTTTTGGTAGACATGGTCTCGCTCTGTCTGCCAGGCTGAAGTGCAGTGGTGCAATCACGGCTTACTGCAGCCTTGACCTCCTGGGCTCAAATGATCCTTCCACCTAAGCCCCTGAGTAGCTGGGACTGCAGGTGTGGAACAACAAACCCAGCAAATTAAAATACATGTTTTTGGAGAGATGGGGTTTTACTGTGTTGTCCAGGCTGATCTTGAACTCCTGGCCTCAAGTGATCTTCCACTCTCAGCCTCTGAAAATGTTGGGATTACAGGTGTGGGTCACCCTACCCAGTCCAGGTATCTTTCTGATAACTGGAGAGATTTAACTTAAGTTTCATTTTATGTCAGTTATTCTATTTAAAATAATTCAGTATGGAATTTTATTTCAAACGCTATGTGTATGAATCACATTTGAGACATTAAATTAAGAAATAGCCTGAGACTTCGGAATGCACATGCATTCTTACCCCAGTTTCCTTGTAATTACATATTAATAATCGATCTGAATATTCTAATACTAAAATATAGGACATAATTATCATGGTGATTTCATTTCCTATATTCTCTAAATCTCAAAATATGACTTAATTACCTATTGGGAGAGACTGAGCCAGTATATTCTCCTTCCCCATTAGTGAATACAAATGATATTTCCACCTTTGGTAAAATACATAAACCGCATCCTTGTTTTTATTTGTTTTCTTTTCTTTTCTTTTTTTTTTTTTTGAGACGGAGTCTCGCTTTGTCTTCCATCCTGGAATGCAGTGGTGTGATCTCTGCTCACTGCAAGCTCCCCTCCCGGGTTCACGCCATTCTCCTGCCTCAGCCTCCAGAGTAGCTGGGACTACAGGCGACTGCCACCACGCCCGGCTAATTTTTTTTTGTATTTTTAGTAGAGAGAGGGTTTCACCATGTTAGCCAGGATGGTCTCCATCTCCTGACCTCGTCATCCGCCTGCCTTGGCCTCCCAAAGTGCTGGGATTACAGGCGTGAGCCACCGCGCCCAGCCTTTTTATTTGTTTTCTAATTTTGTAGAACAGGAAAACGTTTCTTAGCAAAATACCTGATATAACCTGATATAAGAGAATTGGCAAAAGCGCTGGGCCTAGTCTTTCTCTTTACCATGGTTCTGACAGGTAATGAAGTAGAAATCTAATGCCTACCTGAATATTAGATTCTGGAACCCCAATTTCTTTGGCCAGTTGTTCTCTGGCAGCTTTATCAGGGAAAGGGTCATGTTGAAACCATGATTGGAGGATATCCTTTTGACTCTGGTTATACTGAATTCTGTTTCTCCAGAATTCTTTTTGAAGTATGCCTGATGAACAGAAAAGGGGGAGAATAGTGTGAATAATATATTTATGGGTTTAAATCTGTACTTTGATTAAATTAATTTATTTTGAGACAGAGTCTCACTCTGTCGCCCAGATTGGAGTGCAGTGATGCAGTTTCGGGTCAATGCGACCTCCGCTCCTGGGTTCAAGCGATTCTTAAGCCTCAGCCTCCGGAATAGCTGGGACTACAGGTATGCACCACTGTGCCTGGCTATTTTTTTTTCTTTGTAGAGATGAGGTCTCATTATCTTGCCCAGGCTGGCCTCGAACTCCTGGGTTCAATTGATCCTCCTGTCCTGGCCTCCCCATTTTGTTAATTATTATTATTATTATTATTGTTACTATTTTTTGAGATGGAGTCTCGATCTGTTGCCTAGGCTGGAGTGCAGTGGTACCATGTCAGCTCACTGCAAGCTCTGCCTCCCGGGTTCACGCCATTCTCCCCGGTCAGCCTCCTAAGTAGCTGGGGTGCCACCACACCTGGCTAATTTTTTGTATTTTTTAGTAGAGACAGGGTTTCACCGTGTTAGCCAGGATGGTCTCGATCTCCTGACCTCGTGATCTGCCCACCTCGGCCTCCCAAAGTGCTGGGATTACAGGAGTGAGCCACCGCACCCGTACTGTTAATTATTACTCTGTATTTTTACTTTAGGCATAGAGCTAAAGTCATGCTAAATTGGGTATATAAACATTTAAATATATATATTAGAAAACGATAATCAATGACCTAAGTTTCCAAAGAGAGAACTTACGGAAAATGTACAAAATTACCAAAAGAGGAAGCAGTAGGGAGGAGGAAAATTAACAAAAATCAATGAAAAAAGTGAAACTCATGGAACAATTGAACAGGTGAAATAAGACACACAGGAACTGGTACTTCTAATGACAAAGAATATATCTCAGTAAAATTCAGTAGGCTGCATTAGACAGTTCATACATTCTCCCCTCCACATAAACTGTCAACTTTAAAACTTTAGGTAGATGACCCTTGTATGGGACTCATGGCTGCCATCTTACATTTCAAATTCAAGAGTCCAACTTCAAAGCACCCATGGCTGTTCTGACACAATTTATCAGCGAAAAACAGCTGCTGCTCTACCAGTCTGTACCTCTAATCATGTTTGTGCTATAAACTTTGACAAACTCTGAAAAATAAGCAAGACATGCAGCAATCCCAAAGAACAGAGAAAAGGCTGATGGGAACTTACCACCTGAAGTGCCCTCCAAATTCATCTTGGGCAGAAGACCTGGACTCCACGGAGATCAGCGAGTAACTGAGCAGCTCTCAAAGACACAGGCTTTATATAGGGTCAAGGTGACCCGCCCCTTTCTTAAATAGCTTTCAATTTAATCCCCTCATTAAATATTTAACACCTGTAGAAAGAAACTTGAAGTAATTAGATTAAGTGGAAGTACAGATTCTACGTGGTGATTTTGTCTTCTTCATAATACCTTTCTAAATATGACTCTTGTTTAATTATTTCAGTTTGGCCATATTAGTTTCTACATTATAAGAATGTCCTTACCTTACTTTGCATTTTTTGTTTTCCTCGGCTCTTCTGAAACTCATGTCTTTTCAGCATTGCGATGGTGCTATCTGTGTGTCAACTTGGCTGCTCTACGCTCCCTATTTTTTCAATAAAACACGAATCTAAGCATTGCGATGAAGGTATTTTGCAGACGTGATTGGGTTATATAATCAGTTGGCTTTCAGTAAATGAGATTATCCTGGATAATCTGGGTGGGTTATTTTCTATCAGTTAAAGGTCAATCAGTTAAAGAGCAAAGCTGAGGTTGCCCTGGAGGGTGGGGGTGGTGGAAATCACATCTTGGGAGGGTGGGGGTGGTGGAAATCACATCTAGCTGGGGGTGGTGACTCAAGCCTGGAATCCCAGCACTTTGGGAGGCTGAGGCAGCAGGATCGCTTGAGCCCAGGAGTTAAATTTCAGCCTGGGAAACGCAGGAAGACCTTATTTATGTAAAAATTTAAAAAAATTCCGTAAGTGCTCAGCTGCTTCATCTGCTGTTTTAGGAGTTTCCACCTGCTTTTCTGAAGGGCCTACCCTACAGAATTTATTCCTGCCTACCCAGACCCTACAATTATAGAAGTGAGTTTTGTATTGCTGTGGCCTGAATGTTTATGTAGCCTCAAAATTCATATGTCGAAATCTTCACCACCAAGGTAATGGTATTAGGAGGTGGGGCCTTTGGATAGTGACTAAGTCATGAGGGTGGAGTCCTCATGAAGGGGATTAGTGTCTTTATCAAAGAGAGCAGACAGGGAGGGAGAGAGGGAGATCCCTGTGATCCTTCTGCCACGTGAGGTTAGAGTGAGAAAATGACTGTCTACTAGGAAGTGGGTCCTCACCAGACACCTAACCTGATTGTACTTCCCAGTCTCCAGAACTATGAGAAATAAATTTCTGTTGTTGATAAGCTAGCCAGTCTATGGTATTTTGTTATAGCAGCCTGAATGGACTAAGGCATATATATGTCTTTATATATATATATGTACAAGTGTGTATGTGTATAGATACCTATATATTTATAATATAAACACACACAGGCATACACACATATATTATATATAGTTCACTAGTTAATAGCTGACCTCGGAACACTACTGATTGTTTCTCTGATGGAACCCTGAATGATACAGATGTTGATGTGCCCAAAATCATAATTACTGTCATGCGCATCCGTGTGAAGAGACCACCAAGCAGGCTTTGTGTGAGCAACAAGGCTGTTTATTTCACCTGGGTGCAGGTGGGCTGAGTCTGAAAAGAGAGTGAGCAAAGGGTGGTGGGATTATCGTTAGTTCTTATAGGTTTTGGGATAGGCGGTGGATTAGGAGAAATGTTTTGTGGGCAGGGGGTGGATCTCACAAAGTACATTCTCAAGGGTGGGGAGAATTACAAAGAACCTTCTTAAGGATGGGGGAGATTACAAAGTACATTGATCAGTTAGGGTGGGACAGAAACGAATCACAATGGTGGAATGTCATCAGTTAAGGCTATTTTCACTTGTTTTGTGGATCTTCAGTTGCTTCTGGCCATCTGGATGTATACGTGCAGGTCACAGGGGATATGATGGCTTAGCTTGGGCTCAGAGGCCTGACATTTACTGCTTTCTTTTGCATTAAATGAATAGTTTCTAATATAGCATTATTTTTCTTTTTTTAGAGACAGGGACTGGCTCTGTCACTGGAGCCTCAAACTCCAGGGCTAAAGTGATCCCCCTGCCTTGGCCTCTGAAAGTGCTGGGATTATAGGCATTAGCCACTATTTCTGGCCAACATTTTCTTTTTTTTTTTTTTGAGATGAAGTATGGCTCTGTGACTCAGGCTGGAGTGCAGTGACTCAGTCTCTGCCCACTGCAATCTCCATCTGCCAGGTTCAAGCGACTTTCCAGCCTCAGCCTTCCGAGTAGTTGGGATTACAGACTTGTGCCACCACACCAGGCTAATTTTTGTATTTTCAGTAGAGACGGGGTTTCACCATGATGGCCAAGCTGGTCTCGAACTCCTGGCCTCAGATGATACATCTGCTTCGGCCTCCCAAAGTGTTGGGATTACAGGTGTGAACCACCATGCCCAGCCTGGTCAACATTTTTATTAATGATTTTTTGCTGTATAGTTTGAGTGTTTAAAAGTGGTTTTGGCCAGGCCAAGGTACAGGGATTAAAGGACTGAGCCACTGTGCCCAGCCTTTTGCAGAATGATAATAAGAATAATCTAATATGACAGACTTCAACTTGCTTCTAACCTGACAGGCCCCCCCCCCCATCCTTTTTTTTTTTCCTTTTTCTAACACAGAGTTCTCATAGATAACCATGAAAAATATTTAGTTTATAATTAAACATGAGGCAAGAAAAACTGAGCCCTTCCACTTCTTGCCCCCGCCAATTCGGAGGTTAAAGCAACATTCATAAGACAAGGTTAAAATTATGGCAGGGACTTAAACTTTTCTTTTCTTTTCTTTTCTTTTTTTTTTGAGACGGAGTCTTGCTCTGTCGCCCAGGCTGGAGTGCAGTGGCGTGATCTCCGCTCACTGCAAGCTCTGCTGCCTCCTGGGTTCACGCCATTCTCCTGGCTCAGCCTCCTGAGTAGCTGGGACTACAGGTGCTCACCACCATGCCTGGCTAATTTTTTTGTATTTTTATTAGAGACAGGGTTTCACCATGTTTGCCAGGATGGTCTCAATATCCTGACCTCGTGATCCGCCTGCCTTAGCCTCCCAAAGTGCTGGGATTACAGGCGTGAGCCACCACGCCCGGCCTAATTTTCTAAAAAATAGGCATAGTTAACCAATAACCTGCCATCAATCAGCTTGTTTTTCTATAAGTGTTGAGTGCTCTGGAGTCACGTAGCCAGGGGTTACAAAATTTATAACTTCCCCAGCTACCCCTATAAATAGCATTGCAAATGTAAAACTCAAAGAATGAGTGTGTGAGATATTTTTCAGATTTGGCACTTTAGCAGATCAAAAGCCCCTCCTGGTCTGTGAGACCGCCCTCCCAGAAACTAACTCAGCTGCATAAAGACAGTTTTACACACCCCTGTGATTTCATCAATTGTTTCTCAGCACCCTGCCGGCCAAAATATCCTAAAAAGCCCTGGCCTCGGAATTATCAGGGAGATGGGTTTGAGAAGTTTCTCCTTGTTCTCACCTGGCTGGCCCTGTGATGATTAACCTCTTTCTTTGCTGTAATACCTGTTGTTCTCAGGGCATCTGGCTTTCTGGGCAGCAGGCAAGATAAACCCAACTGGTTATTACAATTTTACCTTAATTACCTCTTTGAAGGCCCTATCTCCAAACACCCTCACATTTGAAGGTACTAGGGGTTTGGACTTCAACATATGAATCGTATGAATGGGGGATTGGGCAGAATTCAGGCCATGACAGCCCTCCAAGGGTTAAATCCTGATTTTGACCCCTGAGCTTGAGTCCCTATTTCTGTCTCCTAAGGCTTTAGTGTCCACGTGACCAGGACTGGAACATGCCTTGTTGGATCCGGGACCTCAACCTTGAGGCTTCCCCTCCCTGGGTTTTTAGGCACTAGAAGTCTGAGGAGGACACAAGTAAAAGGGGCTTTTTGGGGCCTCTGGGCCTTCCTGTGAGCGATTGTCTTTGTGGAGGAAACTGGGATCTTGCTGCACGCAAGCCTGCGACATGACTCGCTCTTAACTAAGTCCTTGCTTAGCCTGAGTCCCAGGGCCTCAGGAATCCTTTGTGCAGTGTCAGGGCCTCCCTGAAACGTGCAGACGCCTTTTCACAGAGGCCCTCAGTGGCTAGGGGATGTGGGCACCTGCTGGCGGGAGCTGTCACGCACATCCGTGTGAAGAGACCACCAAACAGGCTTTGTGTGAGCAACAAGGCTGTTTATTTCACCTGGGTGCAGGCAGGCTGAGTCCAAAAAGAGAGTCAGCAAAGGGTGGTGGGATTATCATTAGTTCTTATAGGTTTTGGGATAGGTGGTGGAGTTAGGAGCAATGTTTTGTGGGCAGGGGGTGGATCTCACCAAGTACATTCTCAAGGGTGGGGAGAATTACAAAGAACCTTCTTAAGGATGGGGGAGATTACAAAGAACCTTCTTAAGGGTGGGAGAGATTACAAAGTACATTGATCAGTTAGGGTGGGGCAGAAACAAATCACAAGGGTGGAATATCATCAGTTAAGGTTATTTTCACTTCTTTTGTGGATCTTCAGTTGCTCCAGGCCATCTGGAGGTATACTTGCAGGTCACAGGGGATATGATGGCTTAGCTCGGGCTCAGAGGACTGACAGAAGCTGGGACACCTGAGCCACCTGGGAGAGGCCCAGGACCCTAAACAGACAGGCCCCCTGGCCCTCAGCAGCCCCCACTGCCCCAGAAAGTCATGCCCACAAGGAGCCTTGAGGTCACTATGGTCTTTCCTGCAGACATTGGTTGTTTGAGAGAACAAATATCTGGCAAACAATCAAGAACAGACATAGAAAGTCCAAATATGAAACATTACAAACAGTACGCTGCTACATATGCCCTAGGAATGAAAAAGTTAAGAGGATGTTGGAGTGATTTGATAATACATTTGAAGATTTAGATGAAATGGATATATTCTTAGAAAATTTCAACTTCCCAAAACTGATCTAAAGATAAACGGTTGTCTTCTAATTGTTTAAAGTACAGAATCAGTAGTTAACAATGTTTCCATGAAAATAATGTCAGAGCCAGGCAGAGTCACTTTAAATTTCAAGCATTTAATAAAGGAATAAATGAAGCCAATATCAGTCATGAACATAGATACCAAAATCTTAAACTACTGGCACCTCTAATCTAGAAATACATAAAAAGGGTATGTCATAAGCTAGTTGGATTTTTCTAAAATCACAATGTTTTAAAATAATCACATGAACAGATTATGGAAGAAAAATAATACCATCATCACAACAGATGAAAACATTTAAAAACTTAAAAATTCAGAGAGACTTTGGATTTTTGAGGGAAGAAGCTGAGAACAATAGAAATAAAAGGGAACCCCTTAAGCCCCTATTTGGTAATACATATTTGGAGATATACCTAATGTGAAGCTTGGAGATGTGGCAATGATGTTGTTTCTACCCCAATTTAGTATTTTACTGCAGTTCTCAGCCAAATAGTTAGGAAGAAAATCAAAGTAGAAGTATTGGAAATAAATAAGAATACTTTTATTGGCAGATGGTGTGATTGTGTGCATACAAAATCCAGTGAATCCACAGATTGACTGTTTTTTTCAAATTTCTGTTGATATATGCTATGTTTTGTCAACTGAAGAATAAGGTTCATAAATATGGAAAGGAGAGCTTTGTTTTTCATAAAGGATTATAGCCTGCAGGGTGGCCGTTCTGACAAGCTGGGAAGCATAGCTCCCCAGCCAGAAACTAGGAATAGACACTTCAAGGGTCCAAAGAATAAGACAGGAATTTATGCTGAATGGGATGGCCAGATATACATATTCAATGAGCTATAGAAAAAATAATGCATATTTATGAAGAGAAACAAATATATATGCAATTGAGCTTCATGCCTCTCCGTAGGACCCACGTTCAAAAAACGGCGGCATCAGCGTGATCCCAGGGTGGAGTGTTGTGCTCTTTGACATCCAAAGGTGAAGTAGAGACACAAAAACCCTCACTGGGCATTCGTCATAGACTGGCCAGAATCATTCCATGGTTGGTGGTCTCTCATCAGGAAGAAAAGCTCATCAGTTGTTATGTTGAAACTGCTAAAAGAAGGGAGAGCAGTCAAGCAGTTGACACAATGGCGGAATCTTTTGAAAGGGCTGGTTTCTGTTTAGCTCTTACAGAAGAAAGCTTAATGATGGTCAGTGAAAGAGCAGGTATTAACGAGCTGTGTCTGACTTCCCATCCTGTCATGGCCGAGAACTCAGTTTTCTAGGTTAACTCTTAGGTCCCCTTGGTTAAGACGTGGTCTGTTCAGTAGGTTGGGCTCTTAAAATTTTATTTTTATTTCTCAGTTTCATAACAGAGGAGAAAAGCTATTCTTTCTTATCTTGTCCAAATTCAACTTTCAGTAATTTAAAGAATATCAACACAATATCTAACTATATTTTTAGAAATATTTTTACTATGTGTGTATGCATATATTTATGTGTATTCAAGAATAATTAATAGCAAGCTTTACTTTGTTTCATTTTGATAATTATTGTACCATACATTAATTAGGCAACTTGCTTTAAAATTAAACATTGTGTCTCTGGTAAGGACTAGTTAATTCCAGAATCCCAGGGATGGACAAGGGCCCACTGTTCTCAAGTGGGTAATTGTGATGAGATGGTTACTAAGGGTAGATGGTAAAGACTGGTTAAGTCCGGAACCCAGGATGATGGGAAACACCCCCTTCAGGATAACAGAAGAAAGGGGGGATGCCTTCTGTTTTCTTTTTCCTTTCTTCCTCCTCTGTTCTCTCTTCCCAGATGGGTAGTTATGTCTTCATACCACAGGACACGCCCCTTGGATGCATCCCCTAAAAGTGGGAAAAGTTTAATTTCCCCAAACCTTAAACTGTTTGGCTTATAAATGAACTAGGAGAAAATTACAAAAGTCAGCCTTGGAACCCAGTGCCCCTGTGCAGGAAGTCCTCAGATTAGCCTCTTCAGTCTTTCATAACTGAGAGCAGAAGAGGAAGAACAGGGCTAAGCCTGTTGGGTAGGGCAAATGGCATCCCTTCCCCTCAAATAAAAGATTAACACCCCTTTTTATTACTTAAGGGACCAATTACCATTCTCCCACTGGTCCTTGGTAATGTCTAAATACCTCATACCTCTTTGGGGCAAACATATAATCTCCAAGATCAGTGCTCACTTAATATTTACCTGTCCTCTGAATACATCTTTCTAATAGCCCTATTTCTCCCAGAAAAGCTACCTAAATCATTAACTAATAGCTTCAACCTAGATAGTCTTACCTCAGAGGTTTAGAAATATCCCACACTTATTCAGAAAAGCCCTAGCAAAAAAAATCTAACTGAGCAGTCTCTTCAGGGGGGATAACTTCTTTTTTTTTTCATTCAATTGTCGCTTTATTGCAAGATGGTTGAATTACAAATTTAAACTATAACCTGGTAATCTTTAGTCAGGCAGCAAGTTTTAATAAAGGCAAACTGCTTATTCAGAAGTGATCAGGGAACAACTCAAATGCAGAGTAAGAAGGATGAGAAACATCTAACTGGCTGATATATTAATTCTCTCACTGTATGAAATAAACTTTTCATTTTTAGGAGAGGTAAACTATAACTTCAGTAGACACCAATACAGAAATATTTTGTCACATAGACTACCTTCCATTTAGTCAGTCAACTGTTTCTAGCTGTCTCAATTGGGATAGATACCTTTACATAACTGGCTGTGCTTGAGCCTTCTTTGCCAGCAGCTTTAGGTCTGTAATGCACTTGGGAATTGTCTCCTTTTTCCTACTGTGCAGAGATGCTCTGAACCACATGCTTCTCCACCCAATTTATAATGTGCTCTTGTTCCTTTTGATGCATCATGTTCTGCACGGATATATGATAGTCTAGGCAATTCTTTACTTCCTTATGTACTCTATACAGCTGTTCCTGGTAAGTAAACTCTGAAGCCATAGGAATGTTTTTCCTCTGCACATCAAAAAGTAATGGCAGTACCTGCTGTGACTTCTCCAAATCAGTTGCATCCTGGATTTGTTTGATGGAAGCCTGCTTCGCCTCTTCTAGTTGGACAAGTTTTTGCTCATTGAGTTTATCAGCAAATTCTGCAAGAGAGGCACCATATTTTTTAATTGCATAGACAAGTAACCCTACTACTGATATGGTAGAGAAGGTCTCTGTGGTAATCACATATATTTCTTTGGATAAAGCATACAAAATAAGCCCAATTCCGAGCACATAGAGTCCTGTTACACCAGCTTTAGGATAAAGAAACAGGAAGAATTCCTCAGGGATCAGTCCAGGATGAACTTTTCCTCCGTATTCAGGAAGAGGTGGTAGAAGGGCAAGGTGTGGCTGCACTGTGTGAAATGTCCTTGTTGCCTGCAATACCCCTGGACCTAGGAAGGCTGCATTCTTCAGAGAGAGGGCCACTGTGGTGGCAGCAAAAAGTACCACCCAGGACAGCATGGTCAGTGAAGGTCCAGGCAGCAATCTTAGCATCCCTGTGAGAGGGGAGATAACTTCTGCAGTATGCAGATAACCTCTTTATCTGCGCCCCCTTCACAGGACTCCAGGGTCACTAGGGCTCATCAGGGAAAGGGAACCCAGAAGCCTGGCATGCCGGCAAAAGCATAAAAATTTTTACCAGTCAGACTTCAGGCCTCTCTCTCTCTATGCAAACCAGTTGTAGGAATGGTAAAAATCACCGTATTCTCTGCCCCTCCATGAATGACTTCTGACTTCCCTTCTTGAATTTTCCTTTCTCTGAGCTACCTCTGGAGACTTTAAATGTTTTAAAAACTCCTTACCACCTCTTTAAAAATACCTCATATGCTCATGGTTAAGTCATAACCTTAGTTAAGACTTATTGGTTTCACCTGTGAGGTTACTTTTGATAATGTTCAAAGGCCAGAAATATTGTTCGTTTGGCCTGGATAAAGTAGGGTAATAAGAGATGTAAGAGCATTTTTTTAAGAGCGCTATGGTTAAAAGTCAGCTTAATTAAAAGCAGATAGCCAAGCGGATACATATATTACAGTGTAAATGTTCATGAATATCAAGCAGAATGAGAGTTAACTGAATGGACTGAACTAATAGAAGAGTGAAGTAATCTTTTTGACTTTTTGCAAAATCTTTGTTTTTCAGAGCCAAGAAAACTTTTCTTTTGAGCTATTTACTACAGCTTTTCACAATTCAGTATACTCCTGTGAACAAAAATTTCACATATTTGTTTCTCTTTACCTGATTTCTCCAGAATTTGGAAACTATTTGTGAGTATTCTTAATGCGTGGCAATATAGTTATTGGCATAAGTGCAATTAGAATGTTTTCTTTTGCAACAGTACACCATGGGAGAAACTGGCTGTTTTACCAGGGCTTTGACTGGAATGGCATGCTTTCCTTTAAGGAATCAAGCTTGACTTATAGTGCCAATACAAGTCCCTTGGGGAGTCAGGCCTCATAACTTGTCTACACAGTCCCTGTACAGGGACCTAACCTGTGGTGAGTAAAGAATGTCACTGTCTAACAGGCCCAGGTGCCCCAAGTTTTCTAGAGACCTCAGAGGAGAGAAATCTACCCTCCTCACAGGTATTTGAGGGTACAAACCCATGGCTGTGCTTGGCTTTTAAAATGTCTTATCTGAGATTTCTTATGGAACGGAGTTCCATCGAAGCCAATTTTAAAAGCCTATGTAAAAATAATTATCCTTGCTGCACTTTATGCAAACAATCAGGCCAAATATAATAAGACTAAAGTTTATTTTGCAAACAAATCATTCCTATCCTGATTTTAATAAAAAGGAGGATTGTAAAGAGAAAACCTATGTTTCACAATTTATGGTACACCTACTATTACATTCTAACGTCATTAGTTGTTTTTAAGTTTTTGTCTGCATTTTAGCCTAACCCTGCTTATTTCTGTGAACCAACCAGCGATCCCTCGCTGCAGGTCAGAAGAAACAAAGGAGATGGGTTATTTAGAAATCTGCACCAATATTCGAGTTCTGGGCACACTGAAATAAGTTGGCAGCCCAAGTCTTAGCAGGCAGGACCATGGCCACCAGTTACCTGGGTGTGTTGGCAGCCTCAATTTTTTGGAGCTGTCCTCATTCCCTTATTTTACTTTGGTCCATGTCTTCTAAATCTAGTAACATGATTTGTCTCCTGTTGCCTTCAGGCCATCAAGCTTCAGATCAGTGTGGGATACTGTCCTCTCAATATTCAAGAGGCACCCCTCTACATGGGACCCCTAGACTGCCCATCAGTGGGACAGGAAGGCAAACTCCTGCCCCTGTCTCCCTTAGACCTTGCTAGATACCACTTTCACCAACCCATGGAGTCACCCTGCTGCCCTGACAGCTAGCAAGAGGCCAAGACCTGCAGAACCACCACAGCCCCTTTGTCAGTGGGAAGCAGTTACAGAAGACTGAACTTTGTCTAATTTCCTTCAAAGATCTGAGGTCTTGGGCTCTTGAGGGGGAAAATTTTACAGGTAGTTAGACAGGCATGAGCCAGGCAGGAGAGGGCTCTCCCCCACCCCCTAGGAAAGTCAGGTGATGGTTCAGCAAGTATCACATCGCCTCTGTAAAGGTGATAAACTGGCTGCCAGGGCCAGGGAGAGGCCATTTTCTGATGGTCCATACCTGTTACACTAAAGTGTTAATTGAATGCAGATGCCAGGGAGGAGCAACTTCCAGGGCATGTGCATCAAGAGACAAAACAGTGGAATATGTCCTGGGGACACTCCACCAGAAAGGGGAAGAAAAACCTCAGATTGGTACATATACAACTTCCTAAACACACTTTGTGTGCTTATTTTTCAAGCAGAAGGAAGGCACTGCACATGTGGACAGACTGCCCTAAGAGAAGAATCATGGAAAAGGGGTCAGCCTATAAAGTCCTAAGATCAAGGTTAAAGACCACACTTGACCTTCATGTCCCAACTTAGGTTTCTTCCAAACTTACTTTCCTTTCTTTCCTGTTCTAAAGCCCTTTTAAATAAATATCCACTCCTGCTCTGGAAAAAAGAATGAAACATTGTGCCTCATAAATCTCACATGTATCTATAGATCTAGTTCATTCTTATTAACTGTGCTAGCTTATTACTTTATACTTTATTTTGATTCTTCATCAGTCAACTTGATATACTGTGTTTCTATAGCTGTATATTCTTTGGAACACTTGGAAGAATTTCTATGTAGGACACATCAAATAGAGAGAGAATTGGTGGGAAATTTCAGCTTTTAAAGCAAGTTGCCTAATTAATATTACAATATATGCTTTATTTGACAAAACTCTGGAATCTTTGAGAAATAATTCTACATGTCAAAGCTCAAAACTATTAAAAAGACCTAGAGGTTCAAAGACACTTGATCTTTTCTAAAAAAAAATCAGGTCAGCACCTGGCATTCAGAGACTCACCTGGGTATTTCAGATGTTTGTTGGCCTTGGCATCACATCCCTAGATGACTTGGTCACAACACTCTGGATTCCTGGGCAGCAGCTGTCAGCTAAGAGGGCTGGTGGGGGCTGCTTCAGCACAGCATCTTCCTGAGGATTTTCAGGTCCTCTTGCATGGTTTTTTTTTTCTTCCTTTTTCTAGAGACAAGATCTTGCCATGGTACCCAGGCTGGTCTTGAATCCCTGGGCTCAGAGAGATCTTCCTGCCCTGGCTTCCCAAAGTGCTAAGATTACAGGTGTGAGCCATTGTGCCTGGCTTTATGTACTGTGTCTTTAAATGCCTTTCAATTAAAAGCTCCTGCCTTTATACTGGGCTGACTTTGAGATGTGCAAAGGCCAGGCTGATGTTGCTGCAGCACCCTTCACAGGCAGAGCTTCTTCGGTGGGGCTGGCTGCTGAGGAGATACAGCTGGGTCCTGGTAGGCCACGCTTCACAACCTGCAGATACTGCTCTGGTCCATGGAGGAGAGAGTTTTGCAAGAGTAGCCTTTAGAATCCCCCATCCAATTGTCACTGCTGTGGGGCTTTGTGGTTACTCTGTTCTTGTTGGCTATATTGCCTCTCAGGGGAACAATGCCTGAAGGGCTGGGCAAGAGCCTCCTTCTTCTGAAGGCAAAATGTCATTAGACTTTGCATGATGTGATTTGAGCAGTGCTCCTGCAATCTTTGTGCTCGTTGGTTTTTCAATCCATATTCTATGGAGTCAGTCTTTTCAAGGCCACTGTAAACTATATGGTCAGGAGCTCAGGAGCTGTAACACATGTGGACACCGCTTCTGTATGAGAAGGGACCAAGAGCTCATGGAGCCTTCCTGTAGACAGTCTTATTTTTCTTCTTCTTTTTAATTTTTCATAGACAGGGTCTTACTCTGTCACCCCGGCTGGAGTGTAGTGGAATGATCACGGCTCACTGCAGCCTCCACCTCTGAGGTTCAAGTGATCCTTTCACTTCAGCCTCTGAAGTAGCTGGGACCATAGGCACAAGCCACTATGCCTGGCTAAATTTTTTATTTTTTTTTATTTTTCTGTAGAGATGGGATCTTCCAATATTGCCCTGGCTGGTCTCAAACTGCTGGGCTCAAGTGATCCTCCCACCTCAGCCTCCTGAGTAGCTGGGACCACAGGAGCACACCATCATGCCCAGCTAATTTTTTAAAAAGTTTTTTTATAGAGACAGGGACTCACCATGTTGCCCAGGCTTTTCTTGAACTCCTGGGCTCAAACAATGTCACCTGGCTTTTTTCTTTCTTTCTTTCTTTCTTTTCTTAATGTGGAGGCTTCTGGTAAGGGCTCTGCCTTGTGCTACTGTGTGGGTGACTGTGGGCCTGACCTGCGACTGTGTTTCTCTGACACTTAGCACTACTTTGCAGAGTTGCATCCTTGGTTCCCTGCTGCAGACCCTTGTCCACTCTTCAACTTAAAGTTGCTGCATTTGGGTCCTGGGTTGCTCTGAAGCCCTTTCCTGCATATCTTGCCCCAGAGGCAGAAGGGGTGAGTCGGCAGCTATTTGGAGAGACATGTGCTGCAGTTGAGAGCACAACGGCTTTCCATTATTCTGAGGCAGTTGACTCTGCAGCTGTGACTGAGCCGAGGACCACTGCTTCCCTAGATCCCAAGGACCCGAGTCCATTGGGAGCTGTTCCTGCAACATCATCCCCTCTAAGTAATTCTGAGGCTGTTGGTGCTGCTGCAGGTGATACTGCCAATCATTCTGCTGCTGTTGTCCCAGCAGTGAGAGACAGAATGAGCAAAGACAATGGTCTTTCTTCACCCCATATGCACCTTGAGCGTAATCCAAAAGGAAAGGACTTGCATGCTGGCTTTCCTTGGTTTCAGTCCTTTCTCCATGAAAATATGGCACAGAAGATGGGGGAGGATGAAGGCATTCTGCAGAGTTGTAGCTGAGAAAATGATAGGCAGTAGAATGCCCACTTCCAGAATGCCCACTTCCTGTGTCACCTCCATACCCCATAGCACAGCCTGGATGCTTTTCAGTGCCTGTGACCAGATAGGAACTCTGGGAGGCCACCTGTTGACTGGGAATCCCTAGTTTCTCCAGATAGGAGCACTGGGAACCCACCTGTTGACTGGGAATCCCTGGTTTCTCCAGATAAGAGCACTGGGGGCCCACCTGTTGACTGGGAGTCTCTTGGTTCTCCAAAGAGAAACAATTATAGCCCATTTCTTGACTGGGAATCCACTGTTTCTCCAGATGGGAGCAACCAGCTCTTCTCATCAGAGCCCTCTGGGCACCAGAGAGGCTCTGCTTGGTGGCATAGTTGTGAGCTGCAGCCTGGGTCTCCTGGCAGCTTAAAAATGAATGGGCTTGGACTGGAAAATCATGCTTTTTCTGAAGAACAAATATTCTGCGTCTTTCTGCAGGTGGAAGTCTGGCTCTTTTATTCTGGAACCAATTCTAGAGAGAAAAGATAATATTGTTTTATTGACTCTACTTATCTGAATATATTCTTATATGCATTCCTTAATGTAGGAGGATTTTTCTATTTAAGCCTCTTCCAAGCAGAGTCCCTGACTTGCCTGCTGACATTAAAGCATATAAATAATAAAGGCAATCTGTCCTAGAGGTACATGTGATAACACAGGTCATGCATTGCGCATTTCTAGAACCATAACCTCCTTCACTGGAGACATTGACACCATGGTTTACATGTGAACCTTGGCTTCCCAGAATCTCTCCCCAACCTGTTTGTGACCCATTTGCAATGTTCTCCTGCATGTTCACTAAGAGACCCACTCTGTGCTACAGAAGAGGCTCCCAGCTGTCCCACCTAGTCATGCATAGTTCACACAACCCTGCTACTTTACTCATACTCTCCCGCCAAGGAGAATTAGTGGTGTATTTTCTGACATACACATTTCTGTTCCTTTTCTTCACTTTTTTTTTTTTGGACAGAGTTTTGCTCTTGTTGCCCTGGCTGGAGTGCAATGGTGTGATCTCAGCTCACTGCAACCTCCGCCTCCTGGATTCAAGTGATTTTCCTACCTCAGCCTCCCGAGTAGCTGGAATTACAGGAGCACCACCATGCCCGGCTAATTTTTTTTGTATTTTTAGTAGAGACGGGGTTTCGCTATGTTGGCCAGGCTGGTCTCGAACTCCTGACCTCAGGTGATCTGCCCGCCTCAGCCTCCCAAAGTGCTGGGATTACAGGCATGAGCCACCACATCTGGCCCACATTTCTGTTTCTTATATGTACATAATTCTGACATGCATTGGTTCACGGGTTACAACTAAAGAGTGCAATTGTTTGAATAACTTCTTGACCATCTATTTGTTGTATGACTCTCTGAGGGAAAAAAAAAAACATTTTTCCTCTGCTCTCACACCACAACAATCAACAGAGAAAGGCTTGTGTGAGCAAATGTGTTTTTCCACACACCAGGCAAACAGTCAGTTCTGTAGTGCACACCAGGTGGGTGTCCTTCAATTCAATTCTGACACTATGTACCTGGAAATACTGTCAGATCCCACAGGTCGAGGGCTCAGTCCTGCAAGTCTGCCCCTCCTTCAGATGCCAGTTGCAAGTCTGGGCTTCTGAAACTTTTGGCTGACTGGCTTCAGGTCAGGGCTCCTGCTGACCTCCTCTCTGGGTTTGATTAACTTGCCAGAGTGGCTCACAGAACTAAGTGAAACACTTAGGTTTACCAGTTGATTAGAAAGGATATTACAAAAGATACAGATGAAGAGATGCATAGGGTGAGATATGGGGGAAGGGATGCAGAGCTTTCCTGCCCTCCCTGGATAAGCCACCTCCAGGAACTTCCACACGTTCAAGTATCTGGACCCTCTTCAAACTCAGTGTCTTTGTTTTTTTTCTGGAGGCTTTATTGTATGGTCATGATTGATTAAGCCATTGGCTATTGGTGATCAACTTAACCTTCAGCTCCACCTCCTCTCCAGAAGTTGGAGGGTGGGGTTGAAAGTCTCAATTTTCTAATCCTGCCTGGATCTTTCCAGCTTTCATCCTGAAGCTACTAGGGGCTACCCACCCAACAGTCAGTTCATTAGTAGACAACTCTCAGATTTATATCTTAGCTAAGTGCTCTCCCAACCCTTCAGAATTGCATATTCAACTGTTCACTTAGTGTTTCCACTTGGATGTTTATCTGACATATGAAACTTCATGTGTCCAAAATGTAAACTTTGATTTCTCTGACACACCTGTCCCTCCCTAGGTCCCCTCCTTAGTAAAAGGCAACTTTCATCTTCCATAGACTTAAGTCAAACGTCCAAGTAACCTTTGAGTCCACCTTACCTTTCACAGCATAACCCACACATAGTAAACTTTGTCAGCTCCATCTCAAACATCTACAGTCTCATTAGTACCATCCACCTGCACAGCTAGCAAGCTGGCCCAAACCACCGTCACCACCACTAACTACAGCAGCATCAACTCATCCACTGCTTCCAAATTTGCCTCACTGCAGTCTAGTTTTTACAATACATACTCACTGTATTTTCACAAGTACATAATACTATTTTCTTATGCGATGAAATGCTATATACTGCTTAATTCTTTACATTTTTCATATTGTTATGTGCATGTGTACAATTTTCTCTCAAACTGGTTATGGATACCAACGTTTGAGGATGTCTCAGGCCCTCATATATATAAAACGGTGTAGTATTTGCATATATACTATGCACATTCTCTCATATGCTTTAAACCATCTCTAGATGACTTACAATACCTGATACCTAATATAACACAAATGCTACATAAATATTTCTTATTCTGTATTGTTTTAACATTTGTATCATTTTAAAATTTTTGTATTGTTATTTGCTCCCCACCCCCACACCTGCAACCTCCTCTCACATTTTTTTTGAAACAGGGTCTCATTCTGTCACACAGGCTGGAATGCAGTGGTATGATCAGGGCTGGAAGCATCAGCCACAGCGCCCATCTTATTTTCATTTTTTAACTTTCCAAATATTTTTCATTTGTGGTTAGTTAAATCTGTGCATGTGGACCCAGTGGAGATGGAGGATTAACTGTATATACATATGTATTTTGATTGCACTTTCCCATTTCTTCGAATTCTGTACCTTCCTATCCAATCCCCTGCATTCTACCTCCATCTGTACTTATTGCCCTTTAATTTTATATGGAACAGCTGGATGTGGTGACTCACGCTTGTAACCCCAGGACTTTGGGATGCTGAGGTGGGTAGATCTCTTGACCCCAGGAGTTCAAGACCAGCCTGGGCAACATGGTGAGACCCCATTTTTTACAAAACATAAAAGCCTGGCGGGGTGGTGTGTGCCTGTAGTCCCAGCTACTCAGGGGACTGAGGTGGGGGAATCACCTGAGCCTGGAAAATGGAGGCTGCAGTGAGCCGTGATCATGCCACTGTGCATCTGCCTGTGTGATAGGAGTGAGACCTTGTCTAAAAAAAAAAAAATCTAGGAAATATACATATGAGGTCTTGAACTTACATCTATCACATTTACCGGACAATCAAATTTGATGGCCAGTGTTTTCCTAGTTGTGTAATCGGGATAACAGTTCTCTCCAAATATTTCCTTAAGTTCCTGCAGTAATTCTTCAGAAAATTTATGTCGGTGTTTTGTTTTTCTTTTATTCTTTGTTTGTCTTTCTTCATTATGATGATCCTCTTCAGCTGGGAAACCTGACAAAAGTATAAGTAGCGAGAAGGGCATTAGAGAATATTGGTAATAACCAGACCAAAGAAGAGTTCCCAACAGTGTTAGCACCATAGATTCCCTCCCCTTCCCAAGATGAAATCCACGTGTGACCTCATAGCTACTCACAATAATAAAATTACAAATGAAAGCAGGAATTGGCTAACTCTAGGCCTATGGGCCAGATCCACCCAGTTGCCTGTTTTTGTAAATAGAGTTTTATCGAAACACCATCACATTCATTCACTTATGCATTGCCTATGGCTGTTTTCAAGCCACAACAGCAGGCTTAGTAGTTGAGGCTCCAATGTGTCTAGGGTCGACACAGCCTAACATATTTACTATCTGGATTTGAGAATTTATATTTAAAATTAGAACTAATTGCAGAAGAATATTTTATTATTTCATCACCGTAAGGTAAAACAGGAAAAACTGATCTATACTGATTGGAAGGCAGGACATGGGCTACTGAGGGAATGGAATCGGGAGCCTGAAAGTGAGCGAACAGAGGCCTCTGGGTGCCACTAAGTTTTCTTTATCTGAGTGCTGAGTTCCACGAGTGTAGTTGATTTGTGAACATTAGTTAAATTAAACATGTATAAATATTTGCTATTTTTGGCATGCATGCTATATTTCAATTAAATATTTCTTTTGAGCCAAGATGGCCAAATAGGAACAGCTACAGTCTACAGCTCCCAGCGTGAGCAACACAGAAGACAGGTGATTTCTCCATTTCCAACTGAGGTACTGGGTTCATCTCACTGGGGAGTGTTGGGAAGTGGGTACAGGAGAGTGGGTGCAGGGCACCGAGCATGAGCCGAAGCAGGGTGAGGCATCGCCTCACTTGGGAAGTGCAAGGGGTCAGGGAATTCCCTTTCCTAGTGAAAGAAAGGGGTGACAGACGGCACCAGGAAAATCAGGTCACTCCCACCCTAATACTGCGCTTTTCCAATGGTCTTAGCAAACGGCACACCAGGAGATTATATGCTGCGCCTGGCTCAGAGGGTCCTACGCCCATGGAGCCTCGCTCACTGCTAGCACAGCAGTGTGAGATCAAACTGCAGGGTGGCAGCGAGCCTGGAGGAGGGGCGCCTGTCATTACCCAGGCTTGCTTAGGTAAAAAAAGCTGCCAGGAAGCTCAAACTGGGTGGAGCCCACTGCAGCTCAAGGAGGCCTGCCTGCCTCTCTAGACTCCACCTCCGGGGGCAGGGAACAGCCAAATAAAAGGCAGCAGAATCATCTTCAGACTTAAATGTCCCTGTCTGACAGCTTTGAAGAGAGTAGCGGTTCTCCCAGCACGCAGCTGGAGATCTGAGAACGGACAGACTGCCTCCTCAAGTGGGTCCCTGACCCCTGAGTAGCCTAACTGGGAGACACCCCCCAGTAGGGGCAGACTGACACCTCACACGGCCGGGTACTCCTCCGAGACAAAACTTCTAGAGGAACGATCAGGCAGCAACATTTGCTGCTCACCAATATCTGCTGTTCTGCAGCCTCTGCTGCTGATACCCAGTCAAACAGGGTCTGGAGTGGACCTCCGGCAAACTCCAACAGACCTGTAGCTGAGGGTCCTGACTGTTAGAAGGAAAACTAACAAACAGAAAGGACATCCACACTAAAACCCCATCTGTATGTCACCATCATCAAAGACCAAAGGTAGACAAAACCACAAAGATGGGGAAAAAACAGAACAGAAAAACCGGAAACTCTAAAAATCAGAGTGCCTCTCCTCCTCCAAAGGAACGCAGCTCCTCACCAGCAATTGAACAAAGCTGGATGGAGAATGACTTTGACGAGTTGAGAGAAGAAGGCTTCAGACGATCAAACTACTCCGAGCTAAAGGAGGAAGTTTGAACCCATGGCAAAGAAGTTAAAAACCTTGAAAAAAAATTAGATGAATGGCTAAGTAGAATAACCAAAGCAGGGAAGTCGTTAAAGGACCTGATGGAGCTGAAAACCACGGCACGAGAACTACATGACGAATGCACAAGCCTCAGTAGCCGATTCGATCAACTGGAAGAAAGGGCATCAGTGATGGAAGATCAAAGGAATGCAATGAAGCAAGAAGAGAAGTTTAGAGAAAAAAGAATAAAAAGAAACAAACAAAGCCTCCAAGAAATATGGGACTATGTGAAAAGACCAAATCTACGTCTGATTGGTGGACCTGAAAGTCACAGAGAGAATGGAACCAAGTTGGAAAACACTCTGCAGGATATTATCCAGGAGAACTTCCCCAATCTAGCAAGGCAGGCCAACATTCACATTCAGGAAATACAGAGAACACCACAAAGATACTCCTCAAGAAGAGCAACTCCAAGACACATAATTGTCAGATTCACCAAAGTTGAAATGAAGGAAAAAATGGGAAGGGCAGCCAGAGAGAAAGGTCGGGTTACCCACAAAGGGAAGCCTATCAGACTAACAGCGGATCTCTCAGCAGAAACTCTACAAGCCAGAAGAGAGTGGGGGCCAATATTCAATATTCTTAAAGAAAAGAATTTTCAACCAGAATTTCATATCCAGCCAAACTAAGCTTCATAAGTGAAGGAGAAATAAAATCCTCTACAGACAAGCAAATGCTGAGAGATTTTGTCACCACCAGGCCTGCCCTAAAAGAGCTCCTGAAGGAAGCACTTAACATGGAAAGGAAAAACTGGTACCAGCCACTGCAAAAACATGCTCAATTGTTAAGACCATCGAGGCTAGGAAGAAACTGCATGAACTAAGGGGCAAAATAACCAGCTAACATCATAATGACAGGATCAAATTCACACATAACAATATTAACCTTAAATGTAAATGGGCTAAATGCTCCAATTAAAAGACACACACTGGCAAATTGGATAAAGAGTCAAGACCCATCAGTGTGCTGTATTCAGGAAACACATCTCACGTGCAGAGACACACATAGGCTCAAAATAAAGGGATGGAGGAAGTTCTACCAAGCAAATGGAAAACAAAAAAAGGCAGGGGTTGCAATCCTAGTCTCGGATAAAACAGACTTTAAACCAACAAAGATCAAAAGAGACAAAGAAGGCCATTACATAATGGCAAAGGGATCAATTCAACAAGAAAAGCTAACTATCCTAAATATATATGCACCCAATACAGGAGCACCCAGATTCATAAAGCAAGTCCTTAGAGACCTACAAAGAGACTTAGACTCCCACAGAATAATAATGGGAGACTTTAATATCCCACTGTCAACATTAGAAAGATCAATGAGACAGAAAGTTAACAAGGATATCCAAGAATTGAACTCAGCTCTGCACCAAGCGGACCTAATAGACATCTACAGAACTCTCCACCCCAAATCAACAGAATATACATTCTTCTCAGCACCACACCACACCTATTCCAAAATTGACCACATTAGCTGGAAGTAAAGCACTCCTCAGCAAATGTGAAAGAACAGAAATTATAACAAACTGTCTCTCAGACCACAGTGCAATCAAACTAGAACTCAGGATTAAGAAACTCACTCAAAACTGCTCAATTACATGGAAACTGAACAACCTGCTCCTGAATGACTACTGGGTACAAAACGAAATGAAGGCAGAAACAAAGATGTTCTTTGAAACCAATGAGAACAAAGACCCAACATACCAGAATCTCTGGGACACATTCAAAGCAGTGTGTAGAGGGAAATTTAGAGCACTAAATGCCCACAAGAGAAAGCAGGAAAGATCTAAAATTGACACCCTAACATCACAATGAAAAGAACTAGAGAAGCAAGAGGAAACACATTCAAAAGCTAGCAGAAGGCAAGAAATAACTAAGATCAGAGCAGAACTGAAGGAAATAGAGACACAAAAAAACCTTCAAAAAAATCAATGAATCCAGGACCTGGCTTTTTGAAAAGATCAATAAAATTGATAGATTGCTAGCAAGACTAATAAAGAAGAAAAGAGAGAAGAATCAAATAGACACAATAAAAAGTGATAAAGGGGATATCATCACTGATCCCACAGAAATACAAACTACCATCAGAGAATACTATAAACACCTCTACACAAGTAAACTAGAAAATCTAGAAGAAATGGATAAATTCCTAGACACATACACCCTCCCAAGACTAAACCAGGAAGAAGCTGAATCTCTGAATAGACCAATAACAGGCTCTGAAATTGAGGCAATAATAGCTTACCAACCAAAAAAAGTCCAGGACCAGACGGATTCACAGCCGAATTCTACCAGAGGTGCAAGGAAGAGCTAGTAACATTCTTTCTGAAACTATTCCAATCAATAGAAAAAGAGGGAATCCTCCCTAACTCATTTTATGAGGCCAGTATCATCCTGATACCAAAGCCTGGCAGAGACACAACAAAAAGAGAATTTTAGACCAATATCCCTGATGAACATTGATGCAAAAATCCTCAATAAAATACTAGCAAACTGAATCCAGCAGCACATGAAAAAGCTCATCCACCATGATCAAGTGGGCTTCATCCCTGGGATGCAAGGCTGGTTCAACATACGAAAATCAATAAACGTAATCCAGCATATAAACAGAACCAATGACAAAAACCACATGATTATCTCAATAGACGCAGAAAAGGCCTTTGACAAAATTCAACACTCCTTCATGCTAAAAACTCTCAATAAATTAGGTATTGATGGGATGTATCTCAAAATAATAAGAGCTAATTATGACAAACCCACAGCCAATATCATACTGAATGGGCAAAAACTGGAAGCATTCCCTTTGAAAACTGGCACAAGACAGGGATGCCCTCTCTCACCACTCCTATTCAATGTAGTGTTGGAAGTTCTGGCCAGGGCAATCAGGCAGGAGAAAGAAATAAAGGGTATTCAATTAGGAAAAGAGGAAGTCAAATTGTCCCTGTTTGCAGATGACATGATTGTATATCTAGAAAACCCCATCGTCTCAGCCCAAAATCTCCTTAAGCTGATAAGCAACTTCAGCAAAGTCTCAGGATACAAAATCAATGTGCAAAAATCACAAGCATTCTTATACACCAATAACAGACAAACAGAGAGCCAAATCATGAGTGAACTCCCATTTGCAGTTGCTTCAAAGAGAATAAAATACCTAGGAATTCAACTTACAAGGGATGTGAAGGACCTCTTCAAGGAGAACTACAAACCACTGCTCAATGAAATAAAAGAGGATACAAACAAATGGAAGAACATTCCATGCTCATGGGTAGGAAGAATCAATATCATAAAAATGGCCATACTACCCAAGGTAATTTATAGATTCAATGCCATCCCCATCAAGCTACCAATGACTTTCTTCACAGAATTGGAAAAAACTACTTTAAAGTTCATATGGAACCAAAAAAGAGCCCACATTGCCAAGTCAATCCTAAGCCAAAAGAACAAAGCTGGAGGCATCATGCTACCTGACTTCAAACTATACTACAAGGCTACAGTAACCAAAACAGCATGGTACTGGTACCAAAACAGCATGGTACTGGTACCAAAACAGAGGTATAGACCAATGCAACAAAAGAGAGCCCTCAGAAATAATGCCACATATCTACAACCATCTGATCTTTGACAAACTTGACACAAACAAGAAATGGGGAAAGGATTCCCTATTTAATAAATGGTGCTGGGAAAGTTGGCTAGCCATAAGTAGAAAGCTGAAACTGGATCCCTTCCTTACACTTTATACAAAAATTAATTCAAGATGGATTAAACACTTAAATGTTAGACCTAAAACCATAAAAACCCTAGAAGAAAACCTAGGCAATACCATTCAGGACATAGGCATGGGCAAGGACTTCATGTCTAAAACACCAAAAGCAATGGCAACGAAAGCCAAAATTGACAAATGGGATCTAATTAAACTAAAGAGCTTCTGCACAGTAAAAGGAACTACCATCAGAGTGAACAGGCAACCTACAGAATGGGAGAAAATTTTTGCAATCTATCCATCTGACAAAGGGCTAATATCCAGAATCTACAATGAACTCAAACAAATTTACAAGAAAAAAACAAACAACCCCATCAACAAGTGGGTGAAGGATATGAACAGACACTTCTCAAAAGAAGACATTTATGCAGCCAAAAGACAAATGAAAAAATGCTCATCATCACTGGCCATCAGAGAAATGCAAATCAAAACCACAATGAGATACCATCTCACACCAGTTAGAATGGCGATCATTCCAAAGTCAGGAAACAACAGGTGCTGGAGAGGATGTGGAGAAATAGGAACACTTTTATACTGTTGGTGGGACTGTAAAGTAGTTCAACCATTGTGGAAGTCAGTGTGGCGATTCCTCAGGGATCTAGAACTAGAAATGCCATTTGACCCAGCCATCCCATTACTGGGTATATACCCAAAGGATTATAAATCATGCTGCTATAAAGACACATGCACACGTATGTTTATAGCAGCACTATTCACAATAGCAAAGACTTGGAACCAAGCCAAATGTCCAACAATGATAGACTGGATTAAGAAAATGTGGCACATATATACCACAGAATACTATGCAGCCATAAAAAATGATGAGTTCATGTCCTTTGTAGGGACATGGATGAAGCTGGAAACCATCATTCTCAGCAAACTATCACAAGGACAAAAAACCAAACACCGCTTGTTCTCACTCATAGGTGGAAATTGAACAGTGAGAACACATGGACACAGGAAGGGGAACATCACACACCCGGGCCTGTTGTGGGGTCGGGGGAGGGGGGAGGGATAGCATTAGGAGATGTGCCTAATGTTAAATGACGAGTTAATGGGTGCAGCACACCAACATGGCACATGTATATATATGTAACTAACCTGCACATTGTGCACATGTACCCTAAAACTTAAAGTATAATAATAAAAAAAACTTTCTTTTTTTCTTTATTTTTGAGACAGTCTCCCTCTGTCGCCTAGGCTGGAATGCAGTGGCGTGCTCTCAGCTCACTGCAATCTCCGCCTACTGGGTTCAAGCTATTCTTGCACCTCAACTTTTGTAGTAGCTGGGACTACACATAGGCACCACTGTGGCTTCCTCTTTTTTTTTTTTTTTTGAGACGGACTCTCGCTCTGTCGCCCAGGCTGGAGTGCAGCGGCACCATCTCGGCTCACTGCAAGCTCCGCCTCCCGGGTTCACGCCATTCTCCTGCCTCAGCCTCCCAAGTAGCTGGGACTACAGGCGCCCGCCACCACACCCTGCTAATTTTTTGTATTTTTAGTAGAGACGGGGTTTCACCGTGTTAGCCAGGATGGTCTCAATATCCTGACCTCGTGATCCACCCGCCTCGGCCTCACAAAGTGCTGGGATTACAGGAGTGAGCCACCGTGCCCGGCGTCTTTTTTTTTTTTTTTTTTTTTTTTTTTTTTAGGCAACCTTGCTATGTTGCCTGGGCTGGTTTCAAACTCCTGGGTTCAATTGATCCCCCTGCTTTGGCCTCCTTGTTTTATTATTACTCTGTATTTTTACTTTAGGCATACAGCCAGTCATACTAAATTGGATAAACACTTAAATGTACATATTAGAAAATTATAATCGATGACCTAAGTTTCCAAAGAAAGAATTTACTGAAAATGTACAAAATTACCAAAAGAGGAAGCAGTAGGGAAGAGGAAAATTAATGAAAATTAATGAAAGAGGTAAAACTTGTGGAACAATTGAGGTTAAGAAAGATACACAAGAACTGGTACTTTGTAATGGAAAGTAATACATCTTAATAAAATTCTACAGGATGCATTAGGTAGTTCATACATTCTTTTCTCCACTTAAAGTGTTGACTTTAGGTAGATGATCCTTGTATGGGACTCACGGCTGCCATTTTACATTTGAAATTCAAGAGTCCAACTTCAAAGTACCCATGAATGCCCTAACACAATTTACCGGTGAAAAACAGCTGCTGCTCCAACAATCTGTACCTCTGTGTTTGTGCTTTAAACTTTGACACACTATTGAGAAAAAGCAAGGGAAGTAGCATTGTAAGAGAAAAAGCTGATGGGAACTTACCACCTGAAGTGCCGTCCAAATTCATCTTGGGGTAGAAGACCTGGACTTCACGGAGACCAGCAAGCAACTGAGATCAGCAAGCAACTGAGCAGCTCCTAAAGACACAGGCTTTATATAGGGTCAAGATGACCCGCCCCTTTCTTAAATAGCTTTCAATTTAATCCCCTCATTAAATATTTAACACCTGCAGAAAGAAACTTGAAGTAATTAGATTAAGTGGAAGTACAGATCGTACTAGGTGATTTTTTCTCTTTAATAACACCTTTTCAAATATGACTCTTGTTTAATTATTTTGATTTGGCTACATTAGTTTCTACATTATAAGAATGTCCTTACCTTACTCTGTATTTTTTGTTTTCCTCGGCTCTTCTGAAACCCACGTCTTTTCATCATTGCGATGGTGCTATCTATGTGTCAACTTGGCTGCTTTACACTCCCTATTTTTTCAATAAAACATGAATCTAGGCTGTTTTATTCATGTTGCTGTGAAGGTATTTTGTAGATGTGATTAGGTTATATAATCAGTTGACTTTCAGTAAATGAGAATATTTTGGATAAACTGAGTGGGTTCAATTCAATCAGTGAAAGGGCTTAAGAGCAAAGGTGAGGTTTTTCTGGAGGGAAGCGGGAAAGCACATCTGGATGGGCGTGGTGTCTCGTGCCTGTAATCCCCGCACTTTGGGAGGCTGAGGCAGGAGAATCACTTGAGCCTTGGAGTTCAAGACCAGCCTGGGCAACACAGGGAGACCCTATCTTATTTATATGAAAATTAAAAAATTTCCCACCCATGCTCAGCTGCTGCCTCAGGCGTTTCTGACTGGTTTTCCAAAGGGCTTGCCCTACAGACTTTATTCTTGCCTATCCAGCCCCTACAATTATAGAAGTGAGTTCTATATTGCTATGATCTGAATGTTTATGTAGCCTCAAAATTCATAGGTCAATATCCTCCCCACCAAGGTAATGGTATTAGGAGGTGGGGCCTTTAGGAAGTGATTGAGTCACGGGGGCAAAGTCCTCTTGAAAGGGATTAGTGCCTTTATCAAAGAGAGCAGAGAGGGGGAGGGAGGGTTGAGACCTCTGTGATCCTTCTGCCATGTGAGGTTAAAGTGAGAAGACGGCTGTCTAGGAGGAAATGGGCCCTCACCAGACACCAAACCTGATTGTACTTCCCAATCTCCAGAACTGTGAGAAATAAATTTCTGTTGTTTATAAAGTAGCTGGTCTATAATATTTTGTTATAGCAGCCTAAATGGACTAAGGCACATATATGTCCCTCTATATATGTACGAGTATGTATATGTATGTATGTATATGTATTTATATATTTATAGTATAAACACACGCACATACGTTTTATATAGCTCACTAGTTCACTATGGGATTTGACTTCAGAACACTACTGATTGTTTCTCTGATTGAACCCTGAATGATAAAGACCTTGGTATTGGAGGTGGTTCTGTAAGAACAGAACCTTACAGAGATATGTATGTTTATAAATATACAACTAAAAATAGGTATATTTAAAGTTATATACGTCTTCTATTTATATAAGGACTCCAGTTCCAGTGGTAAAGAGGGCACTGGTAGTCCATGGCACGATGTGGCAAACATTGCCATTGGACAGCCCCAGCTGAGTGCCAAAGTTAACCCGCAGCAGCGACGGACACTGAGTGACCCACTTAGAGTGCTAACATAGGGACAGATGAATTACGCTGGACCACTTCCTTTGTGGAAGGGTCACTGCATTGTTCTTATTGGAATAGATAATCTGGAGACAGATTTACCTTTCCTGCATGTAACATTTCATCAGAATTACTATTGTGGACTTAGGAATGTCTTATTTATCCTCATAGCCTTGACTTTGATCAAGGAACTCACTCCACAGCGAATAAAGTGTGGTAATGGTTAGGAGCAGTGGCTCACGCCTGTAATCCCAGCACTTTGGGAGGCCAAGGCGGGTGCATCACCTATGGCCAGGAGTTTGAGACCAGCCTGGCCAACCTGGTGAAACCCCGTCTCTACTAAAACTACAAAAATTAGCCAGGCATGGTAGCAGATGCCTGTAATCCTAGCTACTCAGGAGGCTGAGGCAGGAGAATCACTTGAACCTGGGAGGCAGAGGTTGCAGTGAGCCAAGACAGCACCATTACACTCCAGCCTGGGTGACAGAGCGAGACTCTGTCTCAAAAAAAAAAAAAAAAAAAAAGTGGTAAAGACTCATAATCTTTACTCAGCAGTTCAACTGTTAAATATCTAAAGCAACAGCTATAATTAGGAGAAAACATTTTCAAGGGCTAAATCACCCAGACAATGAAGCTACCTATTCAACTAATTTTATCTGTATATCCCTGCATTTAAATAAGTGACAGCCCATGATCACAATTAATCAAATATTAATAGTATACTTCAATTTATACTGTTTTATATATGCTATGGGAATAAAATAATTGAAATTATAATCAAATTTATCTACTAGTTTTTAACCTTCTCTAGGAAATTTCTTTTTTTCTTCCCCAAATCATGACAGCCTAAAAAAGAAAAATCATCATTTGTGTTACTTTTTGCACAACAGGGAATCTTTAAAGTACAATCATGGCTTAGAAATGCATTGCTTTATAAGTGAAGTGTAGAACTTGGGGACACTATATGCCATTCTATTTTTTGACAATGACACATATTTTACTGTCAAAAAAGACAAGGATAGATCAGCCTCCCGAGTAGGTGGGACTACAGGCATGTGCCACCATACCCAGCTAATTTTTTTTTGTATTTGTGTTAGAGACAGGGTTTCTCTATGTTGGTCAGGCTGGTATTGGACTCCTGGCCTCAAATAATCTGCCCGCCTCAGCCTCTCCAAGTGCCACGATTACAGATGTGAGCCATCACGCCTGGCCATGCCTTTATCATTTTTACTCACAGATTAAGGCATAATTGACAAATAAAATTGTATATGTATATGGCATACATGATGTTTTGATATATGTGTGTATTGTGAAATGATTTCAATCCAGCCAATTAACATATTGTCATCTCACATACTTGTCATTTTTTCTTTTTTTTGTGGTGAGAACATTTAAGATCTGGTCTCTTAGCAATTTTTTTTTTTTTTTTGAGATGGAATCTCGCTCTGTCACCATGCTGGAGTGCAGTGGCTTGATCTCTTCTCACTGCAACTTCCGCCTCCCGGGTTCAAGTGATTCTCCTGCCTCAGCCTCCTGAGTAGCTGGGACAACAGTTGTATGCCACTAAACCCTGCTAATTTTTGTATTTTTAGTAGAGATGGAGCCTCACCATGTTGGCCAGGATGGTCTTGATCTCCTGACCTTGTGATCCGCCTGCCTCAGCCTCCCAAAGTGCTGGGATTACAGGAGCAAATTTTTTTTTTTTTTTCAGATGGAGTCTTGCTCTGTAGCCCAGGCTGGAGTGCAGTGACGCGATCTCGGCTCACTGCAACCTCCGCCACCCGGGTTCATGCCATTCTCCTGCCTCAGCCTCCCGAGCAGCTGGGACTACAGGCACCCACCAGCACGCCCAGCTACTTTTTTGTATTTTTAGTAGAGACGTGGTTTCACTGTGTTAGCCAGGATGGTCTCGATCTCCTGACCTCGTGATCCACCCGCCTCGGCCTCCCAAAGTCCTCGGATTACAGGCGTGAGCCACTGCGCCTGGCCTGCAGGAGCAATTTTTAAGTATACAATATATTATCATTAACCATGTGGTACAATAGGTCTCCAGAATTTATTCATCTAACTGAAACTTTATACCTTCTGGCTAACATCTCCCCATTCCTCCCACACCCCAGCCCCTGGCAACCACTATTCTACTCCCTGCTCCTTTATTCTTTTTAGTTTTTTCTTTGTTTTTTTTGAGATGGGGGTCTTGCTATATTGCCCAGGGTGGAGTACAGTGGCTATTCACAAGCACAAACATAGTGATCCCCCTGCTTCAGTAGCTGGGACTACAGGTGTGCACCACCACACCTGGCCATCCTTTTAAAATATGGAATTTCGATTGTTGTTTAAAGGGCACAATTGTATTTTATTTTATTTTTGAGAGGGAGTCTCACTCTGCACCTAGGCTGGAATGCAGGGCGTGATCTCAGCTCACCGCAATCTCTGCCTACTGGGTTCAAGCGATTCTCCTGCCTCAGCCTCCCGAGTAGCTGGGATTACAGGCATGTACCACCATGCCCTGCTAATTTTTGTATATTTAGTAGAGACGGGATTTTGCCACGTTGGCCAGGCTGGTCTTGAACTCCTGACCTCAGGTGATCCGCCCGCCTTGGCCTCCCAAAGTGTTGGGATTACAGGTGTGAGCCACTGCATGCCCCCACAATTTTCTTTTATTATAGGAAGTTTAAAGCCAGTGATTCCTCTCCTTTCTTTCTGTGTCAGGCGAATAATCAAACCCACAGAGAAGCTCATGGTTTACTCCCAGATCCCAGTTCTAAGTATGCAGCAGAACCGCGCCTAGAGCCAGGTCATCCTGCATTGGTATACTTACAAGATCATATACATATATTATTACATACATTATTATTTTTTGTGTGGTTAACACTATCCAGGGGAGGAAAATGATATGCAGATCAATATCACTTAAAATTCTGCTATATGGAATTCATTACAACAATACAATTTTTTAAATTTAAAAAGTGGTCACAGAATCTAACGTCTTAAGACAACTTAAAGTCAGCAAAAGCAGATAAATCAAATCGCATATTACTAGCTTGATATTATTTTTAATTGTATTTAATTTTTCAATCAGCTTTCTCAGATTGAAGTAGATCTATATGAATTTGGTTTTGATTTTGCAGATGATGATTGTGATAATAAGATAAAATGTCATGGTCCTTATAATTGAATCATGGCCGGGCGTGGTAGCTCACGCCTGTAATCCCATCACTTTGGAAGGCCGAGATGGGAGGATAACCTGAGGTCAGGAATTCAACACCATCCTGGCCAACATGATGAAACCCCCTCTCTACTAAAAATACAGTTGCCTGCCGGGCGTGGTGGCAGGCACCTGTAATAATCCCTGCTACTCAGGAGGCTGAGGCAGGAGAATCGCTTGAACCCGGGAGCCGGAGGTTGCAGTGAGCCGAGATCACGCCATTGAACTCCAGCCTGGAGTACAAGAGCAAGACTTCATCTCAAAAAATAAAAATAAAAAATAAAAAATAAATAAAATAACTGAATCTTACAGAGAAGTGTATTGTATCAGCCTAGTCATCTGCACTAGAAAACCACTTCTATCATAATTGCTGAATCAATATATTGTCTTAAATCTATTTGTTCAAAATAAATTTGTCAAAAGTCAAAGTCCCCATTTACAAACTTCACTGACTTACCAAGAATTTATTTTTCTGTCTATCATAAAAATTTTTTAGGCCAGGCATGGTGGCTCACGCCTGTAATCCCAGCACTTTGGGAGGCTGAGGCGGGTGGATCACCTGACGTCAGGAGTTCGAGACCAGCCTGGCCAACATGGTGAAACCCTGTCTCTACTAAAAACACAAAAAATTAGCCTAGTGTAGTGGTGGGTGCCTGTAATCCCAGCTACTTGGGAGGCTGAGGCAGGAGAATCACTTGAACCTGGGAGGCAGAGGTTGCAGTGAGTCGAGACCATGCCATTGTATTCCAGCCTGGGCGACAGAGCAAGACTCTGTCTCAAAAAAAAAAAAAAAAAAAAAAAAAAAAAGAAATTAATGCAATTCATAGTTGGATGGTTGTTATTATTATTATTATTATTATTTTATTTTTAAAATATCGTTAATGAGACCTAAGAAGATATAGTTGAACATTTCTCATTTTATCTTAAAAGTACCATTAAAGTGATTACTATTTATTGGCTGTCAGGGCAGTTTTGTCTTCTAATAAATGAAATATTTATGTGACAATATATACTTTTTAATCAGAAACCCAAATGCAATTGCGATGTAAAGTAGCAAATGAGTTAACAATTACAAAAGTAACCCTGCAAACAAAACCAGGATTACAATGGCTTGACAGTTAAAAGACTAGGATCAAGAAAATTACTCAGGAAATACCTGGCTGTAACTTCGAGCAAGAAGTTCCCATTTTAGAGAAATTTCTATGAAAAAAAATGCAGTAGTTAAAGAAATAAAAAACTTATAGTGACCAGAGACCATCACTTTGGAGGTAGAATTCAAAGAATACAAAACCAAGGCAACACAGGATTCCAATAAATACAAGATACCATGACAACGTGGAATCTTTGTTCTTAAAGGGCCTCCATGGATATAAGATTTTTAGATGTAGGAAGATATTTTCATTGAGTTCAACTATTTACTCATATATATGTTTTACTCTTGTAACCAAGTACCCTACTTTCTTAAAAAAATACCTTTACCATTTCTTTTTTTCTTGTGTGTTCACCTCTTACTTAAGCTCCTTAGGGATGCAATGATAACCTTTACCTTCTCTCCACCAGGCACTTCCTGCATGGCAAGTTTATCTTACTAAATGTTTGCTTAGAAATTCTAATGACCAAATGTTGAACCAAACCAGGCACCCTCTGGAACTCCTCCCGACCAGGAGAATGCATAGAGACAATGGTCAGTTTACAACCTAGTTCTGGCCAGATGGTGCCAGGCAGACCATCCCCTAGCTAAGAATAGAAGCCAGTCACATAGACCCTGCACCTCCTCGTGCCCCTCCCCTGCATGCCATTCATGACATGCCCCCCTTTAAAGCCCCTGCTTTTTGCCCCAAAAGATGAAGTGGTTTCCTTAAGGGAGGAGCCTGTACTGTTTCCCCTCAGCTAAGCTCTGGAATAGAAGTCACTTTCTTTTACCACCTCATGCTTGTTATCTAAATTTACAAGAAGCTGAACCTGCATTCAGTTACAATTTTGGTGGCCCATACAGGGACTGTTGTGTGTTCCAGGGGCCTGAGCTTGCTGGTCTGGTTTCTACTGGAGAGGGCATATGGCTGCCTGTGAACACCAGCTGCTTATGGCTAGCTGACCCCATGGCTGGAACATTAGGAATTTCTCTGAAGCTGCCAAGATGCTTTTGTTTTTGGGAAACTGTCTTTCACTTCCTGGCATGATGCCTGCGGCTTTCAAAGCTTCGTTGGTACAAAGAAAATGAACTCTGAAGAAGGCAAACTTTGGAACTGGGTGAGCAAGTTGGAGTGTACCTGACCACCCCCTGCCTCTTTTGGAGTGTTGCTGTGGCTCTGTTCTATTTAGATTTGGCTGCCAGAAACAACATTTGAGCTTTTTCTGCATTTGTGTTTGTATGTGAATCACCCTTGAGGCATGGCTTGGTTTGGACTCGGTCATCTGGAAGAGCTATTTGGAACTGAGGCAGGAGATTTAGGACTAAACCCAGCCTCTTAACTGGGGATCTGTTTGGAAGCACTCCATTTGTTCATGCCTTTGTGTATACTCCATTTGTATGACCTTTGTGTATAGGCCCTAATTGCTTCCTTTCCTTTTCACTTTATCTTCCTGATTATCTCAGAGAGCCACCTACAGCCTTAATCTTCTTGGCCAAAGGCACCCTTAGCTCTGTTTACCTTGACCAGTGATTTACGGAGGTGGGAGGGATTCATCCCACACCGTGCAGGTCTAGGATACTGTGGCTCTTCCTGATGGGAGATAAATGGGAGTGGTGAAGGTACCGCCCACACACCACTTAGTGGCTTTAAGGCTCATAAATCTCCTTTTCTTTCTTTCTCTTCTTTTCCCTTCCTTTAAAGCCTGGCTCCTTTGCTGAGGCCTGCCAGGAACTTCATACTCTCATCCTCTTTGGGATTCCAGCTAGTTACATATTATGACCCATTTTTAATGCATGTTTTAAACGGATGGGCAAATTATAGCAAGAAAAATTCAGAGCTCAAATGGTTAGCCCGTAACTAACTGCAGAGTTAAACAGAGTCTTCTAAAGCTCTCTATCTTCCTCTCTTTTCTTTACTGTCTGCTTTGAATCTGCTGTTACTGAGTTGCTGGTGCTGAGATAAGACTCATTATTTGTGCTCTAAATGGAATGTAAACATTGGAAATTTGTTTGAAACGGAAAGAAAAATAAAAGAATAAAAGAGACTTTAAAAAAAACAAACTGCCATAGAGACTGCTTTACTCAAATTTTGTTTTATTTATTTATTTATTTTTTGAGACAGGGTATCACTTCATTGCCCGGGCTAGAGTGCAGTGGCATGGCCATAGCTCACTCCAGCCTCCATCTCCTGGGCTCAAGCAGTCCTTCTGCCTCAACCTTCCAAGTAGCTAGGACTACAGATGTGTGCCACCATGCTCAGATAGTTTTAAAAAATTGTTCGTAGAGATGGGGTTCTTGCTACGTTGCTCAGGCCAGTCTTGAACTCCTATCTCAAGTAATCCTCCTGCCTTGGCCTTACCCAAATTTTGGTTCACAGTTTTCTTTTTTCTTTTTTTTTTTTTTTAATTATACTTTAAGTTTCAGGGTACATGTGCACAACGTGCAGGTTTGTTACATATATATGCATGTGCCAAGTTGGTGTGCTGCACCCATTAACTCGTCATTTAACATTAGGTATATCTCCTAATGCTATCCCTCCCCCCTCCCCCTACCCCAAAACAGGTCCCAGTGTGTGATGTTCCCTTTCCTGTGTCCATGTGTTCTCATTGTTTAATTCCCACCTATGAGTGAGAACATGCGATGTTTGGTTTTTTGTCCTTGCGATAGTTTGCTGAGAATGATGGTTTCCAGCTTCATCCATGTCCCTACAAAGGACATGAACTCATCATTTTTTATGGCTGCACAGTATTCCATGGTGTATATGTGCCACATTTTCTTAATCCAGTCTATCATTGTTGGACATCTGGCTTGGTTCGAAGTCTTTGCTATTGTGAATAGTGCCGCAATAAACATACGTGTGCGTGTGTCTTTATAGCAGCATGATTTATAATCCTTTGGGCATATACCCAGTAATGGGATGGCTGGGTCAAATGGCATTTCTGGTTCTAGATCCCTGAGGAATCGCCACACTGACTTCCACAATGGTTGAACTAGTTTATAGTCCCACCAACAGTGTAAAAGTGTTCCTATTTCTCCACATCCTCTCCAGCACCTGTTGTTTCCTGACTTTGGAATGATCGCCATTCTAACTGGTGTGAGATGGTATCTCATTGTGGTTTTGATTTGCATTTCTCTGATGGTCAGTGATGATGATCATTTTTTCATGTGTCTTTTGGCTGCATAAATGTCTTCTTTTGGGAAGTGTCTGTTCATATCCTTCACCCACTTGTTGATGGGGTTGTTTGTTTTTTTCTTGTAAATCTGTTTGAGTTCATTGTAGATTCTGGATATCAGCCCTTTGTCAGATGAGTAGGTTGCAAAAATTTTCTCCCATTCTGTAGGTTGCCTGTTCACTCTGATGGTAGTTTCTTTTGCTGTGCAGAAGCTCTTTAGTTTAATTAGATCCCATTTGTCAATTTTGGCTTTTGTTGCCATGGCTTTTGGTATTTTAGACATGAAGTCCTTGCCCATGCCTATGTCCCAAATGGTATTGCCTACGTTTTCTTCTAGGGTTTTCATGGTTTTAGGTCTAACATTTAAATCTTTAATCCATCTTGAATTAATTTTAGTATAAGGTGTAAGGAAGGGATCCGGTTTCAGCTTTCTACGTATGGCTAGCCAGTTTTCCCAGCACCATTTATTAAATAGGGAATCCTTTCCCCATTTCTTGTTTTTTGTCAGGTTTGTCAAAGATCAGATAGTTGTAGATATGCGGCATTATTTCTGAGGGCTCTGTTCTGTTCCATTGGTCTATATCTCTGTTTTGGTACTGGTACCATGCTGTTTTGGTTACTGTAGCCTTGTCGTATAGTTTGAAGTCAGGTAGCGTGATGCCTCCAGCTTTGTTCTTTTGGCTTAGGATTGACTTGACAATATGGGCTCTTTTTTGGTTCCATATGAACTTTAAAGTAGTTTTTTCCAATTCTGTGAAGAAATTCATTGGTAGCTTGATGGGGATGGCATTGAATCTATAAATTACCTTGGGTAGTATGGCCATTTTCACCATATTGATTCTTCCTATCCATGAGCATGGAATGTTCTTCCATTTGTTTGTATCCTCTTTTATTTCATTGAGCAGTGGTTTGTAGTTCTCCTTGAAGAGGTCCTTCACATCCCTTGTAAGTTGGATTCCTAGGTATTTTATTCTCTTTGAAGCAATTGTGAATGGGAGTTTACTCATGATTTGGCTCTCTGTTTGTCTGTTATTGGTGTATAAGAATGCTTGTGATTTTTGCACATTGATTTTGTATCCTGAGACTTTGCTGAAGTTGCTTATCAGCTTAAGGAGATTTTGGGCTGAGACGATGGGGTTTTCTAGATACACAATCATGTCATCTGCAAACAGGGACAACTTGACTTCCTCTTTTCCTAATTGAATACCCTTTATTTCTTTCTCCTGCCTGATTGCCCTGGCCAGAACTTCCAACACTATGTTGAATAGGAGTGGTGAGAGAGGGCATCCCTGTCTTTTGCCAGTTTTCAAAGGGAATGCTTCCAGCTTTTGTCCATTCAGTATGATATTGGCTGTGGGTTTGTCATAAATAGCTCTTATTATTTTGAGATACGTACCATCAATACCTAATTTATTGAGAGTTTTTAGCATGAAGGACTGTTGAATTTTGTCAAAGACCTTTTCTGCATCTATTGAGATCATATGGTTTTTGTCATTGATTCTGTTTGTATGCTGGATTACGTTTATTGATTTGCATATGTTGAAGCAGCCTTGCATCCCAGGCATGAAGTCCACTTGATCATGGTGGATGAGCTTTTTGATGTGCTGCTGGATTTGGTTTGCCAGTATTTTATTGAGGATTTTTGCATCAATGTTCATTAGGGATATTGGTCTAAAATTCTCTTTTGTTTGTTGTGTCTCTGCCAGGCTTTGGTATCAGGATGATGCTGGCCTCATAAAATGAGTTAGGGAGGATTCCCTCTTTTTCTATTGATTGGAATAGTTTCAGAAAGAATGGTACCAGCTCCTCCTTGTACCTCTGGTAGAATTCGGCTGTGAATCCATCTGGTCCTGGACTCTTTTTGGTTGGTAAGCTATTAATTATTGCCTCAATTTCAGAGCCTGTTATTGGTCTATTCAGAGATTCAACTTCTTCCTGGTTTAGTCTTGGGAGGGTGTATGTGTCCAGGAATTTATCCATTTCTTTCAGATTTTCTAGTTTACTTGTGTAGAGGTGTTTATAGTATTCTCTGATGGTAGTTTGTATTTCTGTGGGATCAGTGGTGATATCCCCTTTATCATTTTTTATTGCGTCTATTTGATTCTTCTCTCTTTTCTTCTTTATTAGTCTTGCTAGCAGTCTATCAATTTTGTTGATCTTTTCAAAAAACCAGGTCCTGGATTCATTGATTTTTTGAAGGTTTTTTTGTGTCTCTATTTCCTTCAGTTCTGCTCTGATCTTAGTTATTTCTTGCCTTCTGCTAGCTTTTGAATGTGTTTGCTCTTGCTTCTCTAGTTCTTTTCATTGTGATGTTAGGGTGTCAATTTAGATCTCTCCTGCTTTCTCTTGTGGGCTTTCAGTGCTATAAATTTCCTTCTACACACTGCTTTGAATGTGTCCCAGAGATTCTGGTATGTTGTGTCTTTGTTCTCGTTGGTTTCAAAGAACATCTTTATTTCTGCCTTTATTTTGTTACGTACCCAATAGTCATTCAGCAGCAGGTTGTTCAGTTTCCATGTAGTTGAGTGGTTTTGAGTGAGTTTCTTAATCCTGAGTTCTAGTTTGATTGCACTGTGGTCTGAGAGACAGTTTGTTATAATTTCTGTTCTTTTACATTTGCTGAGGAGTGCTTTACTTCCAATTATGTGGTCAATTTTGGAATAGGTGTGGTGCTGAAAAGAATGTATATTCTGTTGATTTGGGGTGGAGAGTTCTATAGATGTCTATTAGGTCCATCTGGTGCAGAGCTGAGTTCAATTCTTGGATATCCTTGTTAACTTTCTGTCTCATTCATCTGTCTAATGTTGACAGTGGGGTGTTAAAATCTCCCATTATTATTGTGTGGGAGTCTAAGTCTCTTTGTAGGTCACTAAGTACTTGCTTTATGAATCTGCGTGCTCCTGTATTGGGTGCATATATATTTAGGATAGTTAGCTCTTCTTGTTGAGTTGATCCCTTTACCATTATGTAATGGCCTTCTTTGTCTCTTTTGATCTTTGTTGGTTTAAAGTCTGTTTTATCAGAGACTAGGATTGCAACCCCTGCCTTTTTTTGTTTTCCATTTGCTTGGTAGATCTTCCTCCATCGCTTTATTTTGAGCCTATGTGTGTCTCTGCATGTGAGATGTGTTTCCTGAATACAGCACACTGACGGGTCTTGACTCTTTATCCAATTTGCCAGTGTGTGTCTTTTAATTGGAGCATTTAGCCCATTTACATTTAAGGTTAATATTGTTATGTGTGAATTTGATCCTGTCATTATGATATTAGCTGGTTATTTTGCTCGTTAGTTGATGCAGTTTCTTCCTAGCCTCGATGGTCTTAACAATTGAGCATGTTTTTGCAGTGGCTGGTACCAGTTTTTCCTTTCCATGTTAAGTGCTTCCTTCAGGAGCTCTTTTAGGGCAGGCCTGGTGGTGACAAAATCTCTCAGCATTTGCTTGTCTGTAGAGGATTTTATTTCTCCTTCACTTATGAAGCTTAGTTTGGCTGGATATGAAATTCTGGTTGAAAATTCTTTTCTTTAAGAGTATTGAATATTGGCCCCCACTCTCTTCTGGCTTGTAGAGTTTCTGCCGAGAGATCCGCTGTTAGTCTGATGGGCTTCCCTTTGTGGGTAACCCGACCTTTCTTTCTGGCTGCCCTTCACATTTTTTCCTTCATTTCAACTTTGGTGAATCTGACAATTATGTGTCTTGGAGTAGCTCTTCTCGAGGAGTATCTTTGTGGTGTTCTCTGTATTTCCTGAATGTGAATGTTGGCCTGCCTTGCTAGATTGGGGAAGTTCTCCTGGATAATATCCTGCAGAGTGTTTTCCAACTTGGTTCCATTCTCCCTGTGACCTTCAGGTACACCAATCAGACGTAGATTTGGTCTTTTCACATAGTCCCATATTTCTTGGATGCTTTGTTCATTTCTTTTTATTCTTTTTTCTCTAAACTTCTCTTCTCGCTTTATTTCATTCATTTGATCTTCCATCACTGATGCCCTTTCTTCCAGTTGATTGAATCGGCTACTGAGGCTTGTGCATTCATCACGTAGTTCTCCTGCCATGGTTTTCAGCTCCATCAGGTCCTTTAAGGACTCCTCTGCATTGGTTATTCTAGTTAGCCATTCATCTAATCTTTTTTTTCAAGGTTTTTAACTTCTTTGCCATGGGTTCGAACTTCCTCCTTTAGCTTGGAGTAGTTTGATTGTCTGAAGCCTTCTTCTCTCAACTCGTCAAAGTCATTCTCCATCCAGCTTTGTTCCATTGCTGGTGAGGAGCTGCGTTCCTTTGGAGGAGGAGAGGGGCTCTGATTTTTTGAGTTTCCGGTTTTTCTGCTGTTTTTTCCCCATCTTTGTGGTTTTGTCTACCTTCGTCTTTGATGATGGTGACGTACAGGTGGGGTTTTGGTGTGGATGTCCTTTCTGTTTCTTAGTTTTCCTTCTACCAGTCAGGACCCTCAGCTACAGGTCTGTTGGAGTTTGCCAGAGGTCCACTGCAGTCCCTGTTTGCCTGGGTATCAGCAGTGGACGCTGCAGAACAGTGGATATTGGTGAGCAGCAAATGTTGTTGCCTGATCGTTCCTCTGGAAGTTTTGTCTCGGAGGCATACCTGGCCGTGTGAGGTGTCAGTCTGCCCCTACTGGGGGGTATCTCCCAGTTAGGCTACTCAGGGGTCAGGGACCCACTTGAGGAGGCAATCTGTCCATTCTCAGATCTCCAGCTGCATGCTGGGAGAACCACTACTATCTTCAAAGCTTTCAGACAGGGACATTTAAGTCTGCAGAGGTTTCTGCTGCCTTTTGTTTGGCTATGCCCTGCCCCCAGAGGTGGAGTCTACAGAGACAGGCAGGCCTCCTTGAGCTGCAGTGGGCTCCACCTAGTTGGAGCTTCCCAGATGTTTTGTCTACCTACTGAAACCTCAGCAATGGCGTGTGCCCCTCCCCCACCCTTGCTGCCACCTTGCAGTTTGATCTCAGACTGCTGTGCTAGCAATGAGCGAGGCTCCATTGGCCATGCGTGGGATATAATCTCCTGGCATGCCATTTGCTAAGACCATTGGAAAAGCGCAGTATTAGGGTAGGAGTGACCCGATTTTCCAGGTGCCATCCGTCACCCCTAGGAAAGAGAATTCCCCGACCCCTTGTGCTTCCTGGGTGAGGCAATGCCTCGCCCTGCTTTGGCTCAGGCTCGGTGCACTGCACTTACTCGCCTGCACCCACTGTCCAACAATCCCCAGTGAGATGCACCCGGTGCCTCAGTTGGAAATGCAGAAATCATTCATCTTCTGCCTCGCTCATGCTGGGAGCTGTAGACTGGAGCTGATCCTATTTGGCCATCTTGGCTCCACCCCCTGGTTCACAGTTTTCATTGGATTATATATTGTGGCAAACAAAGTTCAGCCATTTAAACAAGTTTCAATTTCATCAAAGAATAATGTGGATCTAGCTATCTTTTATAAAATGGTGAGTTTGTATTTTTAGCTAGAATTCCAAAGTAAAAGCTATTGGACCTTTGTGTGTGTATATATGTGTTTAGATACATTTATGTGTATGTACATATATTGTATTTCGTGTTCAGCATGCTACTAAGTTGGCTTATAAGTAAGTAAGTACTCATAAATTAAGTCCAAATGCTTTTCAAGTTCATGTGAATTTAGTAATCCTTGATAAATAAAACTTAGTTTTAAGAATATTGGTGAGATAAAAATAGATATGTCTTCATAATTGTCAACACATATTTTTGTCTGAGTTTATTGACCAAATTGTTTTGTATTGTCATATATTAAGATGTCAGGGTTTGATATATAAATGTTATAAGACTATAAACCCAGCCAAAACCAGAATAATCTTTATGTGATTTTTTTTGATGAATAAGACTAATTTGGTATTATTTGTTCAATGAAAACAGTTAAATCTTCTTAGTTATTGACAAAATGCCTGGATGTTTAACTTGTTGTCCTTAGATAAACATCTTATGTTCACAGGCTTTAAAAATGGTGAACAGAGGAGCAAATTTAAATAATGACTACTGATATAGTTTGGATATGTGTCCCCACCCAAATCTCATGTTGAAATGTAATGCCCAGTATTGGAGGTAGAGCTGGGTAAGAGGTGATTTGATCGTGGGGGTAGGTTTCTCACAAATGGTTTAGCACCAACTGCTTGGTTCTGTCCTTATGACAGTTAGTTCTCATGAGATCTGGGCATTTAAAAGTGTGTGGCTTCTCCTCGCTCTCTCTCTTTCCTGTGCTCTGGCCATGTAATGTGCCTGCTCCCCCTTTGCCTTCTGCCATGATTATAAGTTTCCTGAGTCCTCCCTAGAAGCCAAGCGGATGCCAGCATCATGCTTCCTGTACAGCCTGCAGAACCATGAGCCAATTAAATCTCTTTTCTTTAGAAATCACCCAGTCTCAGGTATTTCTTTACAACAATAAGAGAACAAATGAATATAATTACCTTTGTGTAACAGTTCAGTTTTCAGAAGTAGTCTAGATACGCTATTAAAAATGGAAGAATTGAGTACATGTAAATTAGATAAATGCTTGTAAATGAACTTTTTATATAGTTTAAAATCTTAAAAGCATTTAGGATGCTTATCGGATATCTGGGTCATTTCCAATTAAGAAACAGTTATTATATGTGAAATAGTTGTCATTTATAAAATGTTAATATTCATTAGGGAGTTCAGGGTTTCTTGCTTCCCAGATTTATGTAAAATATGTCAAAGAAGATGTGTTCTTATTGAGAAAAAGAATAATTTTGTCTAATTCAAAACTTATCTAAGAGTTGATTTGAATTATGGATTTGAAAATGTTATTTATGAAACAAGGTAGATAGTTACCAGTAAGTAGGGGAGAGAGATGTGAAGAAAGATAGGGATATGAAGATGTCTTTTTGGTAAGGAAGATTGTAAAGAAAATGAGTACTTTTATCTGAGAAACAATCTTGTATGGTAAATTCTTGTCCTAAAGTAAAATGGCTGGTTATTTAAGAAAGAGGTAGCATAGGGCAAGTCAGAAAGTCCAAGCATGTCACAGATGGTCTTTGTAAGTTGTGATAAAGTTCATGAAGGGGAGTTTAAAAAAGGAATTTTGTATGTGATTAATTTAGCTCTAATTAACAGGGAATTATTTATAATACCCTTTCTAAAGAACATTCCCCTACGTTAAAGCAACATTTTCTTAAGATATTGATTTGCCCTTTATAAGATTACAAGAAATTTTGTGTTTCAATTCTACAACCTATTTTTTTTTAAAAAAACTTCTCAGATTAGTATCTTAAAAGTTCACCTGTTGTTTCACTGCTTTCAGCTTTTTTTGCCCCTTAAAATGGTCTGAGATGATAACTTCCTCCTTCAACTTTTTCATCAGCTCCTGTAAATTTTCTCCTCTGGTTCCAACTGTTGTTGTGGCCTGATGCTGAAATATTTTTATCTTAGAGGTCCATAAAATCAATGTTTTCCTCTAGCATAACTTGATTCTATACGCTTGGCTTTTCTTGATGTGTCTCAATTTTCAATATAATCAGGAAACTTCTCATGCAATTACTAAGAGTCATGTATTTCCCTGCTATATTCATAAACTTGAACACATTCTTTCTGTGTCCAATTAACTCCAAGTAGTTTTTAAATCAAGTTTGTCTTCCAGATTATCTAAACTGGCTTCCCATGAGGAGAAGCAGTCACACTGAAGAAGGTTTTTTTCTTTGCCTTTTTGGTAACTGGGTTAAAGATAAGATTTTACATTTTATCAAGATAGTTCACATGGTGTCTTTTTTTTTTTTTTTTTTTTTTTGAGACAGAGTCTCACTCTGTCACCCAGGCTGGAGTGCAGTGGTGTGATCTCGGCTCACTGCAACCTCCGTCTCCCGAGTTCAAGCGATTCTCCTCAGCCTCCTGAGTAGCTGGGACTACAGGTGTGTGCCACCACGCCTGGCTAATTTTTTGTAGTTTTAGTAAAGATGGGGTTTCACCATGTTAGCCAGGATGGTCTTGATCTTCTGATCTCATAATCCACCCACCTTGGCCTCCCAAAGTGCCGGGATTACAGGCATGAGCCACTACACCTGGCCTCATATGTTGTCTTTAAGTTTTTAATTGCTTAAAAATCCCCTGAGATTTGAAAGAATTAGTTTTTATACCCATGTAACCTTCTGTATTGCCTTTAAAGTCTTTTAATTATCACTTTGGATAAATGAATAACTATTGTTTTACAAGAACCTGTGGTTCTGTTTTGAGCATATGTTTTAATCTTTTTAACGTCTTTGATAGACGTCTTCAAAATTGAATCCTAAATTAAATTACTGACTTATTGCTGGGGTTTAGCAAAGTTTTACCAATGAATCACTGCAAGGTTATAAAATATTTTTACAGCTTCCAGTCAGGTCATGAACTCCAGTATCACCACCTCCAACCCCTTGAAAAAGTCCTCATCAAGGTGCTATCAGCTAATCCTTGTGCTGTTAATTTAAAGAGCTTTGACTTCTGGATACACGTATCATTTCTAAAGAAGGCACCAACTCCTGCCAGTATCTGACACCAAACTCAAGTCAACTGAAGCCTCATCTTTAAACCTGGGCAAAGGTGACAAAGTAAACTGCTTTCATGAGACATAGGGAAGGGTCTGTATCCAAAAAATTAAGATTTGCTTAATAATTTTGCCTGTATGTGAAATAATATAATTTAAATATTTAGCTACCTGTGGGCTTCCTTTCCTGTCATTCTTGGAACTAGGCAAGGTTTATGACCTTTTTGTTTAAAATGTTGGTAATTTTTAAAAGGTTTTATCTTACCTCCAAAATGTGAAACTATTCAATCCTTCCAAGCCCAGGGAGGATTGTGGAAAAGGTGGATGTGTGAGATTTTAAGGGCTGATCTTGAGGGAAAAAATTAATTCAGACCCTCCAAATCAAGAATGGGCACACAGGTACCTGAATAGCTAAACGAAAATGCTTATGTTTTGTACAGCTACTTGTTACAAGCCAAGATTACAATAGTTCAATGCATAAAATTTATAGATACGCCAATTTTATAACCTGGCCTTTTTGCTTTTAGTTTTTGGCTCTTACATTGCATAAAAGGGGTTTTAAGGGTAATGAGTGCCTTCCCACCTCCATTTCCAACTGGCCTAGAACATTTAATTGGTGATAAGTCTTTTGACTCTTAAGTCTCTTGGCCACAGGGGTCCTGCTGAGGGACATGATATGCTACACAGGGAAGGTAGCACACCACTGCAGCATCAATAGAAGACAAAATAAAAGCTTGGCCATTGGTACTGCCTCTGGCATATCTTGACAAAAGAGGGGAATAGAAACTGAAAAAAAAATTCAGGCTGGGCTGGGTTTGGTGGCTCATGCTTGTAATCACAGCACTTTGGGAGGCTGAGGCAGGAGGATCACTTGAACCAGGAGTTCAAGACCGGCCTGGGCAACATAGTGAGATTCTGTCTCTGCCCCCCCAACCCCCCAAAAAAAAGAGCTGGCCATAGTGGTATGCACCTGTGGTCCCAGCTACTCAGGAGACCGAGATGTGAGGATTGCTTGAGCTGAGGAGGTCAAGACTGCAGTGAGCCATGATCATGTCACTACACTCCAGCTTGGATGACAGAGTGGTACCCTCTCTCGAAACAAAACAAAACAAAACAAAAATCTGAAACCCCCCTGACTGAATGGGCTTTCCCTTGTTAAAAGAAAAACTTCAGGTGATTTAAATTTAATGGAGTTTAATTGAGCAATGAATGATTTGTGAATCAGGCAGCCCTACAATTATAGCAAATTCTGAGAGACTCCAGGGATGCCTTATGGTCAGAAGAAATTTACAGACAAAAAAAGGGAAGTGACACACAGAAATTGGAAGTGAGATACAGAAACAGCTGGATTGGTTACAGGTTGGCATTTGAATTATTTGAACACAGTTTGAACACTCAGCAGCGTATGAGTGGTTGAAGTATGGCTGCTGGGATTGGCCAAGACTCATCTACTGTTACAGATGCATACTCCTAAGTTAGGTTTTCAATCTTGTCTAACTATTAAGTTAGGTTACAGTTCCTTCACAAGGACTCAAATATAGAAGTATGGAGTTCTTCTCAGGCCATTTTTAGTTTGCCTTAACTCCTTCTTGGCCAAAGGGGAACCTCCCCACCTAAAAAACTTGAAAAACTAGTTCAGGCCATGATGAGAAGTGATGGTGGTGTGGGGGATGGTCAGACACTCCTTGCTAAACCTTCCCTCACTTTTTTGAATTCAGGCACAGCTGATTAGCATTAATATTGAAATAAAAACTACAAGGCTGCAAAACAGACTCTTTAGAACAATAAAATACCACATTATAAACAAGACCTAAGACCATGCTAGGCAAGGGGAAGTCACACACTCCTACCCTTAAAAAAGTAAACTATGTTTACAGTTGCCACAAACTTTCTCTTCTCTAGCAGTCAAATAAGTACTGGCCTTAAAATAAGATGACTAATTCTCAGCCCCTGTTCCTCCAGCCATAAGTACGGCTTTAGTTAGACAAGGAACTAATGTCAGTAACTTTCTCCTGATAAAAGACCACTGACCATGGACCAGTTCTGTCTAGTTTACAGAAAAGTCACACCTGCATGCCTTTATGTCCTGAAAAGCCTTTTTGACATAAAAGGCCTAATAGAAATACGTTTAAATAGTAAGTCTCAATCCCAAAATAAACATGAGTCATATGTTATATTTGTTCAATACACATGTGTCAGGACCACCTTCATGAATATTTATAACTTCTCCTATAACTTGTTAAATATGTATATTTAATCAACCTGTTGTCATATCCCCCCAGGAACTCAGGGTACAATTTACAGTTGGGACCGTGCACTATAATTAAGACTAAATGCTGTGTGTACTTCCCAGATGACTCCAGAAACATATCCTCAGTCCTACAAGACATGCACAAGCAAACTAATGCCATGTCTAATCCCATAATGTTGTTAAGTCATAGGGCTTTAGATAGCCTGACTGCCGCCCAGGGCAGTACTTGTGCATTAATTAAGGCTGAGTATTATATATAATACCATATTATTCTCACATTATAACTCAAGCTATGCATGCAATAGATTTCTATATTTCTGTTACAGATGCCCCCTATCAGGACCCTATTATGTAGTCGGCTTCCTAGTGCAAGGAAGACTTATATCTATTATATAATTTATATTCTGCACAGTGACCTGTCCAGCTTCTGTGGCTTTTATTGCTGTTATACACTCTGTATGGGGATGCAAGACAAATGTCCACAGAAACCCTTGGGTCCCCTCACCATAATGCTTCAGCAAGATTCTGCTGTAAGCTTGAGAATATTTCCAACTCCAGGCAAGCAGATTCCATTTCGATGCCCTATAGCTATACCCCCTTTCAGCAGAAAGTAGTCAAAATGAATATGACACCCAAATCCCATAGCAATTGAATGGAATTTGACAGTAAGGAGTTGTAACCGAGTACCCAATTTTTCTTTTTCTTTTTCTGTCTTTTTTTTCTTTTCTTTCTTTTCTTTTTTTTTTTAAGACAGAGTCTCACTCTGTTACCCAGGCTGGAGTGGAATGCTATGATCTCGGCTCACTGCAACCTCTGCCTCCCAGGTTCAAGGGATTCTCCTGCCTCAGCCTCTCAAGTAGCTGGGATTACAGGCACCCGCCACCATGCCCAGCTAATTTTTGTATTTTAGTAGAGACAGGGTTTTGTCATGTTAGCCAGGCTGGTTTCGAACTCCTGACCTCAGGTGATTTCCTCACCTCAGCCTCCCAAAGTCCTGGGATTACAGGCGTGAGCCACTGTGACCAGCCTCCATTTTCCCAAAAATTATTTTTATGTTTTCTCTTTTTCCCTGTGTGTTCACCTGTTAGTTCTTTAGGGATGCAATTATAACCTTTACCTTCTCTCTACCAGGCACTCCCTGCATGGCATGTTTATCTAATTATATGTTTGCTTAGAAATTCTGAGGACCAAATGTTGAACCAAACCAGACACTCTCTGTGACTCTCCCCTGCCCCCAGCAGATTGACTCGAGACAATGGTCAATTTACAACCTAGCTCTGCCCACGATGGCATCAGCCAGACCATCTGATAGATAAGACATTAAAGCAAGTCATGTAGACCCCGCATCTCCTTGTCCCCTACCCTGCATGCCATTCACACCAAATCCCCCTTTAAAGCCCCTGCTTTCTGTCCAGAAAGCTGAAGCAGTTCCTTTAAGGCAGGAGTCTGTACTGCTTCCGTTCAGCTAGGTTTTGAAATAAAAGTCACATTCTTTTTACCATCCTGGTGCTTGTTATCTGAATTTTCCAGCAGTGGGTGGCCAAATCTGGGTTCAGCTACACTCTTACTAGAAATTATAAATATTCCCTTCTCCATTCACAAGAGCTAATTTAGGAGATATTTGTACCATGCCTCTTCCACTGTCAATCTTCTTTCTCCCACTACTACTTCTAATTACAAGTGACCAATTTCACCCCTCCTACCAGAATTCCCTGAGAAATTATTATATATCCTTCAAGAATAATGAAAGATATCATTTAACTGAAGATAAGAAATATGGATCAGAAAAAGTAGAGGACACCCAATCAAGAGACACTACTCTTGACACAGCCATTGCAAAATTATAACTAAGACAGCAAAAGAGATGTGACCTAACCAACTCCATCTTGCTTGTAACCTCCACGCTGTGCTTGTTCATTCCTGGGCATAGGCCAAACTAACACTGGGAGAAACTCAGTTTAAAACAAAGAAGATAACAGCTCTTTCTCAAAACAAACCTCTGTCTTGCCTGAGGACTAGATTGCCTTCGTAGGACTAACGAATTAGCCACAATATTAGAAATTATGGTTTAGGAGTCATGCAGCTGGAGGCTATAAGATTCTGACCCTTCCCAAGTTGCTTTTGGGAATAACATCAGTATTGTACAGTCAAGAAAAGCGCTTGAGATATTTTGCAGACCCTGTACTTGATGCATCAGGTGGCATCACCCAGATCGATAAACAGGCTCATCTGATTTTGTGGCCACCACCCGGGAACTGACTCAGTGTAAGACAGCTTTGACTGCCTATGATTCCATCTCTGACCTGACCAATCAGCACTCCTAGCTCACTGGTGCCCTGCCCCTCTACCAAATTATCCTTAAAAATTTTGATCTCCAAAGCTCAGGGAGACAGATTTGAGTAATAATAAAACTATGGTCTCCCACACAGCCGGCTGTGCGTGAATTACTCTTTCTCTGTTGCAATTCCCCCATCTTCATAAATTAGCTCTATCTAGGCAGCAGGCAAGGTGAACCCATTGGGCAGTTACACTCTCTTCCCTTGAAATCCCTGCTCATCGCTAACATAAATTAGAATGTTTCTCAGGTGTCACAAGTCAGTGTGTATTAATGAGCCTCTCCAGAATTTAAGATTAGGAAAAAATCTGTTTTAAAAAATCTGGAAGGGACAAATACAAACAGAAGTGACATAGCCACCATGGAATCTAAAAAGAATGAGGAAGAGGAAAAAAAGGAAAGGGAAGGAGGAAGGATGGCCAAAAAGGAGAAAGAGGAAGGGAAAATGTCATTGATAAACTGAGTTCTTTCCCTACTCAGTATCTGTTGCAAAGAAAGAACATTCAATTGCGGGAGAGGTTGGGTAAAGGCAAGTAGATTTTATTCCTATTGGAGAATGGAGAAGGAGAGAGCTTTTGCTCTAAAGACAGCTTCTCCGGCTGGGTGCAGTGGCTCACACTTGTAATCCAAGCACTTTGGGAGGCCGAAGCGAGCGGATCACCTGAGGTCAGGAGTTCGAGACCAGCCTGGCCAACATGGGGAAACCCCCTCTCTGCCAAAAAAAAAAAAAAAAAAAAAACAGACCAGGTGTGGTGGCGGGTGCCTGTAATCCCAGCTACTCGGGAGGCTGAGGCATGAGAGTCACTTGAACCCGGGAGGTGGAGGTTGCAGTGAGCTGAGGTGTGCCACTATACTCCAGTCTGGGTGACAGAGTGGGACTCCGTCTCAATCAATCAATCAATCAATCAATAAAATAAAAACAGCTTCTCCACTAGAGATGGGAAGCTGGGGAATTGTGAGGAGTTAGATGTGGGGTGGGGAGGTATGTAATCATGTGAAGAGAGGAACCCCAGACATGAAGGTGCATCTCATAAACATGCCTTTTCATACCAGGTACATTCAGAAAATGGTGGTGATTTTCTCCTGTGGGTGGGGAGTTTAGTATTATGAGGACATGTTAATGATCTAAAGGTAACAAGCAGTTGCTGGTTCCAGTTTGCCCCAGCCTTGAGCTGATTTATTGTCCTTTGGTAACTGGGGAAGGGTCCTGAAGCTCCTGCAGCCCCCTGGGGCATCTGGAGTTCTTTTAAGCAAACACACCTATAAATAAAGAGAATAGAAAAAAAAAACATGTTTAAGAAAAAATAATGAGCTTTCTTAGCTATCTATTGTTTAAGAAAATAATAAGCTTTCTCAGCTATATCTCCAGGGCTGCCCTGGTAATAAAAGGAGGAGTAGACAAAGAACAGAATTTGGTGTGGTGTGTCCTCTGGAGCTGTCTCAGGCAGGCAGAGATGAAACCTGACCATTGTAAGTAAGTGTCTAGTTATTGAAAAGTTATTGGAGAGGGTTTTTCTTGGGCAACAGGAATCAACCAACAGGCTCCAGAATAGTCCAGATCCCACATTCCTCAAGATCAACCAACCTTTTTTTTGTTTGGGTCTTGTGCCCTGCAAGCCACACTTTGGTAATTAATGTTCATTTTCTGGTGCCTAATCTTTGATATGCGTGCACCTGGCTACAACAGAGGAAGAATGACTGTTTCTAGCATTTGGTCACCCTGGACAAGTGGAATGGTCAGATATTGAATTTCTAACACTGTAAAGCCAAACCCTGGCTTCTAAGAAAACCATCACAATGCAGCCTTTTATGAAGTCCAATTTGAGGCTGCTTTCCTTCAGCTTTCTGAAGCCCCTGCTGGGAAGCTAACAGAGAGGGCAGCCGGGGAAGAGTGGTGAGGATGCTATTTACAGTTACGAGATCTGAGTCTGACATTATGAATGCTGTTACTGCCTACTCAGGGCCACAGGACTTAATTTCACCTCTCCCAGCCTGCTTTCCTATCTGTGCAATAAAAATAATGACTTCAGTGTTTACCTGAGTGTCATGAGATAAAGCAGACACCTCTTACAGCGCCTGGTTCTTGGTAAATCATTAATGTTTCTTGAATGAAAAAAAAAAAAAACCTCAAGAATTCCTAAGGACACTTGATAGATGTGTTTTTTGAAGGGGTATGAATGTAGCAATTCTGAAGTGTTTTTTTTGTTTTGTTTTTGTTTTTTGAGATTAAGTCTTACTTTTGTCGCTCAGGCTGGAGTACAATGGCATGATCTCGGCTCACTGCAACCTCCACCTCGTGGGTTCAAGCGATTCTCCTGCATCAGCCTCCCAAATAGGTGGGATTACAGGTGCCCGCCACCATGCCTGGCTAATTTTTGTATTTTTAGTAGAGACGGGGTTTCACAATGTTGGCCAGGCTGGTCTCAAACTCCTGACGTTGTGATCTGCCCACCTTGGCCTCCCAAAGTGCTGGTATTACAGATGTGAGCCACTGAAATGTCTTTTATATGTATTATATAAATTAGTGCATGATTAAATATATTCCAGTTGTTGGGAAATAGGGCCCCTTTATTGGAAAAAGAAGATACAGATATGAAAGAGGGAAGAGAGCACCAGTCCCAGGGTATTGACTGGAATTAGGGTTATTAGTACGAATTCATAATGTGTGTATATGTGTGTGTGTGTGTGTGTGTGTGTTTATTTAATAGCTTTGTCTATTAAAAAGTTCTGGAAACAATGACACCTCAGTAGTAATGAGCACAGCTGGTACTCGCTTGTTGGTTTCTAAAGTTCATTTCCCAATATAAGGGACCAGGCCTCCTTAGAAAAAAGGTTGTGAGGCCGCAAAGCCATGTCCTCCATCCCTAGTGTGTGATGGTTAATTTTAGGTGTCAACTTGACTGGATGAAGGAATACCTAAAGTGAGGGTGTTTCCAGAAGAGATTAGCATATGTGTCTGAGTGAATTAAGTGGGGGAAGACTTGCCCTCAGTGTAGGCAGGCACCATCCAATAGGATGGGGACCCCAGTAGACCAAAAACAGAGAAAAGAAGAGTTGATCTCTCTCTCCACTTATTTTATTTCCTTTCCTGCCTCAGATATCTGAACTCCAGGCTCCCCAGCCTTTGAACTCCAGGACTTATGCCAGTGACGCCATGGGTTCTCAGGTCTTTGGCTTTGGACTGAGAGCTACACCATTAGCTTCTCTGGTTCTGAGGCCTTTGGGCTTGGACTGAGCTTCCTGGAGTATTCCAGGGTCCCCAGCTTACAGACGACCTGTCATGGGATTTCTCAGCCTCCATAATCATATTACCCAATTGCCCTAACAAATATCCTCTCTCTCCTCAATCAATCCATCCATCCATCCACCCTACTGGTTCAGTCTCTCTGAAGAACCCTGACTAATACACCAAGTTTCAACATTCAGAGGTGTCTACATGGCTCATCTACACTGTTGTCCCTTAGGAGCTGCAGCTTGGAGGACTTCAACACCGACTAGCGGGCCATCAAGAAGGAAGATCCTCTCCAAACTACAACAGGGGCTGCAGCCCTCCTCAGGCCCAACCGGATGGGAAACATGGCACTGTGGGGTGTGTTCATGGTGTGTGGGGCATGGATCCATAATGTGCTGATCAAGAGCCACTGCTGAGTAAGGTCCATAGGAGCACCGTGTGTATGCATGCGGGACACACTGGGGCAGTTGCAGATTCAGCACTGCTATGCGCAAGTTCAAAGTGACCTCTAGGCTGCAGCTTCGTAGCCTCGAATTGGAGCCAAATGCACCAGGAATGGCTACAATAGTATGTAGTTTTCACTGAACAAGCTTCCTTTCTTGACTTCCAATCCCACTGTAATCTAGGTGCTAATTTCACCTCAATCCTAAGGTGAATCGCAATGAATGAACAGAGCCATGCATTCCAAATCTTTCTAGTTGTGAAACTACTCATGTAAAATTCTTTCTAAGGTTCTTGTTATAGGGCCTTGTTAAAGGGAGTCAACCAAAATCCTGTCCCTACTGAAATACTAGCCATGATACATAGCAGAAGAGGGAAGAAAGTCTAAATCATTTTAGAAGAAAGACAAAATAAAATTCTGTTTCTGGACTCTTTTCATGGACTTCTTAGCAACCACAAAATACTGTCACTCTGCTACTCTCTACGAATGTAATAATATGGAAGCACAAATAAGTCACATCGAAAAAATCTACAGTTACAGAGCATCATCTGAAAATTATAATCCTATCAAGTTCCCACACCGAGCAGTGAGTTGTCTCTGTAAAGTTCTGCAGCATTCCCATGGCCAGTTGTGAGGCAGAAAAAATCACTGCATTCTGAACACTAAAAGAGGCTCAGAGTCAAATGATGGCATTATATGATACTCAGACGGTGGTGACATGAGTTACTGGATTTGAGCACTCACTGGGTTTCAGCTGTTATTCCAGAGAAGCCCTGAATTTTTCTTTATTTCCAACATTCCCTTAATTATACCCTCCCATTTATTCTGACAGTGAGCTCCACGTTTTGCCAATACCCAGAAAGTATGCCCTTGGCGTTCTAATTGGGGTTGCACGAATTAGTGACTTTGCCTGCATTTCTTTATCACTCACAGTGAGCCTGAAATGCCCCTTTACCCTTAATTTTCCAGAGCCCTGGGGGTGTTTTTGCCATCTGGCGTTCAAGACTTCCCGCTGAGCCCTTCCCTTCCCCTGTGCCCACTGGGGCTTGGATCTGCCCCTTGAAAGGCATGGTCTATGCTTCCAACCTGCACACAACTGGTCAAAGCAGATGCATACTCACAATCACTAGGGACCCTTCTTCAAGCGAATGATATTTACAATTTCTCACCATGAAAGTCCCTCATAATCTCCATGTTTCCAAACAGTGTACCAGGTGAACACAGCTTAAAGAACAGCAAATTTTCAGATCATGGAAAGTGAAAAAGATGTGGGAGCAGAGGTCCTGGATTCAATGCCAAGTTTATCATCACCTTAGAATATGATGCTGGCTGGGCGTGGTGGCTCATGCCTGTAATCCCAGCACTTTGGGAGGCCGAGGTGGAAGGATCACCTGAGGTCGGGAGTTCAAGACCAGCCTGACCAACCTGGAGAAACCCCGTCTCCACTAAAAAATACAAAATTAGCCAGCTGTGGTGGTGCATGCCTGTAATTCCAGCTACTTGGGAGGCTGAGGCAGGAGAATCACTTGAACCCAGGAGGCGGAGGTTGCAGTGAGCCAAAGGTTGCAGTGAGCCGAGATTGCGGCATTGCACTCTCACCTGGGCAACAAGAGCGAAACTCCATATCAATCAATCAATAAAAAAGAATATGATGCTAAAAACAGCAAATCACACAGGGTTTAACATGTGCTAAGAGTTTAAAATGAATTCATTTCATTTAGCCTGTACGACTTTCATTTATTTTAGAGATGAGAAAGTCAAGGAACCCAAATGTTAATTAGGTAACAGGTCCAAGGTACACAGCAGGTAAGGTGCAGAATGAGACTAGTTCCCAGGCATCTGGCTCCGCACCTGAGCTGTCAACCACTTCTCCAAGTTGTGTGATTCAGAGCTTGTTTGAAAGCCAGCTTCCTCATGTTTGAATGTAATTCCTGTAGTAGAGATTAACCATATGGGAAGTTAACTGGGATAAACAAAACATTGCGTAAGTTTATATGACACTCTGTGCTTCAGGCATTGGGTGCCTCACAAATATTTGCAAACACAATCAGGCAAGAGCTGATAAATGCCTCTGCATGGCGGCCTCGTCACTAGGAATTACCCAAACCAGTCAAATGGCCTCGATCCCTGGGGTTCAGAGGCCTTTTCTTAAACACAAAAACCCTTAAGCTCTTTGCTGCTCAACTGTGGTTCAGCAAGCGATTTGCTACCCAACCATCTATCTTTTTTTAAGCATCTTCTTCCTCTTTTACCTGCAACTGGCCTTACCATTCATCCCCATGATCCCCACTGACATAGAATCTTGAGACTCACTGGCAGGGGCTGGACACAAAGGAGCCAGTGAGAAACCCACATATGAGGGTGGTACAGACTCTAGGAAAAAGCCAGAGTGTCTCAAGGAATGTTCAGGCAGTTGGGAGCCTAGGTAGGTGCCAAGGAGGTACCCCCAGGTCTATGGGTCCTGCCCTGGGAGGCCCTGAACAGCCTTACTCTGATGTGTGGGCAGGTCTGAGATCTCAGAGGTCTTCTCACTGGATTCACTTGTCCATTTCTTGCTCACTTTCCCAAAGCCTTAATGAGTGCCTCCCATGTGCAAGGCAGGAGAGAGGACTCAGTGGTGACTGAGATAAACCTTCTGCCTTAACAACCTTTACAGTTGAGCGGGCAATGCAGACAATACATGAGGGAAAACCATGGAAACAAAATGATTTTAGAGAGGATGAGCACTACGAGGCCATAAATAGGGTGAAGGTAAAGAGGGATACAGTAAGCACATCACTAGTCTGTGGTGGCCAGGAAAGGGCACTTCAGAAAATAGGAGCAGAGCTCGTGTCTAAATGAAAGAGGCAGCCACTCGCCTATCTGGGAAAGGTGTTCTTGGCAGAGGAAATAGTGCAGGGTCCTTAGATGAAAGGGAGTTTGGTATGTTAGGGAAACAGAGGTAAGGTCAGTGGTCAGATAGGATGGGTTTGGGCAGACACACTCAAGAACTAGGGCATGTAAGGTATCGTTGAGGAGAGTTAGGAGCACAGATTTGAGTTTCAGTCAAGTTGGAGACACGGGAGGGCTTTGAGAACCGTGGTCTCATGATCTCATGTATTTTATTGAAAAATTATGCTGGATGCATGGTTATGTAGGTGAGATGGGGTGGGGAGATAGTTCGGGATGGGGAAAAATAAACCCTGACTGATACTAGTGGGACAAGTGTGTCACTTGATGAGGAGAGGGAACAGGAAGGAGCGAGAGTCTCTGCCTGGAAACTCTCAGATTCTTGAAAGTCTGGCTCACTTCCAGCTGCAGAATCTGAATTGAAGGCACCTGGAAAACCCAATACTGTGTTTAAGTCTCACGGCAGCCCTGCTATGCAGCAGTGGTAACATAACTCAGTTTCATAGGGTCAGTCATGGGAAATTGGGCCTACACTCTGGTCTGTGCCTCTGGGCCAACTATCTTGGCCCTGCCCTGAAGGAAGCCAGAGTTCTAGTCAGTCCATGGTCATCAGACCCATCTGTTAGTGGATTGACTGGGTGGTGTCATCCAGAAGGAAGAAGGGTATATTAGTCTGTTCTTATGCTGCTATAAAGACATACCTGAGACTGGGTAATTCATAAAGGAAAGAGGTTTAATTGACTTACAGTTCTGCATGTCTGGGTCTGGGAAGTTCTCAGGAAACTTACAATCATGGTGGAAGGGGAAGCAGGCACTTCTTACATGGTAGCAGGTGAGAGAGAGTATGTATGAGTGTAGGAAAAACTACCATTTATAAAACCATTGGATCTAGTGAGAATCTATTCACTATCACAAGAACAGCATGGGGAAAACTGCCCCTATAATCCAATCACTTACCTCCCTCAACACATGGGGATTACAATTTGAGATGAGATCTGGGTGGGGACACAGAGCCAAACCATATCAGAGGGGGCAACACAGGAAGGCTGGCAGCTTGGTGTCTGAGGTCTTTTCCAACCCCGAGTCCAGTTTTATAAATGGGATGGGGAGAGGAATCCTGTGTTTTGTGAGTTGTGGGCCTAAGGAATATTATCGATGACACCCAGGGAAGAGCTGATTGTTAAGCACTTGCAGGTCCTTTGTATTGTTAAGGACAATCCAAGTCAGTGAAATAATCTCAGCCTCTGAGGACCAGTAGCTTTTCCATTAACACAAAAGCACCAAAGGTCTTCCCTGCTCAACACTGTGGTGCAGGAGGCCAGTGGCTATCCTACCATGTCTTTTTCCTTAACACCTCTTTCCTCTTTTCCCACAAACTTGAGCTTCCCCTGCCTTCTATATAAACTGCATTAATGAGTGGCTGTCTTGTGCTACCCAGAGGGAGTAAGATAATCTCTCTGCCACACCAGCCCATATGGTGCAGAGGATGATGCAGAAAATACACAAGGAATAAACACAGAAATATGATGATTCAGAAAGGATGAGTGCTATGAGGTAATAAATCGGACCAAAGGAATAGAAAATGTGTTAGTTCGTTCTCATACTGCTATAAAGAACTGCTCAAGACTGAGTAATTTATAAAAGAAAGAGGTTTAATTGACTCTGAGTTCTGCATGGCTGGGGAGGCCTCAGGAAGCTTACAATCATGGTGGAAGGTGAACGGGAAGCAAGGCACCTTCTTCACAAGGTGGCAGGAGGGATAGTGAATACAGGAAGAACTACCACTTATAAAACCATCGGATCTCGTGAGAACTCACTTACTATCATGAGAACAGTATGGGGGAAACTGCACCCATGAATCAATGACCTCCACCTGGTCTCTCTCTTAACACATGGGGTTATGGGGATTACAAGGGGGATTCAAGATGAGATTTGGGTGGGATCACAGAGCCTAACCATATCAGAGAGGGATGAGGAAGCACCATCACTAAGCTACAGTGGTCAGGAAAGGGCACTTTAAGAAGACGTGATTAGAGTTGGTATCTAAATGAAGGAGGCAGCCACCACATATGTGGTGTAAAGGTATTCTCGGCAGAGGAAATGCCCAGTGCAAAATTCTGAGACTTAGTGAGCCTGCCATGCTAACTGGACAAAATCGTGGTCAGTGGAGTCACAGGAGGTGCTTGGGTAGGTATACACCTGCAAGGACCAGGGCATGGACAACCTCATGGGCCAGGAGAGCATAGATTTGAGTCTCAGTGTAAGTTGTAGGCACTGGAGGGCTTTGAGCAGCATGGCCCATGGTCTTATTTATGGTTTTTAAATGCTGACATTGGCCTCACAGTCGTAAAGGTGAGACAGTTCAGGGAGGAGATAGGGAAAGGGTTGATTACTTAGCCTTTGTGGTCCTTCCAACTCTCAGTCCAGGCTTGTGATGGGGCAGAGAGGACACAGAACAGGGAAGAGAATCAGGGATCCTCGAAAAGTGTTCACATAATTTTGTCTGGGGCTGGTCCTCACTGAAGAGTGTTGGCTTTGACCTGTAAACCCACTTGAGACACCCTTCAGAGTCAAGGTTAAGGTGGCTTCCCGGTGGACACCCCAAGGGAGTTTGGGGTGAGAAGGAAGCTTGTGCTCTCAGGGTTAAATATAATTTGCATTTACATCATGCACATTTTAAAACTGCAATCCTAAACATTGTAATCCTATCAGGTCTTCTTTCGAGATGTGTAATTATTAATACATTAAATTATGGCAATAAAACCAATAGAGAAACAAATAAAATTATTTAAAAAGTAAGTTGGAATAAAATAGTTGCTGTTTTCCTGAATTATTTTAGAGGCTTTGCTAAAAACAACATAAAACTGTAATTATGCTACTTACAAATAGAATAAAATGGAAGTAATTAATTTATTAGTGTTGTTATTGAAATAATCTACAGGCAGAGCACATTATGAAGCAGAATCCTGTCTTTTTTCATCTTATACATGATATAATCACTCACTGGCAATAAAACTAAAATAGAAAATATGAAAATTATTGTAGAGCAGAGGAAAAGGGCTCTTGTGGTTGTGGTTGTGTAGTAGCATGCTCAGTGGGAGGTGGGATCTATCCAGGGGTGACTCACTTTCGTTTTCAGGCTGAGTGGACAGTGCTTGGTGTCCAACATTTCTTGTGGCCAGAGGAGAATGGGGAGGATGTGTCCAGCCAGGGAAGCTCCCTGGTGAAAAGGATTCCTAGGCAATTGTGTCCTGGATTTCTGGAACAGGGGAAGAGCAGAGGTTTCTTTTCTTAGGACCTGTCCCTTTAAGACTCTCTAAACATCTGAGGTCTGACAAGGGGAGGAGGTGGAGGACCAGGGCCTGGACCAGTGGAACTGTGGTCTAGTGGTCATGTTGAATAGAAGGAAGGTCCTGAGCTGTGGCAGCCAGCACCAGGAGCATCAGGTCATGCTCTTTGTGGACCTTGTGAAGGATCTGTTGAGTCAGGGTGGAGTTGACCTGAGGGAGGCCTCTTTCTCCTGGGATCCTGACCTTGGGAGGAATGCTGGGTCTCCCATGAGTCACAGCTTGGTGTTCCTCTTTAAAATACTTTTTAATTTTTAATTTATTTTATAAATTTTTTTGTGAGTACATAATAGTTGTATAAATTTATGGGATACATGAGATGTTTTGATAAAAACATGCAATGTGAAATAAGCACATCATGGAGAATGGGGTATCCATCCCCTCAAGCATTTATCTTTTGAGTTATAAACAATATAATTGCACTCTTTACTTTAAAATGTACAATTAAGTTGTTATTTAGTATAGTCACCCAATCAAAAGTAAGCCTTATTAATTCTATTTTTTTTGTAACCATTAACCTTCGCCACCTCCCCTCAACTCCCCACTAGCTTCGCAGCTTCTGGTAACCATCTTTCTACTTTCTGTGTCCATGAGTTCAATTATTTTGATTTTTAGATTCCACATTAAGTGAGAACATGCAATGTTTGTCTTTCTGTGCCTGGCTTATTTCACTTACCATGACGACCTCTGGTTCCATCCATATTGTTGCAAATGATGGGATCTTATTCTTTTTTATGGTAGAAGGTGCTCCTCTTTCTTTGGGGATGTGGACATCCGGAGGATGCCCTGGTGGTCCTTCTGCCAAATACCCCATTTGCAACACCAGGGACATAAGTATATTTTTGAAAACCTTACATTTTCTTCATTTTTTTTTGGTGTCAGATATGCGTTTTCTTTTTTATTTTATCTTCACACTACCTAGTCAACAAGTTGCATTTCCTTTTCTTTTCTTTTCTTTTTTTTTTTTTTTTTTTTTTTTTTGAGGTGGAGTCTCGCTCTGTCACCCAGGCTGGAGTGCAGTGGCACAATCTCGGCTCACTACAACCTCTGCCTGCCAGGTTCAAACAATTCTCCTGCCTCAGCCTCCCAAGAAGCTGGAACTACAGGCATGTGCCACCATGCCTGGCTAGTTTTTTATTTTTATTTTTGTATTTTTAGTAGAGAAGGGGTTTCACCATGCTGGCCAGGCTGGTCTTGAACTCCTGACCTTGCGATCCACCCACCTCGGCCTCCCAAAGTGCTGGGATTACAGGCGTGAGCCACAGTGTCTGGCCCGCATTTCCTTTTCTTAAGATACAAAGATGTGTCTTAGCCAACAGAGCTCTCAACTCATTGTCATGGGATTTTCTGTCATGGGAAATAAGCTGCTTTGATAATAACCTGTGATTCTTTCAAATTTTTCTGAAAGCATTTTGGTTTGTATTTTGTAGGTGTCCATCTCTTCACAGTCATGGCTGATCTTGTCATCCACTTTTGGGAGATTCTCCTGTATCTGGGCAGGGTATGCCTTCTCTACATCAGGTATCTAGTAAAAATTATTATTTTTGGATGCAGTTGAAGGAGGACTTGAATTTTCCACTGGAGCTGTTGCATTGCCTTCCCTTCCCCTCCCTTGCCTTCCCTTCCCTTCCCTTCCTTTCCCTTCCCTCCCTTCTTTCTTTCCCTCTTTCCTTCCATTCTTCCTTTCTTTTCCCTTCCTCCTTCCATCCCTCCCTCCCTCCTTCCTTCCTTCTTTTCTTCCCTCCCTCCCTCCTTCCTCTCTTCCTTTCCTTCCATTTTTCCTTTCATTCCCTCTCTCCCCTACCTCCTCCCTCCCTCCCTCCCTTCCTTCCTTCCCTCCTTCGTTCCTTCCTTCCTTCTTTCCTTCCTTCTTTCGTTCCTACCCTCCCTCCCTCCCTCTTTCCTCCCTTCCTGTCTGCCTGCTCTCTGCCAGAGTACTCTTGTCCTCTTTCTTTTCTGGCTCTGTGCCCTCAACTCTGGAAGGTCTCATGCTGTGAGGGACTTCTCCTCACCTGTGATCCTGCTAAAGCACTGTCCGAATAAAACTCATTGTTTGTTACTGCCACTCCAAGGTCGTATCTTTTTCCTTATTATCTGTGAAATCCTGTGAACTCTGTACTCATCCTATGTCCTTCCTAGGACGGGCATAAATGTAGAAGAAACTATCTTTGCTGATCTCAGAAAATAATGCCTTATCTTTTTTTTTTTGGCAGGATCTCATTCCCATCACCCAGAATGCAGTGCTGTGGCACGATCACAGCTCTCTGCAGCCTCAATTTCCCAGGCTCAAGCAATTCTCCCACCTCAGCCTCCCGAGAAGCTGGAACTACAGGAATGTGCCACCGCATCGGGCTAATGTTTTGTATTTTTGGTAGAGACAGGGTTTAGCCATGTTGCCCAGGCTGGTCTCGAATTCTTGGGCTCAAGCAATCCTCTCACCTCAGCCTCCTAAAGTGCTTGGACTAGAGGTGCAAATCACCATGCCTGACCCTTTATCTCTACTTTTGGCCAGAAGCAATCCAGTTAACACTCTATCATATATTATTCCTCCTACTGTTTTCTCCTCTCTAAATTCTTCAGCTTTGGCTGTTTGCCCATTAGTCACTGCCTGGGAGTTTTCAACTTTTAAAATTTGTGACAACATTGTTAGGTCATTAAGATGGGTCCTCATCCGATGTAACTGGCGTTCTTACAAGAAGCAGGGAAATGACGTGGCGGAGACACAGGAGGGGGAAATACCGCGTGATGATGGAGTTAAAGACAGGAGTTATGCAGCTGCAAGCCAAGAACACCAAGGGCTGCTGGTGACAGCAAGCGAGGAGGGAGCCTGGCCCTGCTGGCATCTTGATTCAGACTTCCAGCCCCTACCACTCTGAGAGAATAAATTCCTGTTGTTTTAAGCCACCCAGTTTAGGGTGCTTTGTTGCAGCCGCCTTAAGAAAGGAATACATCGTATCATTCCCAGAAACTGCTTGAGTCCCAGGGTTTGAGACTGGAAAGTGCTGAGCCTCCCTCACTACCAGATGCCACCTTGGCGAGGGTGAGTAGGTAGGAAAGGCTGAGCAGTGACCCCACATTCATGTGCTATGGCACATTTGAGAACATACCAAACAGGAAATGAAACTGATGTGAAACAGAAATTTCCGTCATAAAAACAATTTGCATGAAACGTTCACTGTACTAAAAAAGTAGATGATTTAGGACAATTTTAACTTTTACCCTGAAAATAAATGTTTAAACCATTCATGATGAAACGGTAAGATGACAGTGTACTATTGGATCCAATGGGACTGTATGTACGTGTGTGTGTGTGTGTGTGTGTGTGTGTGTGTGTGTGTGTGTGTGAATGTTTGCGATCACATTCATTTGACATGCAGGTTGAATAAGTGAGTCACTCTCCCCAGTACACGGGGGCTGCCTCTCCTAGCAGCAAATTTTCTCATTGGTTACTGCTGTGTTTCGGATGTCCCTTCCAAAACTGATGTTGAAACTAAATCCCCAATGTGGCAGTATTGAGAAGTGGGCCCTTTAAGAAGTGATTGGATCATGAGGGGTCTGCCCTCTTGAATGAATTATCCATTCATGGATTAACAGATGAATAGGCTATCATGGAAGTGGGACAGGTGGCTTATAAGAAGGGCAAGAGACGGCTGGGCGCGGTGGCTCACGCCTGTAATCCCAGCACTTTGGGAGGCCGAGGCAGGCGGATCACGACGTCAGGAGATCGAGACCATCCTGGCTAACATGGCGAAACCCTGCCTGAACTAAAAATACAAAAAATTAGCCGGGCATGGTGGCGGGCGCCTGTGGTCCCAGCTACTCAGGAGGCTGAGGCAGGAGAATGGCGTGAACCCGGGAGGCGGAGCTTGCAGAGAGCCGGGATCGTGCCACTGCACTCCAGCCTGGGAGACAGAGCGGGACTCCGTCTCAAAAAAAAAATAAAAAAATAAAAATAAAAAAAGGGGCAAGAGACACCTGAGCTAGCACAGACGACTGCCTCGCCAGGTGAGGCCCTGCCTTGCCTCAGGACTTTTCAGACAGTCCTCACCTGCAGGAAGGATCTCACCAGATGTGGCCCCTTGACCTTGGATTCCTCAGCTCCACAACTGTAAGAAATAAGTTTCTTCTCTTTATAAATTACCCAGTTTCAGGAATTCTCTTATAAACAACAGAAAAAAAAGACCAAGACAGTTACTGTATATCTTCATAAAACTAATTTTGTAGGATCTGAGGGCTTTGTTCTCCAAGAGAACACTTGCTCCAATTCTCAGGTTTTCTTCTGTAGTTCTGTAATTTTACTTGAAGAGAAGAATGTCAAGAAAAGACATTAGTAATTAATAAATGCTGGTGGATGATCCCTCTAGCGTAAAACTGGAACATGGCACTGTTTTGTTATTGGTGCTATTAAATCTGAATTATCACTTTAAAAACATATATGAAAAGCAGATATCAGGATTCAATTACTGCTTATTTCATGGAGAACCCGGGAAGAATAAACATATAAATGTGTTTTTAAATTTCTGTTTAATGCATATCACTGTTTCATGTGATAATGTGTGGATTCACATGCCCCAGCTTAGAAAGAAAAACAAACTCATCCAATCGTGCTTCTTGCTGTGTTCATTTGCACACTAGAGAATGATGACTTCTCTTTGTTAGAGCCACAAGTATATGTAAATTGAAGAGAATACATTTGTGACTGGATTATTTACAACCAATACATTGCTAGGTGATAAGCAATTCCACTGGGAGATCCATTGACTGTTGCTACCGAGTGGATTTCACAGAATGGCGACTGCAGACAAATGACCTGTTTCCTCCCTGGTTGCTGGGATCCAGCATTCTGCCTAGAAACAAACCAGTTTCCATTGTTTGGGGTTAACCCTATTTACTAGTAATGATAATATTATCCCTCATAACATTAAAGGTTTAACTATTGGTAGGCTTTTCATTTAACTGTATTTCAAGAAAGGGATATGCAATTTAAAGAAGTTTATTTTGAAATAGTTTCAAACTTAGAGAAAAATCACAAGGACTGCACTAATAACTCCTCCCACCCCCTTTGAAGGAATAATGATAATTATATAATAATGTGTTTTTAATTACTGGCAGGTATTTTATTTGGAGGCATTTCTGTGATTGGAACAGGAGTTGAGACGATGTCAAATGTATGATAACAAAGTAAATCCCTCAAATTGTCTCACAGTGAAAACGTTAACAACAATAACACTACTCTTAAATTCCTTCTTGTTTTCAATAGAAAGGGCCAGTAAGTGAAAGGGCCTTTACATTTTTGTTTTGGAACAGCTCTGCAATTTCATTTTGATTTCATATTTCTAGTAATAAAGCCTCTTCTGACTCCACATTCTTATTTCTGGGCAGACATTTTATTCTTCAGAATTGTAGTGATGGACAAGAAGCTAAATTGGAATGACTACTGTATCAATGATTAATTTGATAATTATAACAATGTCCAAACATTTAGAAATTACAGTATTTCATCAGATGTATTTTTAAAGAGGCACCTCTGTGAGAAGAACAGGTAGGCAGGCCAGCTTTCCCCTGGCTTATCACCCCTTTCCCTGGATTGTAGAGCATCCTTCACTCGGTCCCCTGTGAGAGGCCAGCAGGTTACTCTGCTCTCTGTGGGGTTTTTGTTTTTACCAGACTCTGCAATAACAGGCCCAGGTTTTGCAGCTCTGATGACTTTCTTTTTGGTGATGAAGCCACAGGGTATTAGCACCTCCTCGTGGCCATACATGTAATCTGACACTGTCCCTTGTAATAGTGATGATAATGACAGTGTTAGTGCCAAGCCACTTTAAAATGCTTTTAGTTCCTGGCAGATGTTTTATTTAGAGCGATTTCTCTGAACGTAAATGCCAGTTATGGAGGTTTTATATATTTTAATTAAGTAAATATAAGGTATTATTTTAGTAAAGGAAGTAATAAATCAATATCTCCGACAACTTTAGAGCACTACTTCACAGGATGTATTTTTTCAGATATATTTTTGTAAAGAAGACAAAGAATGAAGATGGTTTTGACTTAAAAAAACTTTTATTTTAGGCTCGGGGCACATGTGCAGGCTTGTTATATAGGTAAACTGCGTGTCATGGGGGTTTGGGGTACAGATTATTTCATCACCCAAGTAATAAGCATAATATCCGATGGGTAGTGTTTTGATCCTCTCCTTCCTTCCACCCTCCACCCTCAAGTAGGCCCATGTGTCTGTTGTTCCCCACTTTGTGCCCATGTGTTCTCCTTGGTTAATTCTCACTTGTAAGTGAGAACATGTGGCATTTGGTTTTCTGTTCCTGTATTAGTTTGTTTAGGATGATGGCCTCCAGCTCCATCCTTGTTGCTGCAAAGGATGTGATCTTGTTCTTTTTTATGAATGTGTGGTATCCCATGGTGTATATGTACCACATTTTCTTTATCCAGTGTACTGTTGATTGGCATTTAGGTTGATTCCATGTCTTTGCTATTGCGAATAGTGTTGCGATAAACATACGTGTGCATGTGTCTTTATGGTAGAATGATTTCTATTTCTTTGGGTATGTACTCAATAATGGGGTTGTTGGGTCAATTGGTAATTCTCTTTTAAATTCCTTGGGGAATCACCACATTGCTTTGCACAATGGCTGAATTAATTTACATTCCCACCAGCAGTGTATCAGCATTCCCCTTTCTCTGCAACCTTGCCAGCATCTGTTATTTTTTGACTTTTTATTAAAAGCCCTTTCAACTGGTGTGAGATGGTATCTCATTGTGGTTTTGATTGCCATTTCTCTAATGATTAGTGATGTGGAGCATTTTTTCATATGCTTGTTGGCTGCAGTAAGTCCTCTTTTGAAAAGTGTCTGTTTATGTTCATTGCCCACTTTTTAATGGGGTATTTTTCTTGTAAATTTGTTTAAGTTCCTTATAGATGCTGGATATTAGACCTTTGTCGGATGCATAGTTTGCAAATATTTTTTCCCATTTTGTAGGCTGGGTTTTGACATATTTTTAACTGACTAAATTCCTAGTGGTTACTATGATAATGTGACAATAATAAACTCTACCATGATATATTTTTTTATACTATTTTATTTGAGGAGGTTTACACATAATCCAGTCACTTGATTAGCCTGTTTAATTTAGATATACTTCATAGCTCTGCCAAAGAGGAGTTACCTTTCTGTAGTGTGTGAATGAGCACAGCATGAGAGATGCTGGATGATAGTCCTTGAGTTAGATATTAAAACATACAAGATTATTTTTTTATGTGCCTCGAACATGTGAATCCACAACTTTCACTTGAATCATTGAGGTAGGTTTGTCACACAGGTTAAGAAGCACATTTATATTTTCTTCCACTTCCTTGGTGCTCTATGAAATGAGCTGTAATATAATCTAAAATCAGCTTTTGGTATTATAATATTGTTTGAAATTTGATAATTCAGGTCTAGTTAACACTGATAAAATAGTTCCATGTTCCAATTTTATGCTAGAAGGATCATTTTCTGGCATCTAGTAATTACTAATGTGTTTTTCAGGGTCATTCTTTTTAAGTAAAATTAAAGAGGTAGAGCACAAAAACTGGAAAATAGAAGGAAGTTGTGCCCTCCTGGAGGAAGAAAAAAGCTCTCAGTTCCCCAAAATCTGTGGCAAAATCAGTTTCATGAGGACCCATTGTATATCCATGAAGACCTTTTTATGTAGGAGAGGCAGCCCACTGTGTACACATGTCTCCTGGTGAATCCAATGTGCATAGTTTCAGCTGACTTTGTTCCATCAAGTATGATTTAAACATTTATTTTCAGAGTGAGAGCCAAAGTCATTTTGCTCCAGATTGAAGTATAGTACTTTTTCAGTTCCATAAATGTTTCATATGAAATATTTTTTAGGATAAAAATTTCTATTTTATGTGAGTTTAACTTGCTCTTCAGAATAGTCTCAAATGTGCTATAGGATAGTGGCACATGGATGTAGGGGTCACTGCTCAGTCTTTCCTACTCCTTTGTCCTCTCTAAGTTGGCATCTGGTACTGAAGGACTTTCAGCATTTCCGAGCTCTGAGCGCCATAGGGCTGATATTTAAGAAGCTTTTGGGACTCAGTTTGTTGATGTGGAGTGGGAGAAGTAGCAGTGAGTGGAGGAGAGTGGAGGAGAACGGAGGAAAGTGACATCTATTCTTAATGGAGGGGAGGGTCAGGTCAGACATCAGGAGATACCAGGGAGGGAGTAGCCCTAAGGGGAATTGTTTTGGGTTCCCCAGCTGCCTGGATACTGGCTCTTCCCTCTCTTCTACTCCTTTCCCAGTCAGGTTCACTGTGATTGAATTTTTTTCGGACAGGTTTTAGTTTTATTTCTCTTTTACCCTAGACCCAGATTTGAGAGCTGGCACTATCATGACCCTGGCAGATTGTTTTTCTATTCTCCTTTTTATTGAAGCGTCCAACTATTAAGTTTGAATAGTCTCTTCCTTTAATTCGGTGTATTTTTGCTTCATGCATTTTGGGGCTGTGTTGTTAGGTACATACACTTTAATTATTTTTATATCTTCTTGATTAACTGACACTTTTATAATTATAAAATATCCTTCTTTGCCCTAATAATAATTTTTATCTTAAAATATTTTGTCAATTTTGCCTGGCATTAATATAGCTACTCCAGCTCTTCTGGTTATTGCTGGTGTATCTTTTCCATCCTTTTATGTTCCATTTATTTGTGTCTTTAAATCTTAAGTGTCTATTGTAAATAGCATATAATTGTGCTGTGTTTAAAAAAATCCATTCTCCAAATCTCTTCCTTCTAGTTTGACAGTTTGATCCACTTACTTTAATATAATTACTGATAAGATAGAATTATTTTTTGCTATTGTGCTATTTGTTTTCTATATGTATTATGTCCATTGTATTCCTCAATTCCTTGATTCTTGAATGCTTTTGTGTTAAATAGATATTTTATAGTGTAACATTTTAATTACCTTTCATTTCTCTTAAAATATATAATTTTAGTTATTTTATTAGTGGTTGCCCATGGTATTATAATTAATATTTTAAAGTTTTAAAGAGACAGTGTCTTGCTCTGTCAATGAGGCTGGAGTGCAGTGGCAGGATCATGGCTCATTGCAACCTCAGGCTCCTGGGCTCAGTGATCTTCCCACTTCTGCTGCAAGTAGATGGGACTATAGGCATACGCCACCATGGCTAGCTAATTTTCAAAAATTTTTGTAGAGACGAGGTCTCCCTGTGTTGCCCAGGCTGGTCTCAAACTCCTTGCCTCAAGTGACCCTCCTGCCTCGGCCTCCCAAAGTGCTGGGATTACAGGGATGAGCCACCATGCCCAGCCCAATATTTTAATTTATAACAATCTAGTCAATATAATACCAACTTAATTTTAGTAGTATACAAAAGTTTGCTCCAATGTAACTCTGTTTTCTTCCTTTTCTTTTTACAATTTATTCTTATATATGTTTTTAAGAGATGGGGTCTTGCTGTATTGCCCAGGCTGGTCTTGAATTCCTGGGCTCAAGTGATCCTCCTGCTTCAGTCTCCCAAAGTGCTGAGATTACAGGCATGAGCTACCATGCCCAGCCTACCTGCCTTCTTTATGCTGTTATTTTTACAAATTAGATCTTTATTGCTTGTGTACCCATCAACATAGACTTATAATTACTGGTTTATGTAGTTGTCTTTTAAATCAGATAGAAGAAAAGAAAATAACTATAAACAAAAATCATTTATGCTGTCTTTTATATTTAACCATATAGTTAACATTTACCAGTACTCTTTATTTCTTCATTTGGGTTTGAATTACTGCCAAATAACTTTCATCTAGGCCTAAAAGAACTCCTTTAGTATTTCTTGCAGGACAGCTGTGCTAGCAATGAATTCTCTTGGTTTTTTAAAAAAAATCTGGAGATGTCTTAATTTCCCCTTCAATTTTGGAGTATAGTATTGCTCTATATAGACTCCTTGATTGACAGTCTTTTACTTTCACTGCTTTGAATATGTCATCCTATTGTCTTATGTTCTCTTTTCCTTGATTTCTAATGGGAAACAGCTATTAATATTACTGAGAAGCCATTGTATATGAATCATGTCTTACTTGCTGATACCAAGTTTTTTCATCTTCATTCTTTAAGAGGTTGATTATGTTGTATTGAGGTATGAATCTTTTTAGTTTATTACACTTGAAGTTCATGTGTGCAAACCAATATTTTTCAACAAATTTGGGAAGTTTACAAGCATTATTTCTTCAAATATTGGTTCTTGACATTTCTCTCCTCTCCTTCTGGGTCTCCCATTACATATATATTGGTACTTTCAGTAATTTCCCACAGGTCTCTGAAACTCTGTTCATTTTTCTTTGTTCTTTTTCTTTTCTGTTCCTCAGACTGGATAATTTCAATTGACCAATTTTGAAATTTGTTGATTTTTTATGTCTTTTCATATCTGTTACTGAGAACCTGTAGTGAATTTTTCTTTTCTGTTATTAAGCTTTTCAATTTTATAACTTTTATTTTAAAGTTGAATTTTATAATTTCCATCTCTTTATTGATGTTTTCTGTTTGGTTAGACATTGTTCTCATACTTCTTTAGGCACACTCTCCTTTTGGTCTTTGGGCATATTTAGACTAAATGATTTAAAGTCTTTTCTAGTAAGTCCAATATCTGGGCTTCCTTTAGGACAAATTCTATTGATTGTTTATTTTTATGTATGTGTGTTGGCAGTACTTTATTTCTTTGCATGACTTATAATTTTTTACATTATTGAAACCTGGACATTTTAATAGGTATTATGTGGCAAGTTTGGAAATCAGATTTTCCTACATGTCCATGGCTTGTTTTTATTGTTGCTTATTGGTTATTGTTACCTGTTTGCGTACTTACGTTTCTTTTTTTTTTGAGACAGAGTCTTGCTCTGTTGCCCAGGCTGGAGTGCGGTGGTGCGATCTTGGCTCACTGCAAGCTCCGCCTCCCGGGTTCACGCCATTCTCCTGCCTCAGCCTCCTGAGTAGCTGGGACTACAGGTGCCCACCACCATGCCCAGCTAATTTTTTTGTATTTTTAGTAGAGACAGGGTTTCACCATGTTAGCCAGGAAGGTCTCGATCTCATGACATTGTGATCCACCCACCTCGGCCTCCCAAAGTGCTGGGATTACAGGCATGAGCCACCGCGCCCGGCTCTTACTTACATTTCTAAGGCAATTCAGTAAAGTTTGTATTCTTTGTCATGTATGGGCATTGATGCCACTACTCAGTTAGCTTAGTGGTTAGCTAGTAATTAGACAGGTTTCCTTAGAGGTCTGGAATCAATAAATCTTTCATTTGCTGAAGGGCTCTCTGTGCATGTTGGGTCATGTCCTCAAAACTTAGGCAGCTTGTAACTCCATCTAAGCCTTTTCTTACTGCCTACATAGATCCTCAAGGTAAGCAGAGATGAGAGCTGAGGGCCTTTCCAGGTCTTCCCTGAGCTTGTGTACTATCCTGGGAGTACACATGGTCATTTAGATCCCTGAGATTTTGTCAGAGCCTTCTGATGTCCTTCTAGACATCTTATTTTCAAACTTCTATTTTATTTTCAAGGTTTTTGGTTAGTCCTTTGTTTGCCTCAGCTGTTGTTAATCTCCTCAGGCAGCCACAAAGTTAAAACACTTGCCTGTAATTGTCTCCAAAAATAACATCACCTGACAGAAATCCTCTGAAGTGAGTGAGCTCCAAGGCAGCCTCTTAATGAGTTTTTCAAGAGAACCACCAGACAAATAAGAAATGATAATATTGGCTGGGTGCAGTGGCTCATGCCTGTGGTCCCAGCACTTTGGGAGGCCAAGGCAGGTGGATCACGAGGTCAGGGGATCGAGACCATCCTGGCTAACATGGTGAAACCCTGTCTCTACTAAAGGTACAAAAAGCTGGCTGGGTGTGCTGGCAGGCATCTGTAGTCCCAGTTGCTCGGGAGGCTGAGGCAGGAGAATGGCGTGAACCTGGGAGGCAGACCTTGCAGTGAGCCAAGATCGTGCCACTGCACTCCAGCCTGGGCGACAGAGCAAGACTGTGTCTCAATAAAAAAAAAAAAGAGATAATATTTTGGGAATTATACTTTGAAAGAGCTTCATCTCTATTCTGGTCCCACTGATGACTGCTAGGCAGCACCAGCAATGCAGATGAGTATTTTTCAAGGCTTTTTCTGAGCTAGAGAGTGGGGGGTGGGACCAGGGAAAGTTAAAATGTCACAAAGCTAACTTTTCTTACAGCCATCCAGCCATTTTTCTTGAGTAAACTCTCCCCAGGTCATGGGAAGCTTTTAATTCTTTTTTTTTTTTAAATTTCTACATCCACTTCAGTCACACAAAATCTTTTGATTCATTTCTGGAGATCTGAAAAAGGTAATTCTGACCATTTAAATAATTTTTTCATTGCTTTTATGGAAGGGTGAATTTTTGAGGGTCCCTGCTCTGCCATTTTTGCTGATGTTACCACCATCAAGATTTTCTTCAGCAGGGGTCTGCAAATCTTTCCTAGAAAGGTACCAATTGTAAATGCTTTAGGTATTGTGCTTCAGATTGTGTTTGTCACAGCTACTCAACACTGCCATTGTAGTACAAAAATAGCCATTGTAAGTATATAAATAAATGGCTGTGTTTCAATAAAACATTATGTATAGAAAAGTCACAGACTGGATTTGGCCCAAGGATCATATTTTGCCAACCCCTCTTTTTAAAGATAAAAAACAACCTTAGAATCCTTCTCAGACCACACTGCTCTTTAGTCATCTTCTTTCTGTTCTCACAGAGGTTGTTTTTCTTCCAACTGAGATACACTAAGATGTTTAAACATTTAAGACATATTTAATTCTGCATTTTTACTATAATTCAGAAAATTTGTTTTTGTTGCTTTCAATTTTTATTTACATTTCCCCCCTGAATTTACATTATTACTGCAACCAGAGAACCAAATCAAAATAAATTGATTCATTATCCTCCAGAATATGGGTTATGTATTAGATTCCAAAGGAAGTAAAACAAGTTTAAAATATACAAAGTTTCAATTAACTTTATTTTTGTAGAGTGTAGAACACTGTCTTACTTACATAAACTATCCAGTGGTTAAAAAAAGGTGCTGATCAGGAAATGGAGAGTGAATGGGAGCATTAATGGGAATATGTAGAAAGAAATCTTACACTAAATAAAATATCCAATAGAAGCTTTGATTGGAGACCACAAGAGGCCATATATCTTTTGAGTCAAAGAGAAAACTCTTGGGGTTAAAAAGAATACAGTTAATTTCTATATCACTGATATATAGTAGATTACCAAAAAAGGTAATGCAGAGTGAAAAATAAATTCTAATAGAATCCCAGTGAACTGTAAGGTAGGAGGTATCTTATCTCTAGGTAGGTAGCTGCTTACCAGGTATATTTTGATGACTACTAAGAAGAGCCTGTAGATGTCCTTCTACTTCAGCTCTTCCTGTGATTTCATAAATACTTATTTCACAGGCCTTTTCCTGATGAGTAAAATAATGCAATATATGTGTAATTTTTTGCTGTCTATGATCATCTTCTTCCTGATTCCTAGTTTGATTTAGACTTCCAAGAAGTTAGAATGTACAAGACATTGGGTCCCAGTAGAAAGAAAATGACAGATGTAAGTAATGGTGAAAAAAAGGGAAGTAAAATGACATTAGAGGAAGATAATCCCATATCACAATTTTGCCTGTGGTCCTTCTAGTAGTTGAATTTCTTTGTCTCTTAGGTTTGCATTTGCTATCCTTGTCACTATCTTCTTCTCCTTCTCCTCCTCTTCTTCTTCCTCCTCCTCTTCTTCTTCTTCTGAAAGAAAGAAAGAAAGAAACATGGCTATATAGTGTTGGAGCAGCCCTTCCACTGAAAACAACTATAAAAGAAGGAAGAACTATGAGTTTTTGATGGGATAGCAGAGCTACCAAAGCAGTAAAGATTTGATGAAACAAATTCCCAGAAAGAAGGTAATCCTAGGATTTGAGCTCAATATTTGGCATAACTTATATCTTCAACGCATTTGCTGATAGAGAAAGCAGGAGCTGGAGATTTCAGCTGAAAACCAGAGCAGAAAGCAGTAGCCAGCATCCGAGCAGAACATTTGCCAGTTTCACAAAACTGGAGAGATGAATATTGAAGATCACAGCTAGACAAAGACTACAAATAATGTAAAGTCTTTAATAGTCTTTAACAAACAATGTAAAGACTTTACAAATAATGTAAAATGTTCAAGAAATTAAATGATCAAATAGAACATTTAAACAGGAACTGGAATTTTTATTCCAGTAATTGGATTTTTTATTCAATCCAATAAAAAGGATTGAATACCAAGTCTAGAACTGAAATATGCAGTAACTGAATATTAAAAATTCAATGGATGAATTTAACAACAGATTAGATGTAGCTGAAATGAGAAAATTAGCAATTTGGAGGATAAATCTAAGAAATATACCAATAGAGAAAGGAAGAGGCAAAGTAATGGAAGATAAAAGACCAAAGAGAGAATGAAAGGTCTAACATATATGTTATTATAATCCTTGAAAAAGAGGAGAGAAACCATAAAAAAGAAAGAAATCTTGTATCTGAAAATCTACATGCTGCTACTATCAAGTTATTTGTTTGTAAGTGTATTACTCTTAAGCTTTAGAGCACTTTACACAAGTTTTATAATACCTTCCAATATTTAAATTTTTAGTATTTTAATGTTAAGTAGATTTTTGTCTTTAACCTATTCTAATTATTTATAGTAGATTAAAAATAATTGCATAATGAAAATATATTGTTTTACATTGAAAAGTCATGGATAATTAAAAAGAATTATAAATTAAACACTAAAATTATTAAAATGCAAAAGTTTCTTCCTTTTTAATTTTTTTTTCTGAGACAGGGTCTTATTCTGTTGCCCACGCTGGAGGAGTGCAGTGGTCCTATCATGGCTGACTACAGCCTTGACCTTCTGGGCTCAAGTGATCCTCCCATCTCAGCCTCTTGAGTAGCTGGAACCACTGGCACATGCCACCATGCCCAGCTAACATTTGTTTTTTTTCATACAGATGGGGTTTTGCTATGTTGTCCAGGCTGGTCTCAAACTCCTGAGCTCAATTGTCCCACCTTGGCCTTCCTAAGTACTGGGATTACAGGTGTGTGCCACCACACCCAGACATTTTTAAAAAATTAAATTAAATTTATTATTTTTTTTTGGTAGAGATGGGGTTCTCACTTTGTTGCCCAGGCTGGTTTTGAACTCCTGACCTCAAGTGATCCTCCTGCTTTGGCCTCCCAAAGTGTTGGAATTACAGGCATGAGCCACCAATCCAGGCCCAGGCAAAAGTTTCTAAATAAAATTTGGCTACATTTTATGTCTGAGTACGTAGAGTTTTGTTGCTGCTGTTGTCATCCATGGTGGGGGGTTAACAACTCACAAAAACTACTACTTATAAAATTATCAGCTATACAATTATTGGACAAAATATATTATTTCACTCTATACATAAACAATTCATTAGAACTTGAAGGAATTGTAGAATATGGAAGAGATGCTTCTGCTGAAATAAGGAGAATGTGAAATACCTCCTCATGGAATGCTGTCATTTTCACTTATCAGTTCCAAATATTAGGAAAGAAAACTCTGAGTAGATTATAGTCTGATACATAATGGCATAATGATAGCTGTTAAATAAAGAAACCACATGTAATTATCAAATTTTGCATGAGTCAGTTGCTTTTCAGTCTCACTAGAGCTGAAATAAAAGTATTTTAAGTCTCTTTCATTTCCCATTTTGACCCTGGGATGTACTCATTTGCCCGGCAAGAAAATTTCCCCTAAATGACTCTAAATGGAGAGATGAGGGACAAAGGGAAAGCAAATACAAAGATATATAACAAATAGCTTGGATTATACATGAAATAATTAACAAGCCAATGTTCCCCAGAACTGGCAATCCACTCACAGAACAAGAATTCACATGTGCATTTGACAAATAATACAAC